>NC_000002.12:84444542-84749926 GCF_000001405.40 Homo sapiens | reverse complement strand
TAAACTTCATCATCTCCTATTTACCTTTGAAAAGCAAACAAACAAAACGTGTTGTTAAAGAAATCAGATTGTATGACTTGCAAAAATTTTCATAGTCTATAATTTTCTAGCTTCAATGTCTTTATTTGGAAAATTCCTTTTTTTGACTCATGGCATCTAGTCATCCTCTCATGTTTTCACCATCCAACCTGGTAGCTATTGTCCATATTCACTGGAGACTTTCCACCTGGATCACAGCCAGCCTTCTTTTCTATTACATGTCTGTTCCATTGAACAAAGTGTTACTGATTTATCTACTGCATCCCAGGCACCATCTGAGGTGACACAACCCAGGTTCAGGGTTCATGTGGACATCCAACAGCCTAACCTTGCAGTTCCTTGGCTTCTAACTTCAGTGCACATCCTATCTCTTTCACAGTCACCCATACCCATGGTCAACCTCAGAACATTGTCATCACTTGGAACTGCTCCCCATTAGAAATTTTAAGCTCAATTTTGATTATAACCTCTCCCATCTTTCCAGCTGTGCCACATCCCTAGTCTAACTACATCATTTCTCAAAGAAATTTCCACCTACTTGTTCCTTTTCTCCCAGTCTATAAGCCCTTTCTATATCTCTTCTTTTTCCTATAACTACTCTTACCAACACTCTCAATGGTCTTGCATTCTCTATTCTTTTATTATAATCATCTGTATTTAAGGTCAACCACATAACTTATTTTCTGTCTTCCTACAGAATGACAGAGTTTGAATGTTTGTCCCCTCCAAATCTCATGTTGAAATATGATTCCCAATACTGGAGGTGGGGCCTAGTGGGCGGTGTTTGGGTCATGGAGGTGGATCCCTCATGAATGGCTTGGTGCTCTCCCCACAGAAATGAGTGAGTTCTCACTCTATTAGTTCATATAAGAGCTAGTTGTTTAAAAGAGTCTGGTGCCTCTCTCCCCTCTTTCTTGCTCTCTCTCACACCGTGTGACATGTTTGCTCCCCCTTTGCCTTTCACCATATGTAAAAGATTCCTGAGGCCTCACCAGAAGCCAAGAAGATGTTGCTGCCATACTTGTACAGCTTGCAGAACTGTGAGCCCAATGGACTTCTTTTCTTTATAAATTATCCAGCCTCAGGTATTTCTAAATAGCAATGCAAAATGGACCAATACAGAAAGTTGGTACTGAGGAATGGGGCATTGCTACAAAGATACCAGAAAATGTGTAAGCAGCTTTGAACTGAGTAATGAGAAGATACTGGAAGAGTTTGGAGGGCTCAGAAGACAGGAAGATGAGGGAAAGTTTGGGACTTCCTAGAGACTGTCTAAGTTGTGACCAAATGCTGACAGAAATATGAACAGTGAAAGCCAGGCTGATAAAGTCTCAGATGGAAATAAGGAACTTACTGGGAACTGGAACAAAGGTCACCCTTGTTATGCCTTAGCAAAGGACTTGGCTGTATTGTGTCCATGCACTAGGGGTTTGTGGAAGGTTGAATTTAAGAGTGATGACCTAGGTTATCTGGTGGAAGAAATTTCAAATTTTTCATAATCTAATTTTTTCACCACAAAGTGGTCAATAAGTGCCATAGCTCCTTCTAACAGCCTACAATCAGATATGGAAGGAAAGAAATGACTTAAAGTTGCGACTTATAATTAAAAGGGAAACTGAGGGTAAAAATTTGGAAAATTTGTAGCGTGCTTATGTGGTAGGGAAGGAAAGAGCATTTTCAGGAAAGGATTCTAAGAGGCCTGCAGAACAACCACTTGCTAGAGAGATTAGCATGACTAAATGGGAGCCAGGTGCTACCATTCAAGGCAGGGGGAAAAAAGACTTCAAAGGCATTTCAGAAATCTTCCAGGTAGTCCCTTCCATTGCAGGTCCAGAGCCCTGGGAGGCAAGAATAGTTTCAGTAGACAAGCCTTGGGCGTCGCTGTCCTGAGCCACCTATGGAAGCTGCTCCCCAAATCCCAATATCTCCAACTCTACCCTTGGCTCAGAGGGCTCCAGGTACAGCTTGGGCTGCTATTCTGGAGGGCAAAATCCATAAGCCTTGGTGGCTTCCATGTGATGTTAAGCCTGCAGTTGGGCAGAATGCAAGAGTGAAGGAGGCTTGGCAGCATCCACCTAGATTTTATATTGGAAAAATGTATTGGATGTATTGGAAAGCCTGGGTGTCCAGGAAGAAGCCTGCTGTAGGGGTGGGATCCCCATAGAGAGACCCTACTAGAGTAGTGTCAACGGAAAATGTGGGGTTAGAGCCCCCACACAGAGTCCCCACCAGGGTGCTGCCTAGTGGAGCTGTGAGAATGGTAGAGATATTGGCAGTGCGCACCCTCAGTCTGGGAAAGCCATAAGCATTCAACTACAACCCAGCAGGGCAGTCAACATGGACAGCTCCCCAAAAGGCCATGGGGACAGGGCTTACTAAGGCCTTGGGAGCCCACACTTTGCACCGGTATGCTCAGGATGCAGGACATGGTGTCAAGGATTATTCTGGAGCTTTAAGATTTAGTGTCTTCCCTACTGGGTTTCAGACTTGCATGGAGCCTGTTGCCCTTTCCTTTTGGCTGATTTCTCCCTTTTGGAATAGGAATGTTTACCCAATGCCCAAACCATCATTGTGTCTTGGAAGTAAATAACTTGTTTTTGATCTCATGGGTTCGTAGGTGGAAGGAACTTGCCTTGGGTCTTAGATGAGACTTTGGACTTTGAAACTTTGAGTTAGCACTGGGATGAGTTAAGACTTTTGAGGACTGTTGGGAATGCATGATTGTATTTTGTAATATGAGAAGGACATGAGATTTTGGGGGCCAGGAGTGGAATAATATAGTTTGGATGTTTGTCCCCTCCAAATCTCATGTCGAAATGTGATCCCCAATATTGAAAGTAGGGATTAGTGGGAGGTGTTTGAGTCATGGAGATGGATCCCTCATAAATTGCTTGGTGCCCTCTCCATAGAAATGAGTGAATTCTTGCTCTAGTAGCTCACATAAGAGATAGACGTTTAAAACAGTCTGGTGTCTCCCTCCCCTCTTTCTTGCTTCCTCTCTCACCATGTGATGTGCCTGCTCCCCCTTTGCCTTTCACCATATGTAAAAGCTTCCTGAAGCCTCACCAGAAGCCAAGAAAATGCTGGTGTCATGCTTGTACAGCCGCAGAACTGTGAGCCAAATAAACCTCCTTTCTTTATAAATTACCCAGCCTCAGGCATTCCTTTATAGCAATGCAAAGCAGACTAACATACACAGATAGCAGAAAATCCTACAACATAGCATCAACACCTCCCAAATATGCTTTCATCTTTTCCAGTTAGTTTTTTCTCCCTTTTCCCAAAGGAACAATCTCCATTTTTCTCTAATGCTTCCTGAAACTCACCAATCAAATCCTTAGCAGATAATATTATACCCTTATTAACAATAAAATTAGGAATTATATCTAAATGCATAGAAACTGGAACTGCCATGAATGCTTCATTCATTCTGTTGATAACTTGTGCTGTGTTGAAACTTGCACCTCCTTGGCTTCCATGACACTTTTTTTTTCTCCTAGAGCTTTTCCTGACCCTCTGCTATTTCTTCTCATGGGCTCCTTATCCTTTCTCTCTGCCTTTTAAAAGTTGGTGGCAATCAGAGCTTCACTTTTTGCCCATCTTTCCTCTTATTCTATTATGTCTTATTCCTCTACGATCCTAACAACTCCCATAGTTTTACTTTCCAAATGAATGCTGATTCCCAAATCTCTATTTCTAATTCATATATCTCTCTACAGTTTCCTACTTCCATATGAGCTGACTTTCAGACTGCTAACCACTCTGATAGCTGTAGAATCAATAGCATCTCTCTCTCACACATTACTCCTTTCTCATTTGCTTAGTTGTTGGCACAACTATCCCCTTTGGCATGCAAACAGAAACTGGGGGCCATATCAGTTGCCTCATCTCCATGCCCCCCTTCATCTCTCTAATCTACTACCTCTGTCTTAATTCAGACTGTCATAACTTCTTTCATCTTCAAACAGGTCCTGGTAACTATGGCTTTGTACCCTTCAAATGTCTCCTCTCCATTGTTGTCAAGATCTGAAAGGCCCATTACTTCCCTTCTAAAGCTTCCCAACAGACTCCATCCCTCCAGCAGAGAGCACGGTACTCTAATGGCACACACCAGGGAAAGGATAACCATGGCCCTGGCTGGCTCTCTTTCATAATTCTCTACATAAAACATTATGTTCTAGTAATAACACAGAACCATGTTTCTTTTTTTTTTTTTTTTTTTGAGACAGTGTCTCGCTCTGTTGCCCAGGCTGGAGTGCAGTGGCGCGATCTCGGCTCACTGCAAGCTCTGCCTCCTGGGTTCATGCCATTCTCCTGCCTTAGCCTCCCATGTAGCTGGGACTACAGGCGCCTGCCACCATGCCCGGATAATTATTTTGTATTTTTAGTAGAGACGCGGTTTCACCGTGTTAGCCACGATGGTCGCGATCTCCTGACCCCGTGATCCACCTGCCTCGGTCTCCCAAAGTGCTGGGATTACAGGCGTGAGCCACGGCGCTCGGCCCATGTTTCATTTTTTTGAGTCATCTCCCAAACTTGGCCATTGTTACTCTCAAATAAATTTATAAATCATAACTGGCTAGTGAGCTTTAGTAGAAATAATTGTAACACAGTCCTTTAATTAAAAAAATGCCCTACCTTTTCTTCTTTACAACATTTAATAAGAATTAGCTTATGGAAAGAACTCAATCCTGCACTCCATGGATCTTGGTGTGCTGCCTCCTTTTCCTGTCTCATGTGTTTATCTTCGTGTTTCATTTTAGAATAGCCTTCCCATTTCTGTGGGTTAATATAAGTCTCAAAAGATCCTGGAAATACAATTTAAAAAAGATAATTTAATTAGATTTGTTTTGGCTTTGAAATTAAATAATGTTTGGTAATTTAAAAATATCTCTATATTTACTATCAGTTTTAACCACAAGTATACTATAAATACATCAGTCTCCCCTGCTACCCAACCTAATCAAAAAGTAAAGAATTTAAAATGTAATCAGAAAATAGCAGCAAACCACTTACAAAAAACAAAAACAAAACAAAATATTAGGAAGGTTAAAAATAAAAGGATGCATAGAGATACTTAAGCAAATGTGAGCAAAAAGAAGATTGAAGTGATAAGGGTAATATTAACTAGAATTCAAAGCAAACATAATTAAATGGGACAAAGTAGGTTCTTATATTAATAAAAATAACAAATCCATAATAAAAACATAATAAAATGAACCCAGGTGAGCCAGAAAATAGCATAAAAATATGTCAAATAATAACTGTTAGAGGTAGAAGAAAAAGCAAGAAAAAAATAAAATCAGTCTATGATAAATGAAGTAAACTGAAAATTCTAGCATATGTAATTCAAACACTATAAATAATAGCTGAATACGTTGACATATTTACATTATGCCCTAATAAACGATACATCATCCCCTGCTCCCTGGCTATAGAATATTTATAAGAAATGGATTTGTATCTTGTATGAAAGTTAGGATCACAGTTAGTTCTTACAATGGTTATAACATGTACTAAGAATTCGCACTGACATTTCTGTAGGTACAGAATGCATATGGTATAAGCCTTTCAGAAAGCCAAAATAACTAGTGTGTTCTCCAGTAAGGAAACAGGTTTCTTGGGTTGGCCGTTAGGCACAATTGTTGGCTTGCATTTCAGGCTAGAAAGCAACTTTCTCTAGCTTGTCTGCAGGGGCTCTCCTCTGGGGGCTTAATCATAGCAATCAGAAAGCTAGTGACACAAAAATTTAGTGACACTTCTGACCATGGCCTTGGGGTAGTGTTCATCTTTGCAAGATTTATAATTTATATATGGAATATAGACAATTACAAGGTATGAGACGACAAAGCATACCATGTCACAATACTCTTTAGTTAAAGGTGTCTGCATTATTCTGAAGACCAGGTAGCAGAACCATGTATTGCAAAAGGACTCCTTTTCCAGTGAGGTTCTCATTATTTATTGTGTAATCATTAGGACTCCAGGAAATGATGGGAGAAAATAATGTATAAAATATGCATTAGAAGATGGTATCTAATAATGCATTATTTATTTATTCATTTGGAGACAGATTCTTGCTCTGTTGCCCAGGCAAGAGTGCAGTGGCGTGTTCTCGGCTCACTGCAACCTTTGCCTCCCAGGTTCAAGCAATTCTCCAGCCTCAGCCTCCTGAATAGCTGGGACTACAGGTGCACACCACCACACCAGGCTAATTTTTTGTATTTTAGTAGAGATGGGATTTCACCATGTTGGCCAGGCTGGTCTCCAACTCCTGAGCTCAGGCAATCCACTCGCCTCAGCCTCCAAAAGTGCTAGGATTACAGGCATGAGCCACCACACCTAGCTTAATAATGTATATTTTAAATAACTCCCAATAGGACACGAAGCACTTAGAAATCAAGAAAGACAAAAGATTAAGGCAATTAGGAAGTTTCTGAAGGTAAGATTGACAATGGAATTAGACATCACTTGTAAATATCTAAAGCTCACTTTTAGAATACCAGCCACCTATCAAACTATGTACAAACCTTCATAAGTCTGTAGCATTTCTGGAACAAACCTTGAAATCTAACACATAAAAACAGGAAAGTTTTTTTAAATTGTTGCAATTTTAGTCTCAAAGATATGGATAACACATGGTGCTTTCTATGAAAAAATTATGAGTTGTCCCTATAATTACTTTGCTTTTCAACCTCCACACCTTCCCTCTTCCTTTGCCTCTGTGTAGATGAGGCTCCATCTAGCCCTTTCTGCTTTGGGTCTGTCCCTAACTGTCCATCTCTGGGTTTCTTCTATGAGTATTTTTCTTTTTGTGTTCTATCTCTACCTCTAGCTGTCTCATTTAACTGGTGCATAACATAGAAACAATTTTTACTAGTGGGGGACAAAAGACTAGGGGGGAATGCACTTTTCAATAAGTTAATGCATTTATTGAACAGCTTTTTCTCCCCCTAGTCTTCATTTAGAAATCCAATAAATCTATTAGGATCTTAGAAATTCTGGTTAATGTAGACTTTAAACCACCACACTTAATGGGTTTACTTAGTTAAA
The DNA here is from genome assembly GCF_000001405.40 of Homo sapiens. NCBI lineage: Eukaryota > Metazoa > Chordata > Mammalia > Primates > Hominidae > Homo > Homo sapiens. The sequence goes on along the minus strand of NC_000002.12, from coordinate 84,742,834 downwards.
TAAATATTCATATTAGAAGTATAAGAGTAATTACCAAAAAATAAAAATAGAATTTCAAATCAGTAGAGGGGAAAATAAAGAGTGTGGATGATGCAACTGAAGAAGAAAGGAAGGAGAGGAGAAATAAAGGATATAAAGAAAGGAAGAAGGAAGAAGAAAGAAGAAAAAAGGAAGCAAAGAAAAAGCTGGCAGAAAAATATGCCCAAAATAAAGATGACCAATGTAAGTCCAAACAGATCAGAGTTTCTTAACTTTACTAATATTGACATTTTGGATGCTGTAGTTATTTGTTGTGGAGGGTTGTTCTGAGCACTGTAGGATGTGTAGTAGCATCTCTGGTCTCTACCCACCAGACGCCAGTAGCACCACCCCAGTTGTGGCAAACAAAAATGTCTCTAGACATTGTCAAATGGAAATCTTCCTCAGTCAAGAAGAACTTAAATAAATCAATAGCCATAATAAATATAATCAAATTAAAATTTGTCTGTTAAAAGAAAGACTTTCATGTTCCTCAAAACAACAACAAAATCCTACTAAGATACACCAAAAACATAATGATGACACACAAAAAATGGAAAGTAAAGAGTGCAGAAATATATAGAGTGGGAGTACTAAGAGAGGCTTGCTGTAATAATATTAATATTAGAAGATGTATTTTGAGGTTTTAGGTCAGGATGGCTGACTAGATGCAGGTATTGCGTGCTGCCTCCATGGAGAAGAGCCAGAATAGTAAGCAGATACTCACAGTTCAAACAGGTAATCTAGGAGAGAATGCTTGGATTCATTAGAGAAGAGACATGAAGTACCAGAAGTAAGTAAGGAGAGGGTTCAAGTTAGCTTGCGCAGCCAGGAACTGACTGGGCTGGGAGATGGTCCTGGATGCAGGGAAACAGTAAGAGGGAAATCCCTGGAGCTCCAAAACAGGGTTTTAAGATCTTGGCTACAGGAGAAACCCTTGACCCACTAGGGCCTTGTGCCTGACATATGGAACTGCCTAAAGATTGTACAGAGACATTTCTCTAGAAAGGGAACCCACACACAATCCCACAGGAATCCGAGCCTGGTGCAGCCTCAGCTGGGTGCCATTTTGAGAACCCAGATCCTGGGGATTTACAGACACAGCTGCAGCCACTGTGCTGCTCCAGGGAGGGAGAGGGGAGAACGGGCACACTCATGCACCCCCTAGAGGGTACTTGCTGCCCTGCTATGAGCTGCTGTTGAGACTGAGATATGAGTTGACCACACTTCTCACAGCTTCCTGCTTATGCTGCTTGCCTGAATGGTGCCCCACCCTCTTTAGCCCCAGGCCCAAGGTGCCCTTTTGAGAGTTTAATGCTGGGCTGAGCTCCATGCTTTGTTTAGTTTGGGCTGATGTGGCTGTAGCCTCTGCTTGGCTAAGGAAGAACAGGGAGACCAGGTCATCCTACTCATACCTAGGACAATACTCACAGCTCTGTAGCAGGCTGCTGTGAGACAGATGTGAATGAACCACACTCCCCACAGCTTCTTGATCATGCTGCCTGCCTGGGCAGTGATCCGCCCTCCCTGTTTTCAGGCCCAAGGCACCATTTTGAGAATGTAGTGCTGAGCTGTGCCTCATCCTTGGCCTGAGTTTGGGCTGATGTGACTGCTGCTGCCACCCAGCCAAGCAGGGAAAGGGGACCAAGGCTCTCCTATATATACCTAGGACAATGTCCAATGCCTTGCTACGAGCTGCTATGAGACTGAGACTTGAGTGGACCACACTCCTCACAGCTTCTCGTCCATGCTGCTCGCCTGAGAGGGGCTCCCCACTCTCTAGGTGCAAGCCCATGGCTGACACCATTTTGAGAGGTTAGAGCCATTGTTTGGTAACCTGGCAGCGGTGGCCACAGCAAGCATTTTGGTCTTAGGTGAGATTAAAGTGCTTGTTCTGGAAGGGGAGAAGGGTCCCCACAGGCAGAATTGAGCAGTGAGTGTGGAGAGTGCCCCAGTAGTAGGTGGTGGAATTACGCTCTCTCCCATCACAAGACTGGAGTGGGAGGAGAGTTGCTGAAGCTGAGGTTTTTCCCAGAGGGCAAGACTTTCAGTCAGAGACAGCTTTGCAACCTAGAACTGGTCTGCATGGGTCATAACGGGGTGTCCCAGCCTGTTTCCTTGGTCAGTTGGGGAACAGTGCCCCACCAGCTCTGAGGCGTGGGAGGGAGGCAGACTCCACTCCCCTGGAGATCTAACCCTTGCTGCAGACTGTCCCTAAAGGAGGGGAGAGTGCAGCCCACCAAAGACCCCCTTGGATAAAAGAAAACATGGGTGCAGTGCCAGCCACTGAAGGTGGTACCACCAAAGCCTGGGAATGGACATGGAGAGGGGGTCACACTTGCTCCGCCACCCTTCTTCTCAGTGCCCTGTCATGGATTTGGAAGTGACTCTTCACTTTGGAGTCTGGGGAATGCGGGTTGAAAGAGTCTGTGTCTCAAGCTTCTCCAGCAGCTCTGCCCTACTGAGGGTGAATGTGCTCTGCAGAGGTGCTTTTTGTACTTCTCTAGTGCTTCCACCCCTGCTTGTACCCATCAGTTCTTACTCTTAAGCACCATCTACTAGACTGCATCCTGAATTACGCCACCAAATAAAATTACATTGCTACAACAAACAACCTCTGAGAAAGTCACTGCATGAACCTACTTGCAACCAAGGAACCTGTACAGAGAGTTGGCACTCTGAAAGCACCTAGAAATGAAGCCAATTAATCATACACAATATACATCACAGTCATACCCCCAAGGGAAAAACGAATAAACAAGAAGCCCCAACCAAGTGATACCAAATTAAAAAAAAAAAAAAGAGAAGTATCAGCTCTCTCAGATGAGGAGTAACCAGTGCAGAACCCCAGCAATACAAAAAGACAGAGTGTTTCATCACCTCCAAAGGATCCCACTAGCTCCCAAGCAATGGATCCTAACCAGAATGAAATGTCTGAAATGACAGATATAGAATTCAGAATATGATGCAAAGAAACTCAATGAGATCCAGGAGAAAGTTGAAATCCCACACAAAGAAGCCAGAAAAATGATCCAAGATATGAAAGACAACATAGCTATATTAAGAACAGAACAGAAGATATGAAAGACAACATAGCTATATTAAGAACAAAACCAACAGAAGTCCTGGAATTGAAAAATTCGCATCAGGAAATTCAAAATACAAATGGAAGCCTTAACAACAGACTAGACCAGGCAAAAGAAAGACTTTCAGAACTTGAAGACCAATCTGTCAAAATGACCCAGTCAGACAAAAGTAAAAAAGAATTTAAAAAATGAACAAAGCCTTTGAGAAATATGGGATTATGTAAAGTGACCAAACCTATGACTTACTGGCATTCATGAGAGAGAAGAAGAGAGAATAAGCAACTTGGAAAACATATTTGAGGATATAATTCAGGAAAATTTCCCCAATCTTGCTAGAGAGGTCGACATGCAAATACAAGAAATCCAGAGAACTTCTGTAAGATGCTACACAAGATGACAATTCCCAAGACACACTTGGGGATGGATAGGAGGGATAGGACTAACCCAAGTCCACGTGAAAGAGAACTTTAAAGGCACCTAGAGAAAAGGGTCATGTTGCTTATAAAGGGAAACCTATAAGACTAAAAACAGACTTTTCAGCACAAACCTTACAAGTCAGAAGAAACTGGGGCCTATTTTTAGTATTCTTAAAGATAATAAATGTCAGCCAAGAATTTCATATCCTTCCATGCTAAGCTTCATAAATGAAGGAGAAATAAAGTGTTTCCCAAACAAGTAATCACCAAGGGAATTTTCCACCACCAGACTGGCCCTACAATGCATGCTTAAGGGAGTTCTCAATGTGGAAACAAAAGAATAATGCTTGTTACCATGAAAGCACATGAAAGCACATAGCCCACAGTACCCATAAAGCAACTATACAATAAAGACTACAAAGCAACTAAGCTAACAACATTATGACAGCAACAAAACCTCATATATCAATTTTAACACTGAACATAAATGGCCTAAATGCTCAACTTAAAATACATAGAGTATCAAATTGAATGAAAAAACAAGACCCATTCTTCTTCTATCATCAAGAGACCCAATCTCACATGTTATGACACCTATAGGCTCAAAGTAAAGGGATGGAGAAAGATATGTCACGCAACGGAAAACAAAAAAAAGCAAGGGTTACTGTTCTTATATCAGAATTTAAACCAACAAAAATAAAAAAGGACAAAGAAGGGCATTAAATAATGATAAGGGGCTCAATTCAACAAAACATCTTAAGTGTCCTAGATATATGTGTATCCAACATTGGAGTACCCAGACTTATAAAACAAGCACATCTAGGCTTAATGAAAGACTTTGGCAGTACACAACAATAGTCACACAACACACAACACCCCATTGATAGCATTTGATAGATCACTGAGGCAGAAAATTGACCAATTCTGGACATAAATTCGACATGACCATTTGGACCTAATAGACATCTACAGAATACTCTCCCTAACAACCACAAGATACCCATTCTTCTTATCTGCATATGGAACATACTCTAAAATTGACCACATGCTTGGTCATAAAGCAAGTCTCAATAAACACAAAAATATCAATATCATACTGAGCATCTTCTGAGACAACAGTGAAATAAAAATAGAAATCAATACACAGAAGATCTCTCAAAACCATAAAATTACATGGAAACTAAACAAATTGCTCCTGAATGACTTTTGGGTAAACAATGAAATCAAGGCACAAGTAAAAAACTTTTTTGAAACAGATGAAAACAGACATGGAATGTATCAAAACCTCTGGGATGCAGCAAAGCAGTGTTAAAGGAGAGTTTATAGCACTGAAAAACTACATCGAGAAGTTAGAAATGACATCGAGAAGTTAGAAAGGTCTCAAATTAACAAACTAACCTTGTACCTAAAGGAAATAGAAAAATAAAACAAATGAAACTCCAAACTAGCAGAAGAAATAAAAGAACTATAATCAGGGCAGAAATGAACAAAATTGAGACCTCAAAAACCATACAAAGGATCAATGAAACAAAAAGTTGGTTTCTCGAAAGGATAAACAAGATTGATAGACCATAAGCTAGATTAACAAGGAAAAAAATACAGAAGATCCATAATCATAATCAGAAATAACAAAAGTGACATCACAAATGATCCCCCCGAAATATAAAGGATCCTCAGAGGGTATTATGATGAGCATCTCTATGCACACAAACTAGAAAAATCTAGAGAAATGGATCAATTCCTGGAAACACACAACCTCCCAAGATTGAACCCGAAAAAAACAAAAATCCTGAACAGATTAATGATGAGTAATGAAGTTCAATCAGGAATAAAAACCTACCAACCAACCAACTAACGGAAAAAAAAGCCCTTTACAACCAAATTGTACCAGATGTACAAAGAAGAGCTGGTACCAATTCCACTGAAACTATTCCAAAAAATTGAGGAGGAGGGACTCCTCACTATCTCATTCTATGAAGTTAGCATCATCCTGATACAAATATCTGGCACAGACACAAAAAGAAAAGAAAACAAAGGCCAATATCCCTGATGAAAATAGACTCAAAAATCTTCAACAAAATACTAACAAACTGAATTCAGCAGCATATAAAAAAGTTAATTCATCATAATCAAGTGAGCCTTATTCTTGGGATGCAAGGATGATTCAACATATAGAAATCAATAAATGTGATTCACCTCATAAACAGGACTAAAATCAAAAACCATATGATCACCTCAATAGACGAGGAAAAGCATTTGATAAAATTCAACATCCCTTTATGATAAAAATCCTCAACAAACTAGGCATCAAAGGAATATACCTCAAAATAATGAGAGCCATCAATGACAAACCCACAGCCAACATTATACTGAAAGGACAATAGCTGGAAGCATTCCCCCATAAGAACTGGAACAAAACATAGATGTCTACTCTCACCACTCCTATTCAATATAGTACTGGAAGTCCTAGCCAAAGCAATCAGGCAGGAGAAAGAAATTTATCCAAACAGGAAAAGAGGAAGTCAAATGATCTCTCTTCACTAACAATATGATTCTGTCCCTAGAGAATCCTAAGGATTTGACTAAAAGACTCCTAGATCTGATAAATGACTTCAACAAAGTCTTATGATATAAAATGAATGTACAAAAATCAGTAGCATTTCTGTATACCAATAATGTTTAAGCTGAGAAACAAATAAAGAATGCAATCCCATTTAAAATAGCCACAAAAATATTGAGGAACACATCTAACCAAGGAAGTGAAAAATCTCTATAAGAGTAACTACAAAACATTGCCGAAAGAAAGGATGAAACAAACAAATGGAAAAACATCCCACACTTATGGGTTGGAAGAATCAATATCATTAAAATGACTATGCTATCCGAAGCAATCTACAGATTTAATGCTATTCCTATCAAATTACCAATGTCATTTTCCATAGAATTAGAAAAAACTATTCTAAAATTCATAGGAAACAAAAAATATGCCCAAACAGCCAAGGCAATCCTAGTAAAAAAGGACAAAGCCAGAGGCACCATGTTATTCAACATGTAAATATACTACAAGACTACAGTAACCAAACCAACATGGTACTGGTACAAAAGTAGACACATGGAACAGAATAGAGACCCCTGAAATAAAGCCACACACCTACAACCAACTGATCTTTGACAAAGTGAATAAAAATAATGTGGAAAGAATACTCTATTCAATAAATGAGCTGGGAAAACTGGCTAACCATATGCAGAAGAATGAAACTGGACCCCCTACTTCTTACCATATATAAAAATTAACTCAAGGTTGAAGAAAAACCTCAAACTATGAAAATCCTAGAAGAAAACTTAGGAAATACTCTTCTAGACATTGGCCTAGGCAAAGTATTTATGATGAAGAGTCCAAAAGCAAATGCAACAAAATAAAAAATAGACAAATGGGATTTAAACTAAAGAGCTTCTGCATAGCAAAATAAAATATCAACTGAGTGAACAGACAATGTACATAATGGGAGAATATATTTGCAAACTATGCATCTTACAAAGAACTAATATTCAGAATCTATAAAGAACTTAAATCAATAAAATGTAAATAAGCCCATTAAAAAGTGGGCAAAGAACATGAATAGACACTTCTCTAAAGAAGACATACTAACATGAAAAAATGCTCAACATGACTAATCATCAGAGAAATGCAAATCAAAACCACAATGAGATACCATCTTACACCAATCAGAAAGGCTATTATTAAAAAGTCAAAAAAATAGATTTTGGCAAGGTTGTGGAGAAAAGAGAATGCTTACATACTGTTGCTGAGAATACAAATTAGTTCAGCCTCTGTGAAAAGCAGTTTAGAAATTTCTCAAAAAGCTGAAAATAGAATTAACGTTTGACCCACAATCCCATTACTGGGTATATACCCAAAGGAAAAGAAATCATTCTACCAAAACACACCCGCACTCATGTTTATCGCAGCACTATTCACAACAGCAAATACATGGAATCAACCTAGGTGCCCATCAACAGTGAACTGGACAAAGAAAATGTGGTATATATACACATGGAATACTATGCAACCATAGAAAGAATGACATTACGTCCTTTACAGCAACATGCATACAGCTGGAGGCCATTGTCCTAAGTGAATTAACACAGAAACAGAAAACCAAATACTGTATGGTCTCACTTACAAGTGGGAGCTAAACATTGGGTACACACAGACATAAAGGAGGGAACAATAGACCCTGAGGACTCTGAAAGAGCAGATGGAGGGAGGCAGCAAGGGTTGAAAACCTGCTTATTGAGTACTATGTTCACTACCTGGGCAATGAGATCATTAGAAGCCCAAACTTCCCCAGCATGCAATATATCCATGTAACAAACCAGCACACGTACTCCCTGATTCAAAAATAAAATAAAAATAATAAAAAAGAAATATATTTAAGGCAAAAAGCATTATTCAGAGTAAAGAGTGATATTATTTAATAAAAAGGAACAATTACTAAGAACTTAACTGTAAACCTATTTTTATATACTGGCATAGTTTCACAAAGTATAATGGGAAAAATTCTAAAATTACAAAGGGAAATTGCCAATCATAGTGGTATACCTTAATATAGCTGTCTTAGAATCTGACAGATCCAGTATAAGAACATTAGTAAGGTAAATACCACAATTAGTAAGTTTGAGCTAAAGGTCACATATGGAACCTTGCATTCAAGAAATGACATGCATGGAATATTTTATATAAACAAAACATGCACCAGGCTGCAAAAGAAGTGTATATAATTCCAAAGAGTCAATTTCATGAAAACCATGAGTATAATTTCCAGAATGTAATTAAATTATAAATAAGAAAAAGATGGTCCCCTAAATCCTAAAATGGTTTTGAACTAAAAAGTGTAGTTTTTCCCAGCACTTTGGGAGGCCGAGGCAGGCGGATCATGAGGTCAGGAGATCGAGACCATCCTGGCTAACACGGTGAAACCCCATCTCTACTAAAAATACAAAAAATTAGCCGGGTGTGGTGGTGGGCGCCTGAAGTCCCAGCTACTAGGGAGGCTGAGGCCAGAGAATGAACCCGGGAGGCGGAGCTTGCAGTGAGCTGAGATCGCCACTGCACTCCAGCCTGGGCGACAGAACAAGACTCCGTCTCAAAAAAAAAAAAAAAAAAAGTGTAGTTTTAGAATTGAAAGGGCTATATATTAAGACTTGCAGGGAAAAATGAATACAGAATGTTATAATTCAGAGTAGTCGTTACCTCTGAGGAAGAGAGAAGCGAGAGAGAATAAGGGGATTCTGGGATGCTGGTACTGTTCTATTTCTTGATCTTGGTGATGGCTCATAAATAAATCTACACAGTTTGTGATAGCTAATCAAACTATAATTTTGATTTGTCCATTTTTCTGGATTTATGTTATCCTTCAATAAAAAGTAAAAAAAAAAACCTATGGGATACAGCTAAAGCAATACACAAATGTATATTTACATTCTCAAATATATACATAAAATATATGGTGTGTGTATACATATATATAAAGTAAACATGAAATATTAAAAATTCATGGGCCAAGCATTCGACTCAAGAAATTGTGAAAACAAATAATTTACAGTTTCTTAGAAATGAAGGAAGTTCCTAGTGAAAAATGCTGACATTACAGAAGAGGTTAAAGAAAACATTAAGATTAGGATTCAAGAGCCTGTTTATAAGCCTCCTCAGCAGGTTCTTTTTGTCACATTACCTAAGCGTATGGAAATAGGATGTGACAATATATTTTGGGTAAGTCCGTGAAAAACTGGAAATGATTCTTCCAAGTCACAGCATGCGAACCATGTAGCAGTAGGTAGCCAGGGAGCTTCAGGCTTAGGTGGGCGTTCCTGTTTGAAGACAGAAAATGAATAATAATTCACAAAGGCAATCACAAAATATACTTTCACTTTGTCCAAGTGAAAAATCAAGCTCTAATAGTATGTTAAAATAACCATTTTCCTAGGACAAGTAGTACAATATGGTGAAATAGAAATGGTGTTGAATCAATTCTAATTGTGGACCTTTGCACAGAAGTACAGCTGCTAAAAACTTTTCAGATTGACATTTACAGAAAACAAAGTGGATCAATTAAATCTGCTACTTTCAGCCTGTTTTCCAACACCCAACATCGATCTTTCCCCACTTGCCAAATATTCCTAAGGTTAATAATTTTTCTCTAGAGAACTAGTCTCCCAATCAGATTCCCAGATGTTCTCACCCCTAGAAGATACAGAAAGCTGAGTATGGAGCAGTATCAGTAGCAAGACAAATGGCAACCTTATTCTAGCTGTGGTAAGAGTTTGTCTAATTATTTTAGATACTCTTAGAAACTTCTGGGAGAAGTGTTATGCCATCTGGCAATATTCCATGAAGCACTTACATGTGGGCAAACAGTTTTAAAAGAGACAGAAAAATAGCTGTGATTGTAAGACTGAAACTAGTTCTTCAAAATTTCCTGAATATTTGCCTGAGGTTCCTTACTATAATTAAAAGCAGGTTTATTGAGATACAATTTATATGCTAAGCAATTCATTCATTTGAAGTATATAATCTAATGATTTCAGTATATTCACAGATATGTACAACCACCATCACAATTTAGAACATTTAATTTCCTCAAAAAGATACCGTGTACCCCTTAGCTATTACTCCCCTTTAATCCCATCCCTTGAGCCCTAAGCAACTGCTAAACTACTTACTGTCTCTATATATTTGCCCATTATGGACACTTCATGGAAATCAAATTATATAATATGTGGGCTTTTGTGACGGACGTCTTAGCTTAGTGTTTTCAAGGTTCATCCATGTTGTAGCATGTATCAGTACTTCATTCTTTCTTATGGTTGAATAATATTCCATTGTATAAATATACCACATTTTATTTATCTATCAGTTGATGGACTTTTGGGCTGTTTCCACCTTTTGACTAGTATAAACAATGCTGTTATGAATATTTGTGTCCAGCTTTTTGTGCAGACATACGTTTAACCAGTAAGTATAATGGAAATATTCCAAAAACTGAAAAAACTCCAGATCTGAAACACTTCTGGGCCCAGGCGTCTTGAATAAGGAATCTTATTCAATCTGTAATGTATTGTAGCAACTCTGAGCATGCACCCTTTCCCCAAAGGTTTCTTATTGTCACTTGCTTATTTGTTTAACAACTGACTGGATTATTTTAGTGGAGGCTCCCCACACCCCCTGCACAGCATTAAGTCTCTAATGTTGCTCCTCAAGGGGTGCAGCCTTAGGAATGCTCACAGTTACCCTGGGATGATCATAGCTTTTTCAGGGCTCTTTTTGATAGTTTCTTTCCCTGACTGCATCTAGCTGTTAAGCACCACTAATTGTGGGCTGATTGCTCTAATGTTTTTAACAATGCTCTTGGGGATATAAATTTCTCCTCAGACTAAAACATTCAAATTTGGGCCCCTTTGAAGGAGTTGCTGGAGTCAGTGTTTGGGTTTCCTTCTGGTCTTTGGCAGGCTTCAGTGTCTTCTCCTAAGTTATCTCTGGCAAACCAGCTGGCTTATAATGTTGTGTCTCTGTCCAGTAATTCCATCAACCTCCTTTCAATTGCTTTTCACTACAAACTTTATTGTTTTAGACAGCATCATTAGGCTTAAACTTTTCCATACTGTGTTGGAAATGAAGTCAGTTACTCTGTGAGGAGATAAGGAACTATCTGTTTTATAGGTTGCTTCTCCCACTCAGGAAAAACCTCCAAGCCAGGGGCATGACAATGTTGCACTTTTCGCAGGGGCATATTCCAGTTCTAGGAGCTGAGTACGCCATGGATGGGAAGAGAGTAGCTTCAGGTCTCCTCAGCTTGCCTCTGCCATTGAGGAATTACTATCTTAGGAGCTGGGACAACAGTGATGCTGCACCAAACGTGGAGCCTCAGTCTCCTCAGTGGAGGCTGGGTGGAAGAAGGCAGCCCCACCTTTTGGCTACACTCAACTGGGACTTATCTTCAGCAGTAGGTAGCTGTGGGCAGGATGAGAAATGCTGCTGTCTTGTCCTTTCCAGGAATATGGCCCTTTAACTGGCAGTGGGGAGTAGGCAGGAGCCCTGTGCTCTTAGCTGCATCAGTCTTGAGTGCAGTTCCTATCTCACTAAGCTGGGAGCAGGAAGGGAGGGAGTGGGTCTAGGTTCAAAGACCACAAGATTTGCTGTCCTTACTGAACCTCTAGTAAATTTTCTCAAATAAATGTTTATTCATTTGCTATATGTGCCTGGGACCATTTCCAGATGCTTTAAATGATCCTTATATAATTTTCAACAGTTTTGCTGGGGAGCCAGTATGCGAAGATCCTCACACTGTCATGCTGGAAGTGGCATTTCCCTGTGTTACATCTTGATCCTAGATAAATCCCTCAAAGACTCTTAGATTAGTTAACGTTCATAGGCATTTATAAATATCTAATAAACAATTCTGAGTGGTTTTGCTGTATTTTGATCTCTAATAATAATGTGTAAAACAAATCACTGGTCTGCGCAAATTTTAATGAATTTTCCAGGAAATAGATTTCATGTAAAGTTTTCTGATTATGCTATTATTATGTACTAGCATCATTTTTTGGATTCCTAGCATTAAGAGAAAATGCTTTAAAAAAAGCTTGTCCAACCCATGGCCCACAGGCCACATGCAGCCTAGGACGGTTTTGAATGTGGCCCAACACAAATTCGTAAACTTTCTTAAAACATTATGAGATTTTTTTTTTGAGATTTTTTTTTTAAGCTCATCAGCTGTCATTAGTGTTAGTGTATTTTGAGTGTGGCCCAAGACAAGTCTTCTTCCAATGTGGCCCAGGGAAGCCAAAAGATGGGACACCCCTGTTTAAAATATCATCATTTAAAAACATTAGTTGTATGGACTGAATATACCCAATGAGAATAGCCTGGAGACCTCAATTTGCAGAAATCCATTTACCTTGTCCACATGTAATAGAAACCTGCAGATGCTTGAGGCTTTGTGTATTGGTTCCAGTTGTTTTCTGTTTGTCCCTAAACTCTAACTGTTGTGGTTCAATCCTGGAAATGCCTACTTCTGCTCACACCAGCCAGTCTCCAGCTGCAGATCCCAGCATCTCTGCCCACCTTTTGTTGTTGTTGCCACCTTCTAGAAATCTGTGTTTTGCTTATCTGGATTTTCTTTATCTAGTGCATCCAGTCAACTCCAGATTCCATCGGGCATGTATCTCCTTCCTCTCTCTCCTCCCATCCTGGACACTCATCTTTTATTCTTTCTAGGTCTCTTCCAGGGCCCTTTTGCTGCACCATTTCCTTGCATAATGACACAATCTTGTCATAGGTGTTTGGAACTCACTGCACATTTTTCCACAGAAAAAGTTTTATGCATGGAAGTTGGCTTCTGAGGTTATTCCAGAAAATTTAATTTAGATCATAATGAATGTAGCAAAAAACAATGTAGTACTTACGATAAAAATAGAAAATACTAGTGTCAAAATATTAAATGAAGTGACCATATAAAATACACCCCAAATACATTTCTAAAAAAATTATTAGTCAAGAATCATTCCAATTTCCTCATGACAGAGGAAAAGACAGTTTAATTAAAAATAATTCAGAGAGGTTTCTGATGATGGTAATTTTAAATTTTGAGTTTGATGGTATTTAAAACATATTTTAAACTTTTCAAGATATGCTGTTCATGAGAAGTAGGTGGTGCTGGAATGGACATGGGCTTTGGGAGCTTAGAACACAGGTTTGAATCAGACTGTGTTATGCATTATTGTGATTTTGGAAAGCTCTTTAACCTCTTTGAGTTTCTGTTGAGAAAACTGTAAGCAGAGCTGTTGATAAGGCTGCAGTGAGGAAGGAAGGGCGAAAACACACAGGGCAGGGCCTGGCTAAGTGATTGGCTAACAGTCAGCAGCAGAGTGAACTGGTTAAGAGAGCAGGCTTTACAGACTGCAAGTGTTCAAATCCCGGTTCCAGGTCCTGTTAAGTGTGTTATCAGGACAAGTTACTTAACCTTTCTGTGCCTAACTATCTTATCATAGACTAGAGATACAAATTAGGAACTTACCTAAGAAGAATACTGAGAGGAATAAGGGAGTTGATATATATAAAACACATAGCAAGCTCTCTGTAAATATGAACTGTGATTACGAGGATAAAACACATTAAGAGAGGAGTCACAGAATATGTGTGTATGCAAGATGGATGGGGGTCAGGGAGGAAGGAACATCTGGTGGAGAGATCTTGTCTCGGCTTTTTCTGGGAACATGGGGTGCTGAGAGTCAAATAAAAGCATCAGGTTCAACCTCCTAGTGATACACTGGGGTTCAAATACTGGCAAACAGGTGCAGATGTCACTTCTGCAGGGGCCAAGGACAGGACTTGAGATTTGCAGAGTTGGACAGAGCCAAGAATTTAGAGTGGAGCAGAGATCAAATTGTAGGCAAGGTTTGGGGGCTCACCTCTGTGGGCCACTAGCTTTGTGGTATGTGTGTGGGTTAAGCCAGTTTAAGGGACTAGAGCAAGCAGGACAAGCAGATGAACATGAAGGAGGGAACTGTAGCAGAACTCGTATTACAGTATTACAGAAGGCGACAATCAAGTCATTTTGTCACTTCCCATGCTTTATAATGAGATACATCTCCAGGCAAGAGAGGGTCATGGTTTTTTAAAAAAAACTATTGCTAAATCTGTGAATTACAACTTTTATTGGATTTTAACTCTTTACATTTGTAAGAGGTTCAGCTTTGCAAAACATGTTCACTTCTACTAGCTTATTGGTTACTCCCAACATTCCTTTTCTATAGGTGAGGATAGTACACCATACAGAGGTTAAATGATACATTACACAGTTAGTTGGAGGCAGAGCTGAGTTATAACATGGGCCTCCTGACCTCAATACCCCTCCACTGGGCAACACAGCAAAATGTATGGCCTTCGGCCACCAGAGTCACCACAGAGCACTGGTAGGTGCTTGTGGGCTCTATCTAGAATAACGATCATAGTATTATTCTGTTTTCATGCTGCTGATGAAGACATAGCTGAGACTGGGTAATTTATAAAGAAAAAGAGGTTTAATGGAACTCACATGGAACTCACAGTTCCATGCAGCTAGGGAGGCCTCACAATCATGGCAGAAGGCAAAAGGCACATCTTACATGGCAGCAGGCAAGTGAGAATGAAAACGAAGTGAAAAGGGTTTCCCCTTATAAAACCATCAGGTCTCATGAGACTTATTCACTACCACGAGAACAGTATGGGGGAAACTGCCCCCGTGATTCAGTAATCTCCCACCAGGTCCATCCTACAGCACATGGGAATTATGGTAGCTACAATTCAAAATGAGATTTGGGTGGGGACACAGCCAAACCATATCAATCATCACCTAAATGGGAATCAGGTACCTTTTCCAATCCTGCAGAACCTCGGAGAAAGAAATTCCATTCAGCATCAGATAGGGTTCCTTGCTGACGCATCATCTCAACACAAAGCATAAAGCTGTAGATGAGTTTATGTTGCTCAAAAAGTCCTCTTGAAACATTGACATAAGCAGTTAGGAGAGTTTGTTCTAGTAGTACGTCCAGGCGCTGTTGTAGATTTTCTGTCTTTACAGAAGTTTCAATGGTGGTATTGAACAACTGTGTGAAAGAGAGCTCTATCAATGTCTCTGATTTAATTCATTCTCTGCAGAGAACAAAAAATCTGTCTCCCTTGTTCGCATTCAGTGAGTAAATGGCAGCATGGGAGATGAATACAGTAAGTCCTCAATGTGCCCAATAGGTTCTTGGAAACTGAGACTTTAAGTGAAATGATGCACAGCAGGTCTTTGAATTATGAACAATCTTGCATTCAAAGTCATTTTGCTATTACATTGATGAGACCAAAAAAATTGGTTTCATTATATGTCATTTTGCTAAACAAAGTCACAGTTTCCAAGAACCTATCCACAACATTGAGGACTTACTGTACTATGAAAAAGTCTAGAATTCATCCCAAAGTGATATGTGATATTTGTTTTCTACACTCCCCTTTCTCTCCTATTTTTAAGAAATGGACCAACACCAAGCTCTTGACAATATTCAAGAGGCATCATCTTGATGTGAGACATGAAACTCTGGAAAACAGAGGTGAGCTAGCAGGACCAGTTTTTTCACATCTTCAACCCAGATTTGATAAACTCTGCATTTTGGGGTGAGAGATGTAAGAGCAAGGTAAGCTCATGCTTATTTCTTAGCACTTCCCCAAGATAATTTTTAGGGTGTAGAAGTAATGTGCTAGAATTTTCCTGGAAATTTAAGAGAAACTGATTTTTGTGATTTTAAAGGAGATTTCTACCTTGTTTCCTACCTGGAAATTTTGAAAGGAGAATCACTACCACAAAGGTGCCCCATATTATAAAGATACTGGGAAGGCAGTAGAGATGGTGGCATTGAGGGATTAGGCCTGAGGTAGTCCTACCCATTTTCTGCAACTTTTAAGTGGAGTGGAAGGAAGATCAAAAAATTTATTTTTTATTTTATTTTTTTTATTATTATTATACTTTAAGTTTTAGGGTACATGTGCACAATGTGCAGGTTTGTTACATATGTATACATGTGCCATGTTGGTGTGCTGCACCCATTAACTTGTCATTTAGCATTAGGTATATCTCCTAATGCTATCCCTCCCCACTTCCCCCAGTCCCGGAGTGTGATGTTCCCCTTCCTGTGTCCATGTGTTCTCATTGTTCAATTCCCACCTATGAGTGAGAACATGCAGTGTTTGGTTTTTTGTCCTTGTGATAGTTTGCTGAGAATGATGGTTTCCAGTTTCATCCATGTAGGAAGATCAAAAAATTTCTAAAGGTCCCAAGCTGCGTGAGGAAGCTGAGCAGAGCCTGAATGTGTGGCCTTCCATGGAAGTCACGGGGCAAGGAGGGATCTTGCAGCAGAGACTCAGGGGAAGTCCCACCAGGGCCCTGAGGGGCATGTGTTTGCAGTCTCAGGATCCACAGCCTGAGGGGCAAAGGTGGGAGGTGAGGTAGTACCTGCCCAATCCCTGGGATCAAGATATATTGTTCATGGTGAGGGCAGACCAATCAAAACAGACTGGCAGCTAGAAGCCCACTAAGGACCAAAGCAGATCAGGGTCAAGAAGCATCCTCCACTCCTCCCTAGAAATACTGTGCGGAGGCTGTGCAGGCCTTTCCTACCCACCTCTTCTACTAATAGGATGGAGCGCAAAGGTAAAGGGGCCTGATTGTGTCAGTCTCCTCACCAAAATAGGTCTCCATTCCCCCAAGTTAAAAGGGCTTAGAGGAAGCCTACAATTATTTCAGGAAATTGGGAAAGTCTTTGTTGATTCTCCTGAAAGTTTTGTTGACAAAGGTAATAGAGTTTTGTTTTAACACACTCAGGAGAAAAGAGGACTCAGCCCTCTTTAACAACCTGACAAGAACCATAGAGGTTAAAGCCCAGTGAATATGTGATAATATGGTACCAAAATAAAACTGGTAAATCTCAAAATTCTCTAAAGAATTTCACTGTGAAATGGGTTTGGTAGAGGGTATCCTGGCCAAGGCTGTCACCTACAAATATGTTTTGGATTTCTGGTTTCCCTTCTAATCTGTAAAACTCCAGAGCTTTCATGATTCATCCTATATCACTTTTACTTTCAGCCCAAGATATTTTAGGGCCTTTTCACTTTTATTTCTTGAAGGAGATTTTAAAAACTTGAAGAGCATAAATTCCAAAACACCCAAGATAAGAAAAGTATTAACAAAAAGTCATTTAGGTGGCATTACAGGATTTGGTAATCCTTATTTTGCTTGGGTTAATACCTGTCAACTGAAGGAAGGGAGCAGAGATATAAGAACCCAAACCCTTGCCTCTAGGAATTGAGGTTTGAACCCAGCACAGATGGCTTTCAAAGGCTGCTAAAATGAACATCTTGTTGAAAGACAACCCAGGCCTATCTAAACAACTTGACTCCCATTTCTTTCAATTCCTCATTTCCATTCTTTCCTGGAAATAGAAACTGTTCCTGGACCTCCAACCATTATCGAGGGTACTAAATAAGACCTCTAGAGGAAAAATCAAGCTGTCATAAGAATTGTTTGACTATCTGAAGTTCAATAAGAATTGTTGGAATGTTATATGCAGAGATCAAAACAGACTCTTCATTCATGAAACACTCGAGCATTATGTGGTGCTAAGCACCATTGGGGATATGGGATTGGTGAGGCTTCATTTTTGCCTCCTGGGAGTTCAGGCTCCAGCAGGAGAGAGAAGCCAACCACCCAAGACAACGTGGGGTAACATTATGCCAGATGAAGCATATCAAATATTTTGGATAAAGACTGCTGAACCTGTTTGCTACTACTCCCATTGAGAGGTGGAGTCTAAATCCCCTTCTCTCAAACCTGGACTATCCTAGTGATTTGATTGACCAACAGACTGTAGCCGAATTGATGGTGCATGAAATCCAAGGTTAGGTCAGAAGAAGTCCTGGAGCTTCCATCTTGGTTTCTTTGAACGTTTACTTTGGGGAGAGGCCCTCTTGGAACCCAGTTGCCCTGTAGTGAGAAGCCCACGCCACAAGGAGAGGCCATGGCAGGTGCCATGAGTGACAGCCCAGCCATGTGAGTCAGCCATTTTGGATGTTCATTCCAGTCAGCCTCTAGATGTTTGCAGTCCCAGCAGCAGGCTTTGCTGGAGAATTTAGGAGAATTTAGAATGCAGTCCCAGCAGCATTTAGGTTGGGAGGAAGGCCATTTTAAACAGAGGGAGTGTCAGAAACACAAAAGCATCCAGTTAGTCTTGGGAATGTAAGTGGATCAATTTGGCTGTTGCACAGGAGTTGAGAGAAATGTGACTGGAGAGATGAAACAGGGACAGGCTGGATTTGGCTTTGAATTCCAGGCTATAGAGTATGAATTGTGTTGATGGGCAATATCTGTGAAAATTCATTTAGGACCTAGGTCTGTGGAACAGTGTTTTGAAAACACTAGGACTAGGCTGGCCTGGCTTCCAGGTGTGTGAGCCAGCATTGACTATACAGGGGCATATAACAGGAAATAGAGATGTGTTGCAGGGAAAAAGTGTTATGTTTACAATTCTCCACTGTTTTCTACTGAGTGGCATGTATGGAGGGAGAGGCCTTCGTTGGCTGAGTTGTGTCATGGGTAGGGTATAAGCATGGATGAACAGAAAAGTGAGAGTAAGTTAAACTGCTCTGCCCAGAAAAGGAGACAGCACTGCCAACAGGAAGTAGGAGCTGATGGGAAGACTGAGCCAGGGAGGCTTTGGTCGGGTGGGCTGAGAAGAGGCCACTGGCACCTGAGAGAACCTCTGATGCAGATGCTTGGTAGTCTTGCTGTATAGTGAGTAATGCAAACTCTCTGTCTTCCCTGGAAGTCTTTAGCAAAATTGGCATTGCCTGCTGAAGCTTTGTGGCATTGAATTTGCTTTTGAGAAAAAATGAATGCTGCTACAAAGAGGATAAGGGGTGAAAACATCCTACTCATGAGACAGCAGATGAAATTCAACTGTGAATATGAGATAAAGAAGAGAGGCTGAAATAAAACAAGAGAGTCTCATAGTCACATGGTGAAAGTGGGACAGAAACAAAGGAAAGAGATCCCTCTAAGTCAGAAGTGGGCGCAGGGAAGGAAGAACAGGTTGTTGCATAAAAGGTTTGGGAAATAAAAGATACATAAACCAATTTGGTTAAGGTCAGTGCTGTTTGGACTTGAGATACAACAGAAAACACTAATAGTGGAAAGGAATCTAGATTACTGCAGAGGATGTCTAAAGAAATGGGACTCAGCTGTGACTCTTAAAAAAGAGAGAAGGGCAGGCATGAAGGAAAACAAACATGCTAGCTAGTTGAGGAAGTCAGGAGCAAATGAAACTTGCAAAGGAGCTTTCTTCTCTTCCTCTACAGAGTGTTCTGTGCATACTGGGCAATCAAATCTTTAAAAAAAATTCAAATTTTATATATACCTTTTATATATATATATAATAATCACTAACTCTACTCTAAAAACTGCATCTTTGGAAGGGCTGGTGAAACCACTCTTTTTTATTTTTTATTTTTTTTGAGACAGAGTCTCGCTCTGTCGCCCAGGCTGGAGTGCAGTGGCACGATCTTGGCTCATTGAAACATCCACCTCCTGGGTTTAAGCAATTCTCCTGCCCCAGCCTCCCGAGTAGCTGGGATTACAGGCACCTGCCACCACGCCTGGCTAATTTTTGTATTTTTAGTAGAGATGGGGTTTCTCCATGTTGGCCAGGGTGGTCTTGAACTCCTGACCTCAGGTGATCCACCCACCTCGGCCTCCCAAAGTGCTGGGATTACAGGTGTGAGCCACCATGCCTGGCTGGAACCACTCTTGAACCTTGCATGCACCTGGGAGATTTTACCTGATAACTAGACTTATGGCTTATGTGAAGCAAGAAGTAATTCAACAGGTGTAATGGAGGCCAAAGAGATGACTGTCATTAACAACATGAACACACTTACCTGTTTAAAGTATTTTAATGAGTACTGGTACATAGGATCTATTTCTGAGAGGCTTGCAATGACAAAGTACATTACAGAGCCTTGAGTGGCCACTGGACGATACTTCTCACGAGCCACATTGATCATCTGCTCAGTGGACTCTGCTTCTTCCAGCCTGGTTTTAATGGCACCAGAAGTGATCTGAATAAACATACAATAACAAGTTCTTAGGGATCTGTTCCAGAAAAATAGTGGGACTTCTGGAATGTATCCAGTTAGGTCTAGGGAAGAAATAAGGATAGAATGAGTTGGTGATTATAATAAGGGGTCCCCAGGTGGAACGACTGAGTCTCAGGGCTCAGTGACCTTCTGAATAAGCTGACCTTTCTTCCTTCCAGAGTTAGGAATAGGCAGAGGGCAGCAGGCAATACAAGTAGCTTTGAAAACATAGAAGCAGCATGTCTCTGAGACTCAATCTGAATTACTCCTGCAATGCAAACACCATCACAGCACTCCTAATTGCTCCCGAACTTCTTTGTGAGCAGTCCAGGGCAAGCACAATGAATAAAGGAATGAAAGGAGAAGGGATACCCAGGAAGATGCCCAAAAGAAGGGAGTAGAGAGTGGCTGGGAGGCAGTGGCACCACATCCCTCCCTGGAATAACAAGGGTGACTAATATTCTTGTTCTTTACCTAGTATTCCCAGGTATAGACATATGGGATAGAAGCTGTTGTTTGTGGAGGATTATAACCCCAAATGAGTTAGCGATGCTTTCAAGGTCTTTTGGTTTTCTGCATTTTGGGTTTGTGGGTCTGGGGAGCCCTCTGGCCAATGGGCCTTCCAAGATTCCCTTCTCTATGTCTCTCAGTCTCTCTCTTTCTACTGCTGTCTGCCCCTGCCTCCTCTCTCTTCCCCCACTGTTTTTCAGAGGTGGATATCCCTGGGTTGGGAAATCCTTTTCTCTCTAGAAAGTCAAAGGGTCTAGAGCAGGGACCATGAAAAATCACCAAGGGAACTGACTGCTCAGTATTTGCTCCATCAAAGCTAAAAGGAATCATCAAGTTCCTGTATAGACCAGTGCTTTCCAATGGAAATATAATGTGAGCCACATAAATAATCATACATTTTCTAAATTTATTAAAGATAAAAAGAAATTTTAATAGTATATTTTTAATCTACCCAAAATATTATATCAACATATAATCCACATAAAAGTTACTGAGATATTTTGTTTCTTTGGATTTAGCCCTTGAAATCTGTTGTGTATTTTACACTACCAATACATCTTAATTCAGGCTAGCCATATTTGAAGTGCTCAACAGCCACCTATGGCTAGTGGCTACCTACCATAATAAAGAGTATAAGTCTAGACTATTTACCCCAGCCCACCAGGAAAGGGAGGGGAAGGATTCAGTGCAGAAGCTGTTTCCAGGAATCAGAGATCAAACTCTCCCTGTAATAACCCCTTAGGGAGCTGAAGGGGAAATAAAGGGCAGAGTTGAGTAGGAAACCCCTATGTTAATATGGGACTCAACTAAAGCTTTCAAATCCAAGTAGAAAAAAAAAGTTGATATGGGATCAGTTGGTGGATCATGTAGGCCCACTAACAAATAATTCTTTATGTCTTAGGGAGCACAAGGCACTGATAATGTAGAAACCAGGGCTAAAGAGAAGGAAAGTGGATTGTTTTCATCTCCTTGCCAAAGAATATTAGAATACTATATGCTTCCGTTGAGTTTGGCAACTACTTGTAGACATTATGCCCTACAGGCTTGAGGTTTCAGCCGCGTTTAGAGAATATGAGACATATTTTTATGTAAGGATTCTAAGAGCTGAGAGGAGTATAAACTGTAGCCAAGAAGTGGCAGGAAACACAGCCAAGGATCAGTTTGATCCCTGCTGTATAGAAAGGATGACTCCAAAGCAACTCCTTGCAAAACAAATAAACCAGCTTATAGATAAAGATGGCAGTCATCACATGTGTATCTACCTTCACTTCCTACTGAAACTACAATAAAATTGTAGGAAAAGGCTTAAAAATGCAGAGTAAACCAATAAAGATAGGAAGAATGGGCGAGGAAATATCAACGAATTTTGGGAGCTCGAAAGCAGACAGAAGGGTGGCAATGACTTAGCAGACCCAGAAAAATGGATTCCTACACTGGCAAAAGTGGATAGCCACGAACTCACCCGATTTATAAAAATAATCCTCCTCAAAGGCTTAAGAATTAGTAGCAAGAAGCACTCGGCCGGGCGCGGTGGCTCACGCCTGTAATCCCAGCACTTTGGGAGGCCGAGGCGGGCGGATCACGAGGTCAGGAGATCAAGACCATCCCAGCTAAAACGGTGAAACCCCGTCTCTACTAAAAATACAAAAAATTAGCCGGGCGTAGTGGCGGGCGCCTGTAGTCCCAGCTACTTGGGAGGCTGAGGCAGGAGAATGGCGTGAACCCGGGAGGCGGAGCTTGCAGTGAGCCGAGATCCCGCCACTGCACTCCAGCCTGGGCGACAGAGCGAGACTCTGTCTCAAAAAAAAAAAAAAAAAAAAAAAAAAAAAGAAGCACTCTTGGAAGTGGGAAGGGCTTAAAATAAGAATTGGTTGTAAGAGGACCCCCTAGGTCATCTTCCCACACCACCCATGGCCAGGGGTTTGTCCCTTTCTCACCCTGGCAGAAAAAATAGAAATTTCCTTTGGAGAAAGTAAAAGAGAGGGTTTTCTGATGGAAGGAAGGAACTAAAACAGAGTGACTGGGTGACTGCAGACTGGATGCTGAGACCCTAGCCCTTCTCCTCTCAGACCCCAAATACTTAAAGCCAGATCTTCACCCTTAGGCAATGTTAACATTTAATGTTCAGCTATAATCAGGATATAACTACAGTGGGAGGCCAGAGGATGGGAAGGTGTGTGTGTTTGTGTGTGTGTGTCTGTGTGTGTGTGTGTGTGTGTGTGTGTGTTAGAGGTACAGATAACAGTTAAGACACAAAATGAAAGTAGCTGCCTTGGCCGGCACAGTGGTTCACTCCTGTAATTCCGACACTTTGGGAGGCCAAGGCAGGAGGATTGCTTGAGGCTAGGAGTTTAAGACTAGCCTGGGCAACATGGTGAGACACTGTCTCTACAAAAAATAAAAAAAAAAAAGTGAAAAATTAGTTGGGCGTAGTGGCGTGCATTTGTAGTCCCAGATATTCAGGGGGCTGAGGGAGGAGGATGGGTTGAGACCAGAAGATGAAGTCTGCGGTGAGTCATGATCATGCCACTGCACTCCAGCCTGGGTGACAGAGCGAAACCCTGTCTCAAAACAAAACAAAACAAAATAAAAAACAAAAAAAACAAAAACTCAAGAGAGCTGCCTCTGTGAAGGGAGGCATGGGTGGCTGGTGGGAAGAGAAGGCACGGAATGCTATTTTTCATAATAAGCCTTGTAGAATATTTCATTCTTTAAAGAGTTGGCATGTACAACTTTGCTAAAAAATAAAAATAAGTGGGTTAACACACAACCGCCAGAAATAAAAAAATAAAAAACCCAAGGAAGAATGAACGACAGGAGGATAAAGAGATCTATGAACAAACAAGCTAAAGCAGAGAGGAAGAAAACAGAGGCCCAAAATTACTTGCTTATTACTGTTTTAATACTGCAATCTCAAGGGACTATACAATATAAAGCAGTCAACCAGTTTTGATGTCAACAAAAGCAAAAAACATAACCTATGTGTTTCTGGTTTAATAAAGTCAAGGGGATTTTTTTTCAGTAAATTATTTGTTTCTCACAAGTGGATGAAAATCATTTGTTCTTAGTATGCACTCCTTAAATGATAGTTTGAATCTGAGAAATAATTTACTGAAGAATTTTAAGTTTAAGGTAAAACTTCATCTTACTATCGACACGTTTTTGTTGAGTACCAATTGTGTGCAACCACCATGTGTAATCCTTGGAGAAGGAATATCAAAATGAACTATTCACAGATTCCCACTGCATAGAACTTAACAACACAACAAAAGAGATAAGCCATGTAATTGGATAACTGTGACATAGGATAAACAGTGTCAAGTGCTGTAGTAGAGATCCAGATAAGACACTATAGAAGTTCTGAGGAGGAGGAAGTTAATTCCAACTGGGAATATCAGACAGAGGCTTCCTGCAGGTGATGGCATTCATATGAAAGTTTGTTGTGTTTGTTCCTTTCGATTTATATCTTGTCCAGTTCTTTATGTGTTTTATTTAAGAAATGCAGACAAGACAAGAGAAGCAGTGGTCTACAGTTTCTCCAGGTTTCTTTGGTTGGCAAGGAGCCCTGACAGGCAGGCACCCGTCTGTGTGTCCATGGAAGCCCAGTGTGGCCCCCGTCTTGCTTTAAAAGCCCTTGCAGGACCCTCAAAGGCTGTAGTTATAACTTTTGAAGTAACATACTTTCCATAAGTACTAAAAATATTTTACTTGCCTTTGAATCCTGGAGTGTGTCAATAAGTTCTTCATTGTCCAGAATATTTCCTTCAGAGGTAAAGAGCATTCTCAGGATTTTCTCTTCGATAGTTTTCAACTGGTTTTTATCAGTGTTGATCCTCACGATGAGCTTAATTCTTTGTTCTTCCAACCTGGGTTTTTCAAGTCGCACCACATCACTAAAACCAAAGTTCAGATATCTAAATTATGTCTCTGCCAGTGCCTCAAAGTTGCTTCTATTTTTCTTTCTCTGTTTGTAATCGTTCTTATTCTGAATACTATTCAGCTGAGCATTAATGCTGATGGCCATATCTGAATGCACACCATGTCTCTTTTGCTGGGTTTACACAATAGCTTCTGACTCAACTACATGTCAATTCTGATCTTTTATCTTGTATTTTAGAGATGCATACTACTGAAGTTCCCACACCTTCTGCTCATCTCTTAGGAAGACCTGCTTAATACTTGATCTCTCTAATCATTCAATTTCTGTCTCTAACGCTTGCTTGTGCCAAGATGAAAATGGTGCCTGGAATATTTATGATGCCTTGAATATTCTTTCTGTACCAACATGGCAGATTCTGAAATCACACCACCTCCATGAAATGATTTTTGATTGCATATGAGAAAGGAGCCTTACCTCCAGCTTCACCCTTGTATAAACAGGTGAACTTATATCTCCCTTCACTTGTTCTCTCATAATTTGCTCCCAGTCTCCATTTGCAAGTTAATCTTTATTAAGTACTACTCTATGCAATGCACCCTGCTAAGAGTTTTACGTGGATTATCTATTAATCCTTTGAATGCCCCCCCCATAAGGTGGGCACTGTGGTTATCATCCCCAGCTTGCAGGTGAACAAACAGACTCTAGTGGGTCACTTCTTGAGATCACATGGCTATGAGAGGCCAAGCTGGGCTTGTACCTGGGTCTGCTGGCTCCAGAGCATGCACTGTTACTAGTATGCTGCCTTAAGTAACAACCCATTATTTACTTGTTATGTACATGCTGAATTCAGACACCTTGAAATTATTATATAAAGAATACTAAAAATCATAACCTCAAATTCAATTGTTTAAATAAGTTTTTCAGAAGACAGTAGTTTAAGGAATTTTTAAGATAAAGGTAAGCTCAGGAAACAGCTTGAGAGAAACATTAATCAAATTAATCAAGTTAAGAATCAAAAGAGCCTGCCAAGGAAGTCTGTGAGGTGAGTTACAGTTTCTGGAAATAGAAAGGAAGACAGAAGGAGGTGGACAGTCTGGGTGGCTGAATGGAATTCCTTGAAGTTGAAAAATGGCCTTGTGCTGCCCCAGAAGGACTAAGGCATTGTGGTTGGCATTTTCCAGGAGGCAGGGAGGTGAACTGTGGTGTTCAAAATTGAGAGGATCTGAGGAAAATTGCAATGAGAAATTGAGCACAATGTGTATCACTGCCTGTCCAGGAGCTCAGCAGAGCAGAGGGCAACTGAAATAGGTGACGGCCTGTCAGAACACAGGCAGACCCAGCTCCATCCTCACCCTGGCTAAGGGCTGTTAGCTTCCCTTTTCAATGCCATCAATCTAGGAGAAATAGCAGGGAGATACTGCACACCATGACTGAGTCCCAGCATTTCTCGTGTTCTTATCAGGGCACTTCTCCTTCTTGTCCCAGGCAGCCTAACATGCTGGGAGCTTAGTGACACAGCTGAGCTTAACTATGCACAGGAATAAACTGGTATGCAAAGTGTTCAGCCAAGTCCTTAGAATATATTCATAAAATATGTTGAAATAAACTTTAATTGGAAAGAAGTTAACCTAGTGGAAGGTAAGCAAGTTAGCAGCTGGCAGAATAATTCCTAAAACAAACTAGAGAAATAAGACTTAAGCTCATTAGTGACAACATAGGTAAGTCAGGACGATCTTGACTTGAATATAAGGGATATTTCTTTTGAACATGGGTCTAAATTATGTTTCTTTAGAGTGAATAAAAATACATACATAGGTATTCCTATATACATACATATGTGTATATATGTGTTGGTTAAATATATATATTAAATATAAAATTAATTTTGAATCAACATCAATGTTATTATTTTAACAAATATTTTTAAAGTTTGTCTCATGAACCTCTTGGCTAATTCTGATGATTAATATTAACAACTCATAATGCAATATTTGGGAAATAGGGATTTAATCACATACAGAATATACTAAGAAAGGGCATACATATATATATATACCCATATATATGTATATATATGGGTATATATGTATATATGTGTATATATATACACACATATATACATATATATACACACACATATATTTGAAGTGGACAGTTAAATACACTAAGAAAACACCTAAAAACCAGTGAAGCTGGAACAAATATATTTGGAGAAGCTGTTTTTTCACAGGTATGGACCAGTGCATTTCTAGGAACAACAGAAAGACTGACTTCGTTCACTTGCTCAGGATGGAAATCATAGTGAAGGGAAGAGGCAGGGCTGGGCTGCCAGCCTGGTTCAAACAGTGGGGGTGGGGAATTAAGGGTCTATCCTTGACGTCCTTGAGAAGACGGTAGACAAGATCAGCTGCTCTGAACAGCTATGGAAATGGTAAAGAACTTGGCCACTTACTTGTATTTTTTTTTGATTAAGGGTTCATGTGTAGTGCTCTTACACAGCAGAACATTGTCTTTGTCAATATTTCTAAACAAAATATTTAGGAAACCCACAATACCCCCTTCCCTCCCCTCAACTCCCTGTTTTTTTACCTTAACAACTGATCCTCCAGGCCTGATTTTGTTACAGTGAAATTGATAATGGTAACTTTAATGCATACCTGGAAGAGAAGCACAGAGTGCATAAAAATGCTTAAGTGCAAACTAATAAAATACCTTTCTTTATTAGAACACAGCTCATTACTACCCAGGCGGATGTATCTCAGGTCTAATTGCACACACACCTACCCCCACACATACTTTAGGTGTACTGTGGCTTATAAAATCCTCATATGTTTTTCCCTGCCAGTATGAGTAACAATCTTGTTCCTCAAACACCACAGTTACAGAATCCTACATTGTGTTTAATGGAAAGGTGAGCCAGCGAACGATTAAAAGCAGTATTTTGGAATTGATAGCTTGGGTTCAGATTTGAGCTGCACCCTTTAGTGACTGTGTCATCTTGGATGAGCCACTCATCTGTGCTGAGCTTTAGTTTCCGGTATTTAAAAATTTGGATAATTATAGTAAAAACTCATAGGGTAGCCGTGAGAACCAAATGAGGTAATAAAATCACTTAGTTACTTATGATACAGTGTGTCTTTGCTTGAAAGAAGCTATTATTGATAAACAAATAAAGTTTTATATGTTTTGTCTAATAACATTTTAATGAGAAATTATTACTATAATATATTCTGACATCACTCGATAAGTCAATAGCAAAAACCAGTAAGTATAACAAGAGTGTGTGAATGAACATATGGCATCGTACTTCAAGGATTTTGTAATATGGTAAATTACATATTGTAATTTTGTAATATTTACCATATTACAAAATCTTTGAAGTAGGATTGATCTCTTTTTAGAGATGATTGACGTGAGGTTCCTGGAAATGGGATAATTTGCCCCCTGTTACAGAGCTAGGCTTGGGTCTTGTGGGCAATACACCCTCTCAAAAGTTAAATAAGTGAGAAATCAAAGAGTGAAAGTTGGCACGTTGGTCACACTTCTTTTTTGGAGGTGGTATCCATCACCTCAAGCATTTATCATGTCTTTGAGTAAAAAACATTCTGATTATGCTGTTTTAGTTATTTTTAAATGTACAATACATTATTGTTGACTGTAGTCGCCCTGTTGCACTATTATATACTAAATCTTATTTAGTCTATCTAACTATATTTTTGTCCCCATTAACTATCCCTACCTTCCTGCTCCCCTCCATTCTCCTTCCCAGCCTCTGGTAATGTTGGTCACTTTTCTAAACTCTGAAATGGGACTTGGGACATGAGCCCTGGCAGTGGCTGTGTAATTAAACTCCTCGAGGCTGACAAGGAAAATCCTAACTTAAACTTTCAATGATATTTCCCCATCTTATTCAAGAAGTGTGTCAATTTCATTCAACCTGAACACATCTGGTGAAGACAGATAGCTATGAGCAATTCAACAGCTAAAATGAAAGTGACGCTCTTTGGAATGGTATATTTAAGGATATTGGGAGGGTTGTGGTGGTGAAGAAGTAAAGTTCTTGAGGTCAAGTTCCTTTCCTAGGTAAGAGCCTGCAGAGTGCACAGACATGCCTGGAGCTGGGGCAGCACCTGGGCATGTGAGGGGGATTGTGGCCAGGGAGACTCCCGTGGGAGCTTGGTGGGAGGGGCAATGGAGTCCCAGCTGTCTTCATTTCTGTTGCAACTACCTTGGACACTGTAGTACTAGAGTAGGGGTTCTTCTAGAGTCTTCTGAGTCTCAGGGACATATGTATGGAGTGGAGCTCACACAGCTCCACTCAAAGAATCTAAGAGCATGAGAAGGGGACAAGATACCCCCACCACCCATAACTCTAAGTGTAGACACTGGACCTCTAGATCATGATTCTCTAGTGTTGTCTTGTTCCTAGAGTTTTCAAATGGGTGACCTCTTTATTTGGGCACATATGCTGTGGGCATTTGCACATTTAAGTAATGACATCTCCTCCTCCCCCCAACCCCAGCCCCATGGACTCTCAACTAAGCTCTGATTCATTTACTAGTCATAATAACAGGGACAAAAATAGTCTTTGCTGATGGAGGAAAGAGAGAGTTTAAAAGGGGGATGCCCTATGTTTAGGAGGAGTGGCTGTGGACCAGGAGGGAGATGGCGAGGGCACTGGAGAGGTGCACAGTGGAGCGAGACAGAGCATCGGCCTGGGCCCCAGTGGGTAGGGGCTTGCAACCTAACTAGATGGTGATGACAAGGGTGATTGGAATCAGAATCAAAGCTCAGAAGGGAAGCAAGAATGGAAGATGGTGGAAGAAAGGGGAGTGTATAGGAGACAGGGGAGAATGGGGGAGCACTTTCCCTCCGGGTGGGAGCCCATCAAACTTCAGAGATTCATTACACCATGATAATCCAGTTAAGTTGAGAATTCCAGACCAGTAGTTCATACCTCAGGCAGATAGTGGGGATTTGGCATTTTGGTTGTCATATAGAACCTAAAGTTTTTGTCATAATCAATGTCTGAGTCTCCAAGACGGATGAGTAGTCGGCCACCACTGATAAAAATTTGTTTCAAAAGAATGGGTTCTAGAGCTGGATCCAAGGTTTCCTTAAGCTTAGAAATTAAAACAAAACAGGACAATACAAAAAGAAGCAATTAAAATGGATAGCATGAACTTCACAAAATTCCTTAGGCCTCAAAATGTACTGTGAATGAATAATTTTCCAGTGATCTGATGGATATTTATTAACATCCTCACACTACCTCTAACAGTACCTATTTTCCAGTAAGCATTTTATTAGCAGTCTAAGGAAATAAGAGCATCTGAAGGCAATATATCTATTTAGATCAATCTTACACACTATTCATTTCCATGAGAAGAAGAGAGAAACTGGGTAGATTAAGTCATTGTGGGTTGGACTTCAACAGGCTCCACACAAATGAAGATCTGTTCATTTTCATGGTTGTTTAAAACCAGGGATTGGCAAATGACAGCCTATAGGCCAAATCTGGCCCCATGTAGCCATTTTTCTATGACTCTTGAACTACGAATGGCTTTTACCTTTTTAAGGGTTGTAAAAACATACAAACAAAAAACACTAAACCAAAACAAAACAAGGAAGAATATGCACAGAGACTGCATGAGGCCTGCAAAAACTGAAACATTTACTCCCTGGCTCTCTACAGAAAAAGTCTATGAACCCCTATTCTACATGATAGTTATGCCTTTTTCCTCAAAGCAAATCTGACTGTTGGTAGGAACGTGGGCATGGAGACATTGCCCAGGGATCCCATCAGAAACATCTTTATGTCAGGACGTATGTGATGGGGGTCCCATGGCCCAGGGGCTTTCAAAATTTGACTGTCATCCATTTTAACAAATCTGTTCCACATTGTGACATGGTACCCACACATGTAAATTCTTCAAACAAAAGTTTATGAGATAAAATTTACCTTTATTCAATATAATTTTGAGTTTAAAAAATTTTATTTCATTTGAAAATGTTGATTGAGATGGTCTAAACTGATTTCATACTCATGAATGGGTGGAGACAAAGTTTGAATACACCACCCTAGCAAATGTAGAAAGCAGCTAGGTGTATAATGCTGATGACCCCAAGACACAGAGAGTTGGGGAGGACTGGTCAGAGTGTCCTGTTCCTGGCTGGGGCCCTGACAAGGGCCCACCCCCTCTCCCAAGAGCACTCTACTACAGTTAAAACACTCTTCTGTCCAGAGGTAGAACATCACAGAAAACCTTTTGTCTGCTGCCATGAAAGAGGAAAGTCCCTCAGGATCTCTCGTGTCATAAAGTAAACCTGAGTTCAGGAGTCCAGTTTGGAGCTAAAATACCTGTGCCAAAGTTTTCTGGAGACTTCACTCTCTCCTGTGACTGGGATCCATTACAGAATCACCCTTGTGTTGGTCAAGGCCAAGCTTGGTCACACTGAGGTCCCTTGTGCTCTTTGTGGCTTGAGTGGGGAATAGTGTAACCTGTGGATTTCCTAGGCAGGCAAGGTTGCTTGGATAGTTTATGCAACCCTTCCATGCCTCAGTTTCCTCATTGACAAAATGGAATAACAATAGTAACTATCTTGTGATGGGGCAGTGAGGATTAATGAGTTAAAATACATAAAATACTGAGAACAGAGTCTGGCATGGAGTGAACATGCAATAAATATTAGTTAATGCTAACATATTAATTACAATTCCTAGTCATCATGCAGGTGCTGCAGCTAAACTGCCCTGGTCCATGGTCTTTTTGAGCTTTCTTTCTTTCTGATGACGCAGTGATACTTCTAGGCACGGTTAAACTGAGACTCAACTCACAGTCCATGTTTTGGCTCGCTTGTTCTTTTATTACTTATAGGAAAATAAACCATGATCATTAACCAATCTCTTTTGTGCCCAGGGCCTTTGTGCTGTTCCCTTTGCTGGGGAAGCCCTTCTCTCTAAGCCTGGCATATGGCTGAGCTCATCACATAGGTCACAGCTTAAATTACTCCCTTTATCCACATATCTAAGTCAGACCAGCCTTGGTGGCCTATCCATTGGTGACTATCCCAGCCCCCTCTTTACCCTTTCAAACCTCTGATAACAAGTTTCTTCCCCTCCCTCTCTCATTTCTTCTCTCTTTCTTTCTCTGTTTACTGTCTCTGTCCCCACCTCAATTGTAAGCTATTGAGAACAGAAACCACATCTATATTTTTTGCCACTGGTTCCCAAATAATGTTTGAATGAGGGAACAATTTTAAATAACATCCATTCTTGCAATGATAGCCAAAGAAATGGAGCACCTAGACTCAACAAACAACACTGCCCTCCCTTCTTCTTCCTCTTCTTCTTTTTTTTTTTTTAACAAAAGTTAATTCTTATCTAATTCACTTAATCCAATTCTGACTTATGCCCAAGTAAAAAATAATGTTTGTATCCACTAGAATATTTTACTGGCTTCGCATCATTATTGTATGTACATAATCCTGACTGCACTACTGTTGTGAATTTTCAGCGCAGCTCACCATCAAGGGCCATAATGAGGCCTGTGAAACAGCAGTGTCAGGAAACAGAGGCCAGCCCTCTTAACACTAAAACAATGTCTGAAAGTCAACAGGTCCTCCCTCCCACCCCTCTTGCAATGTGATAATGTATTGTTTAAGGAGAAGAGGAACTGGTTTGACCAATTTGAAAATGGAGTTGACTGGTGTCTTTAGCATGATGGGGATGTGGCCTATATAGGATTCCAGATATGATTTGAAAGTTGGGAACTGACATGAGAAAAGGAAGTGAAAATCAAACCTCTTCCAGTAAGACAGGTAAACCAAGTCGGATTGAATTCTCGAGTATTCGTAAGAAATTACTATCTGTAAGCTTAATGATCTTTAAACCACTTTTGCTTTCCTTGTTCCTTATCCAACGGTTTGCCTGTTTGGAAAAGCACAGAGCAGAACATTTGCTTCAGAGCATAATAAATGGCTAGAAAGCGAAAGCTTTAGAAGAAAGTGTGGAAATGTTATTCAATCTAGAAACAAATTTGAAATATATAAACTGTACTCCCCTGTCCCCCGACAATAAAGACATCTTTTAAGCCCAATGTTTGGGACTCTTCTCTTTGTTTAGATGTGGAAGAAATAAAGAAAGAGTCATCTGGGAACAGAGTTCATGCTTATGGTATTCATGTTGGTCTCCCTTGCTTCCACAGTGGCTCCCTCTTCCAAACCCTATTTAGTACAACCTGATCCATGAACTTAGGGAGTCAGAAAATGGGATGCTGTCAACCGTAAATTCCAGTCAGGCTTGCCCTAAAATTTGATCATACCCTGACTTCACTCTCATTCCTCAGACCTTTTAGGAACAAGGACTACAGAAGAATGAAGATCTGTGGATTTCTGCCCTCACAGAAAACAAAAAATGAATGGTCATTCCCCTAAACAAAACCAATCAAAATCAAGTACGGGAGCACTTCAATTCTTCCTTTCTTACTTTCTCATCCACAAAATGAGGGACTTGGACTATAGGACTTTAACACTCTCTTCTAGGTCTAAATCTCCATGTATGTTAAATCTAAATCTCCAAGTACATTGAGGCCCACTTTTATAATTTTTAATAGCTAGCTCAACATTAAGCAGAACCAAAAGCCACTCTCTTAAGCATTTGCTACACACCTGATCTTGGGGATCAATCATCAAAGGCCATCTTCTGCCTTGAGTAACCAAAATGCCATTTTCTGTTGATATCAAGTCACGGGGCAGCCCATCAGTGTTCCACTGCCGTATCTCGTAGGGATCTCCAAGAATGTTAATGAGACTGAAGGAAGGATCGATTGGGATCTCCAGAGACTGACAGTCCTGGATCCAACACTCTATAAGCTGTAGAAGGGGGAAAGCTTACTTGAGTAGAGTCAGGAACACTCAGTAAACGAGGGCACATGCAAAATGTGGTGGGCAGTGGTAAGTCAGTGGCTGAAGAGCTAAGCCCTCCCAGTCTCCACAGATGTGCTTGCATCAGAGCATGGGACACAGGAAGTAGACCAAAATCAGGAGGCCTAGGTACTCTGACTATACCATTAGTTAGATGTGACTTTGGAAACATCATTCCCTCTATTTGGACCTCAGTTGTCTCATGTGTAAATGACTGGGTTGTCGCAGTGGTTTTCAACCAGGTTTGTATTTTCCCTGTTGGGAGAGTCTGAAAGCATATGGAGAAGTTTCGGGTTATCACAATGACTGAGGGTGTACAAGCAATCAGTAGATGAGGGATAGGGATGTTGGCATATGACCTCCTTCAATGAGTGGTGCAGTCATGCAGAAGAGAGAGCTGTCTGTCCCCAAAAAGCACAATTGGCCCCAGTGAGAAACATGGCACCCTAAGAGCTTAGAGCTCCTGGAGAGTCTATATGAGAGTATTATATCAGGTTTTATAACTGAAGGACAAGGGTAAACATTTTTAGGAAGACATTTCAAAAAAATGACTAAAATTCTTTCAAATAATTTCATTTCCTGGAAAATGCATGTAGATGAAACTTTTATTCTCTGATAAATGAAAGGCTCTTTCTTTCTTTCTCTCTTTCTTTCTTCCTCTCCTCTATCTCCCTCTCTTTCCTTCCTTCCTTCCTTCTTTCCTTCCTTCCTCCTTCCTTCCCTCTTTCTTTCCTTCCTTCCTCCTTCCTTCCTTCTTTCTTTTTCTTTCTCTTTCTTTCTTTCCCTTCCTTCCTCCCTCCCTCCCTCCCCCCCCCCTTTCTCTCTTTTTCTCTTTCTCTCTTTCTTTCTTCAGAGTTTTGCTCTTGCTGCTCAGGCTGGAGTGCAATGGCGCAATCTCCACTCACGGCAACCTCCGCTTCCTGGGTTCAGGCAATTTTCCAGCCTCGGCCTCCCCAGTAGCTAGGATCACAGGCACCTGCCCCTACGCCCAGCTAATTTTTGTATTTTTTTTTTTTAGTAGAGACGAGGTTTCACAGTGTTGGCCAGGCTGCTCTTGAACTCCTGACCTCAGGTGATCCACCCGCCTTGGCCTCCCAAAGTGCTGGGATTATAGGCATGAGCCACCGCACCCAGCTGAGGCTTTCTTTCTTATAGAGATAAAAGCCTAAGGAAGCACAGATTCCTCCTGGTCCTGCCTGCTCCTTTCTTTTGACTGGCCCTCTTGCAGTTTCACCAATTGAGAACATCTCATCCAGGCTGGCTTTACATGCCACTTGTGATCATAAGGGTAGGGGACTCACTGTCTCTTTTCCTTCCCCCAGGTTTTTGAGCTGTGTAAATGATGAATAGCTTTCTAAGACAGGAGAAGGAAAGGGAGGAACGTGTTAAGGAAAGCCTAGGGGTAGACCATCACTGGCTTATTGGGGAGTGAAGCGCTGTGAAATATATAAAGAAATTCCACCATGAAGAACCTCTACAGTGGAGAGCCTCCATCTGAACTCAGAAAAATGAACCACCCCTGGCTCCAGTTTCAGCTGCTTCTTACCCCTCCTTACAGAAAGCAGGGTTACTCACTGACTGCCTGTACTGGGCTGTGAAAGCCCCATAGTAGGCCACACAAGCTGCTGCTATGAACACGTTCCCAGTGATATTTGATATTTCTTCCTCAAACTTCTGTATGCTTTCTTCCCATCGAACCTGCTCATCTTCTAATGCTGCTGTCAGCTTTCCAGCACGTACTAGACGTGCTTTTGTCAGGGCCATGGTCTTTGCTAGAAAAATTTTAAGAAAATCAGATTATACTATTAAATATTTTCATAAAGTATTAAAAGCTTATTTACCTGTTTCTTTTTATAGCAGAATAGCATTATTTAGCTAATGATGTCAATACATCTCTATGAAACCTTACACCAATTCAGCATTAATTCCCATTTCAGAACCAAGTCTAAGTTTGCCTTTTCCTTATCGAAAACTCTTTTTTGATACTCCATTACTCTGGTTGAAGACAGTGCTTTCTGTATCCTTGTAGTATTTAGCTTCTGGATCAAATTCACATACTGTTTTGTGTTTTAACGTAACATGCTCCAGTAAGGCTTGTTCAGGTACAGGATGTTGAATATATAAAACACATGAGTTCTTATTTGATCCTAGGAGGCTAATGAAAATACATTCTACACATTGGATAAAAGCTGAAACCTGATTGCCAAAAACTTCTTCCTACTTCTGAAAATCAGGCATTTCCTGGCCAATGTAAATTTTATGAGTTACTTACCCAGGCTTTCTTTTTCATTTACACCTTTGTCATATTCATCTTGTAAGGCCTGTATTTGATCTTCTACTTGTCTTAGTAATGCTTGCTTTTCTCTCAGGGTAGCCATGGTAATGTCAAGTTCAGCCTAATAAAATCAAGCAACTGTTTAAGAACAGGGCCAAAAAAAGGCTGAATTTGCCCATTAATAATACAGATCTAAAAAAAATTTTATATATGTTCCTCTTTTCATGTCCAAAAAGACTTTGATGTGATACATAAAGTTAAAACAAATATA
This sequence comes from Homo sapiens, assembly GCF_000001405.40. Lineage (NCBI taxonomy): Eukaryota > Metazoa > Chordata > Mammalia > Primates > Hominidae > Homo > Homo sapiens. Next base: position 84,706,745 of record NC_000002.12, on the reverse strand, counting down.
AATTAGAGTAAAATACAAGAACAGAAGTAAATGAAACAAAACAAAATCAATAATAAAGCCCAACAAAATAAATCATAATAGAGAAACAGGTGTACTGAGCATTTGGGATGAATTAGGTATCATAATGGATTATTAATTTTAAATGATGCAACAAATTAAATATTCATGCCATAGTGGAAACTAATATTTCCTAACTAGTTCTCCACATCAGAGGTCGGCACACTATGGCCTGCAGGTCAAATCTAGCCTGCTGCCTGTTTTTGTACAGTATGCAAGCTAAGAATGGTTTTTACATTTTTAAATAATTAGAAAAAAATCTTTAAAAGAATAATATTTCATGAAATGTGATAACTGTGTGAAATTTGAACTCCAGAGTCAATAAATAAAGTTATATTGGAACATAGTCATGCTTATTCATCTATGTATTGTCAATGACTGTTTCTGTGCTGCAACAGCAGAGCTGAGTGCTCGCTGCAGAGACCATATAGCCTGCAATGCATAAAATATTTATTCTCTGGGTCTTCATGGAAAAAGTTTGCCAACCCCTGCTCTATAGCCACAGTTCTTTCAGTAACCTGCTCCACTAAATGATCATTCTTTTTTCTTCTTGGGAAGATGAAGGGCCTCACATCCAATGACAGGGTTAAGCTGGTTCTAAAACCTCAGATGACACCATCAAGCACGGAAGTATTTAGCAAACGGAAATACAGACCATCAGATGGTTGAGCTAAAAAGTACCTTAAAGAAAGAGATTAATTCCTTTTTTTTCAGATGAATATACTGAGGAACTCATGTTCCTCTTATGCTGAAAGAAGGCTGATTTCAGAGGCAATTTCTGAAAAAAAATTGCCAGCTCTTGTTTAAAACAAAAGCTAATTTCCAAGAGTTTTGTCACTGTCTATATTGCGTAGGACCACAGTAACATTATACAGAGAACTTGAAATGACTGGCGATCATGGCCTTCAATTCTATAAAATATCACAATACAGAAAATGTACCTGTGCGGCGCGGAGCTTTTGTCTTTTTGGTTCGACGACCTTGACCACTCGAGAGTACAAATCCATAGCTCTTACCCACATGCACATAGATTTACATGCTTTGGACACTTTCTCCACTTTTTCAGGCACAAAATCAGGATTATTAATATACTTTTGAAGCTTTGCCAATATCTGAGGCTTTATGTTCTCCTTATCATATTCTAAAAGCCTTTTTAGAAAGTTAGAGTCACCAAGAAGTTGCTTTGCTGATGGCCAATCAGGCCTGAAAGACAGACATGATATATTAATGGCACTGAAATGAAGTAATATAAGAACAAAAGAATGTATTTCTTTGAGAACATTATGATATTATCCCAATAAGTGGATAATTTTAATCTTGGTACTATAATTTTAGTAATTGGTAGTTAGGTGCACCACAATTAATTCAGGGGGCGAAAAGAAAATGGGTGACTAAGTTTCCATGCGACCCAGCTTTGGTAGAGAAAGAATTACAAAATCACAGTTTTAGAAATGTAAGGCATTATAGAAACAATAGTTTTATTTTTAAAACGCCGCAGGCACTCACATTTTACCTCCTTTATCATAGTTCCCACCCTTAAAATCACCTGCCAGGACACTACAATTGCTTTCTAACTGGGCTTTATGTCTCTTTGAACTTTGTTCTTCTGAACTTTTGCCAGATTGATCTTCCTACCATGAAAATCTGATTAGATAAAAAATGTTCAACGATTCTCAGTCCCTTCTGCCCACAGCTCTCTATCTGTGCTCTGCAGAGCTCTCTGGGTCCTACCGAGGTACCAGTTTAAGGGTCAGTGGGAACCTCTCCACCCTGTCTCCTGGAAGCCTGGTGGTGATGTGGTGCTCTGAGCCCTTTGCCTAGTTTTACACAGAAAGGTTCATTACAACATAATTTTATTGAAAAAAAGTTTGTATCACTAAAGAAAGTTTGAAAACTACATATCTCCAAGATGAAATCTGAAGTGTTTAGTGCAGCTTTTAAGACCTTTCGTGATGCAATCACTGGCCTCCTGCCCAGCCCCATCCCACTCCAAGAACATTAAAGCTCATTCCTGAGCTCGCCTATGGTCCCACTATCCAACTGAGCAGTGTTTTCCAAAAAACCTACTTGCACATCCCAGCTGGGCTTAGGCACTGTTTTCTCAGCACTCCCAATACTACACAACTCTCACATTGCAATGAAATTATTAGTTTTCATGTCTGTCTTCCCACTAGCCTGTGTATATCTTGCAGAGAAAAACATATCTTCCACCATCTAGTACAAAATAGATGTTGGGGAAGAAAATGCTCCTTGAATCAATTTGTTGAATGACCAACTGAAGCAATGAGAAGGTGGAGAAGGGAATGAATATATACATTACCATGGAGGAAAACAGTAAAGAACTCTTACCAGGTATCATGGCAATACATGACTCTGAATTACTCACTTGGCATTCAAAAGAATGGAGATTGCTTCCATTACTGTCATGACCAAATCTGGGGGCTTTGTAAAAACTCTGATTTCAGATATATCTGCCTTATCTAAGGAATCCAGTGCTTTATTGGCAGCATCTAGTGCAGGTAGTGCCTCGTCAAGATCTCTTTGAGCATCATCAGCTATTGCTTGGGTTTCTTCAGCTTTGACTTTTGCTGTTGCTTCATCCTCCTGCACAGTGTTACGGACCTAACCATTGAAACATGACTGCTTAAGTGGCCTCATTATTTGAATTTTAATATTCAAAACAAAGCCAATAATAGTGAGTCATATTTGCCCTTTGGATTAGAATAATGATGAAAGGGAATTAGCTAGATTGCATTTTATGCTCTCCTTTGTCCATCTATGCCATGCCAATAGCATAATGAATATAAACTTATTATAACAAACAGTTCCATCTTAGGAGAGACATAGTTGCTTTATATTTGTAGGTGGTGCTTTTCTCACAATTCTCTGTCCTATTCATTGGGCTGCATCAATTCTTGGGGACAGAGCCAAACTGATTTAGTAAAGGGAGATTGTTTACAACTTAAAAGCATTGCTAAATTGCTAAAAAAAAAAAAACTTTGCTAAATCTATCACTTAATTATTTTAATAACATATATAATAAAAAAATCCAATCGTGTCTCATTATATATAAGTGATCAGTTGCTGACAGAAGCCTTTTCCACATTCTCAGGAACTGCAGCATACCTGATCGGCACTTTCTTGATCCACTGCCAATTTTTCCATCAGGGCTTCAACATCTTCTGATTTTGCTAAAAGTACAGGCTCTAAAGCTGAAAGATCTAGTTTCATTTTATCTACTAGTATGTTTGTTTCTAGTAGCTTGGTGAGACCATTCTTCACCCGATCTCGTGCCTAAGTGACAATGAAAATTTATATTATAATGAGCATTATAAACTCTAAGTTTACTGGTATCGAACACATATTACTCATGTATTAGACTTTTACGTCTACAGAATTGTTAAATCAGTTTGTAATAATTCAGGTTGTGAACATATTACAAATTGGGAAATGTTCAGATAATGGAACTCTAGAAATGGCCATGACATTCATCACAGTTGTTTGGATCCATGCCCTCTGGCCACAGCAGTGGGACGTCACTGGGCTGTGGCTCACTGAGAGTAAGGACCACATGGTACTGTTTTTATTCCCTGTGGTAGCATGTTGAATGAGTGAGGAACAGGTCCAGATGTGAATCCCTGGAGGCTGCAGCTCTGGGAGCTTGTTTGCTCTGGCCAGCAGGGCTGAGGACCCCTAGGGAGATGAGGTCCAGAGGGTGTAGCTCTAGCTGCTGGATTTGAAACCTACTTCCCTGTGGTAGAAAACTCTTGACCATGATCAAAGGGCTGGTATCTGGTAAAGGAGACACCTGGGAAGAACTGTTTTTCGAAGGTGAGTCAGAAAGCTTGGCTCATGGCTGGGGCAGGGGCTCACATCTGTAATGCCAGCACTTTGGGAGGCTGAGGTGGGCGGATCACGAGGTCAGATTGAGACCATCCTGGCTACAGCAAAACCCCATCTCTACTAAAAATACAAAAAATTAGTCGGGCGTGGTGGCGGTTGACTATAGTCCCAGCTACTTGGGAGGCTGAGGCAGGAGAATGGCACGAACCTGGGAGGCGGAGGTTGCAGTGAGCCGAGATTATGCCACTGCACTCCAGCCTGGGTGACAGAGCGAGACTCCATCTCAAAAAAAAAAAAAAAAAAGCTGGTTCAAATGGGCAGATTTCAAAAATATCAGTCAAGTTATTTCACAAGGCAGGCATTTAACCAGGTAAGAACCCTCTGAAAAAATTTAAATATCTATATTGTAAGTGCTTCCATTTTTAGTGTGTTTAAAATGTAGAAAATTGTAGGTCATGTTAATTTCCTGATGATGATGATGACAGCAGCTTCTATTTTCTGAGCACTTTATATGTGTCAGATCATAGTTTCAGGAATTCACTAACAAAGTGTCCTAAATTCCACGACAATCCAAGAGGTAGATACAGATTTTCTTTTAGCCTTATTTTCTACTAAGGCTTAGAGAAGTTACTAATGTGCTCAAAGTTGCATAGCCAGAGGCAGAACATAGGCTGTACACAGTTTGGCTGATACCCCAGTCCTTGCTCTTAGTCGGAACCACTGGCACATGTTCTTTAAAACACCATCTGTATTGCTTAACAAAATGTTTTCCTCTGTATTAAATACCATAGAGATGACCAGTTCACTGCATAACTTTGATGGTCTTGTGATGCCCATATCATTCTACTGAGTCAAGGATACTTGCATAAATGGCAGAAGGAAAATATATATAATTATTGAAAAGGAGAAGGCCCTCAGACCAACAGCAGGAAACACTTTTTGGTCATATTTTAGGTTGTCAGGGGCACATGTCATGATGGAGAGGGCCTGATATGGTTTGGATCTGTGTCCCCACCCAAATCTCATGTTGAAATGTAATCTTCAATGCTGGAGGTGGGGCCTGGTGGGAGGTAATTGGATCATGGGGACAGTTTCTCATGGCTTACCACCATCCTCCCTTTGGTGCTGTCATCATGATAGTGAGTTCTTGTGAGATCTGGTGTTTAAAAGTGTGTGGCACCACCCCCCTCTCTCTCTTGCTCCTGCTCTTGCCACATAAAATGTGCCTGTTTCCTCTTCACCTTCTGCCATGATTGAAAGTTTCCCGAGGCCTCCCCAAAAGCTGAGCAGATGCCAGCACTATGCTTCCTGTACAACCTGCAGAACTGTGAGCCAATTACATCTCTTTTCTTATAAATTACCCAGTCTCAGGTATTTCTTTATAGCAGTGCGAGAATGGACTAATACAGGGCCCTGACAGGTAAGACAGTGCATAGAGTTTCCATGCATTCTCAAAAGTTCTGAGTTCAAGCAAAACAATATTTTCATGGATAATATTGAACCTACTGAAATAATCTGCTTCCTTTTTTCAGACAGCATAGACAGGTAAAGATTGATAAGCTCCAGGTAGGAGGTGGGTGTCGTGTAGTACCGCCTGCGCAGCTCATTGTAATAGCGCTCTGCCATGCTGGAGACACTCAAGTGAACGTTCACGCACATCAAGGGAAGCTTTTCTTTCAGTTCTTCATTTCCAGCATCGACTTGTGAGAAAAATGTCTTTGACACAGAAAGAAGTGCTTCTCTGGGCCACTGTGAATCAAGGAAAAATCTAGAAAATCTGTTGTGTCATTTCAATAACATACAGTTTAATACCAAGAAAAACATATTTCTCGGGAACTCCTCCCTGCCCAGTCCCCTCTTCACCTAGTTAACTCCTACTCATGTCTATGGTGCTTAATGAACTGAAGGGCTCTGTCCATTTGAGGGGTGCCTGGGTCTGCATTTAGTGACCAGTATGTCTCCACAGTATCATGCACACGGAAGTTGCTCAATACATATTTGTTGACTGAATGAATTAATGATTGGGTGCTTCTAGAATTCCATAAATAAATCATATATGTTACAGGGACCTTACGTCCTCACTCTGTTTGTTACATAGTTGGGACCTCACGTCCATCATTATAATCACTGCCCTGCACACCTCAACTCCTTTGCTCCTCTCTTGCTTCTTTGAACTCACTTGAACATTGGTCAAATGCAACTCTCTTACTTCATGCCTGCAACTGTGCAGCTGAGCATGGCTGCCAATTAGTATCACTTTAAATTTTTGATAATTAGCTTAGTGCAGCCCAGAAATGCTTCTACATTTTCTAATATATCAGTTTTATGCTCTCCTGAGTATTTCACACCGGATTCTACTTCCTTAAACTGCTGACACTTAGTCTTTCTTTTTCACTCTCAGCTGATGATCCTACTGCCCATATCACTAAAAAACAATAGCAATGAAAACAGAACTTCAATGACCTCTTACCCCCACATCTTCCTACCTACCTGCATCTGTGCTCATATATTCTGCCTCCCTACCTGTTACTCAGGGGTAGGCTGTGGATGCACCCTGACCAGGTCAGCCCCTTCTTTGATGACTCATTCTTATCCCTTCTTGCTTATTCAAGGACACTGGTCCCACAGCGCTTAACTCGGTATGCTGCATCATCCATATATTTATCTTTTCTGGATCATTTACATCAGCACACATGCATGCCGCTTGTGTTTCACATTTAAAAATACTTCTCTCTTGACCTCACATGTCCCCTAGCTCTTGCCCCATCTCTCTGCTTTCCTTTGGGGCAAAACTCAAAAGTGTTGCCTATAACCACTGACTCAGATTTCTCTCCCCTCTTCTCTCTTGAACCCTTTCTCCCACCATCCATTGAAACAGATTTTGTCAAGATAGCTGATAACTTCCACATTGCTAAATTCAATGGTCTCTTACTTTACAAATTCTGTTTTGTCTTTGTTCTATGATTGTCACGGTCATTCTCTATATGAATAAATTCCTAGTAGGCTTTAAAGCTAATACAAGTACCCATGAGTTACTCTTGGACAATGTGTTACCCCTTTAAAGTCAAGCAAGTCCAACTTCTCAAAGAGATATCCTGGGATGTCACCAACCTGCACAAACCAGTCAATGGTGCAGCAATTCACAAGGGATGGAAACATCCTGCATCGGGACCGAAAGGCCTCCCCAACTGGGCTCATGCAGAGAACAATGTGCAGCTTCTGACGCACTTTGCTGATAAAGTATTGAAACACCTGACAAAAAGAAAGTTATTTTTTCAGTTTAAAATAATGATTAAGCAACAATGAAAATAAGTGTTGGCTAATGCATCTGAGGCTCCCAATATCAAATATAAAATGTCAGCATAGTAGATATGTAAATTTTCTTGTTCAACATTCACTCCAACCTCTTTCTCTCACACAGTCTGGAAAGATTAAAAATGACATTTTGCAAACTCCATCGTGGCTAGGGTTCTGGATGTGATTTAGGTCCCTTTCACCCGTGTACTTGAGGAGATCCTTTGAATAAAGGGCCATTCATACAAGGTTTTGCTGTGGGGCAGAAGACATCTGGGAGAGAGGGGCAGGGTGCTGCACAGTTGTACAGGTGCAGAGCCTGGCAGAAGTTGCATGGTATGGGAGTTTTTTTTTTTCTTTTTCAACTTTTATTTTAGATTCTGGGGGTACATGTGTAGGTTTGTTACAAAGATATATTGCGTGATGCTGGGGTTTGGAGTATGACTGATCTTGTCACCCAGGAAGTAAGCACAGTATCCAATAGGTAGTTTTTCAACCCTTTCATCCCTCCTTCCCTCTGTGCTCTTTTATTCTGCGTTGTCTATTGTTCCCAACTTTATGTCCATGTTACCCAATGTTTAGCTATAAGTGAGAACAGGTGGTATTTGGTTTTCTGTTTCTGCATTATTTGCTTATGATAATGACCTCCAGCTGCATCCATGTTTCTGTAAAGGACACAATTTCATTATTTTTAATGGCTGTGTAGTATTCCATGGTGTGCACATACCACTTTTTCTATATCTAATCCACCACTGATGGGCACCTGAGTTGGTTCCGTGTCTTTGCTATTGTGAATAGTGCTGCAATGAAACATACAGGTGCATATCTCTTTTTGGTAGAATGATTTATTTTCCTTTGGGTATATACCAGTAATGGGATTGCTGGATCAAATGGTAGTTCAAAGTTCTTTGATAAACTATCCTGGAGCTATTATTTCTGGAAGTGGCTCCTGATTTCAGCTGCTTCCTGATGTGATGGAGGACACATGGCTCTGGAGCTGGCGGCTGATGCAGAGGCACACTGACTGGTTTAGTGGCTCCCTGCTTCAGCAGGAATGGTTGTGGCAGAGGCAGCTACCTCCTTGACCATTGACTTCTACAGTGTACATTTTATATTCATTCCAATCAGTTCAGTCTGGAATTTCTTTCTTTGGCCCTTCCAATGATTCTGTGTCCCTTTAATAAATCCCTTCCTGCTTACATTAGCAGAAGTAGACTTGCATCTGTACCTATAATCTCCGACCTAGCAGGAGAGACAATTCTCACAAAGGGAAACAGTAAAGATATAAGAAAGAACAGCCAGAAACTTAAAGAAGGTGCAAAAACAAGGAAAAAAGCTGGGGTGAACAAGTAGTGGTGTATGGGATCTAGCATGGTGCTGGAGAATGGAAGTGTACAGCAGCCACACTGTTCCCGAGAGAGTGAGAGAAAACACATTCCTGCTTTGTTGTGTCATAACATTGCTGCTAGGCAAGGGCATCAACAATGCTGGACCTATGCCTTCAGCCCGCCACAGGTAGGGTGCTGCAGTGTGTGAAATAAACTGGTGCTTAAAGAGGAATAAGAGAGGCTGGCCAGTTTGGACAAGACTATGACCTCTGTGGGGCAATGGGATTTCTGTTTTCTGCTTCCCACAGAACTTTCTGGAAGTCTGGTGACCCAATGCTTTAAACACCGAAAATAAAATACATCGAATACAAAGGAAACCAATTATATTGAAAAAAATTTTATTCATGGACCCCTTCAGGCAATCAATGAATGGTTAAATAAAAGGTGAAGAAACGTTTTTGTGATAAAGCCACATAACTACTCTGGCACATCCTACCTCGTCTCTGTTCCCCTCAGAAATTCCTACTTCTTTTGCTCTTGGTCTGGTGGCCGCTAAAACCTGCTCCAGTTCATCCTTTTCAAATAAATTAGGCACTTCACCTGAGTTCAGGATGTTATTTATATCTTCTAGGAACTCCTCCACTACAATCTGTAGAAGAAAGCAGTGATCATTACAACTTGCTCAATCATTTTCCATTTATTATAAAGCAAATATTTATTCTAAAATTCACATGAATCAATTTCATCTTTAAGAGAAGATAATCTTAAAAATTTCATGGAACCCTGAAGTTCTAACATAGCAAGTACACTGATTTTTCATTTTTCCTTTGTGTTTTGTTTCTTAGCAGGCATTCCCATTTTACCTTGGTCAAGTCATATGTGCAAGTATTTTATATTCTGCCCCTTTCAGTTACCATTTTATCATTAATACTAACCCATAGTTCTGTAATGTACTCATCATATTTATCAAAAATATAGAAGCAGAATGCACCATTGAGCTGATGCACCATACATTTGCACGGACAGAGATAGTTTACAGTCTTGTTTACATTATAAGAACAATTTTAGGCATATATCTTTTCCCCTTAGTTGGATTATTTTCTTGAAACAAATTCCCAGGAGTGAGATTACCAATTAAATGCACAAATATTTTCTGGATTTTGAAGATTTTACTATTTCTCATTCAATTCAAGTGTGACTTCATCAATTTTTAACATTTATTTTTGTTAATTTGGGAGATATAATAAATGCTTTCTTTTGGAGAATTTATTTTGGATGTTTTTGATTATTAGCAAGGGAAAATATTATCCCACATTTATTATTGTCCATTAAAAAGTCAGTCTAAACTTTGCAACCACCTGCATCTTGGAGTTTTCTTTCAAATTTGCATGAGTAATTTACATATTTTGAAATAGACTTTTTGTCTTTCAACATTGATGCAAATATTTAAAAGCAATCTCTCGTTTACCCTTTATTTCAGTTAACTTTTTAGTTATATAAAAGTTTGAGTACTATATATTTAACTATGACAAGATATCTGTTATTTTGTTTTCTTCATTTGAAACTTTTTGTTTTTCTTAATGAACTTGGTATAATTGTGTCTGTCAATTTTCCCCAAGAGCAAACACTAGTTTTCTGTGTTCTAATTTATTTTTGCTTTATCTTGTTCCATTTTCTTATGTGTCTTGTGACATTTGTTCCCTCCTAAAGTTTTAAGTAAACTAATTTGTGTAGTTTCTAATTTTTGATTCAAATCTACAAATGTAAATTTGAGAACTGCTGGGTTGCATTCCATAGATTTTTATTTATATTAAGTTCATTTTTCTTAGTCTCTAAGAGATTTTGACTTTCTTGATCTTTATATGAATGTTTTAAAGTCCTAAGACACATCATTAATTTCTCCCTTAATTAAAGCATGGGCAAAGAATGTTACGAGTACAGCTTATGCTTTTAACAATTTAATAAAAATTTCTTTAAATCTAGTATATGATTAATTTTTGTAAACATTCAGTAGTATTAGAAAATATTTGCTTTCTCTGTAAAATATGAAATATAGTATATAGCTATTAATTGTAGCTTAGAAATTATATTATGTAAAATATCTAATCATAGTTATTTCTACTTTGTATTTGTTAAGTTACAGCCAATTAAACTCTATTTTTAACATCTTGTTTCTCTCAATTTCTTCTCACATTTATAATGTTTTGTGTATATATAAGTTCATGTATAGACACATGCATTTTTATTTTTATGGTTACGTTTACTCTTCATTATTGTAGAACATTTGAGATTGATTGGGGCTTCCAACAGAATGTAGTAACTTTTTGTCTAAAGAGAAGCAACACAATATGACTTGATCTTTGGAGCTTTAATACTTGGAGACTTTTTACATAACTTGTTTGATTTTTAAAAGCAATGTTAAAAGCACTATCAGAAATATCTTAATTTTAGGATAATCAGAAACTACAGATAAGCAACTAGACAATAAAAATCACTCACAATCCCAAGATTCAAATGTTTTCTCTTTGTACACAGGGCATACATGTCTAGATATACATTAAAATGTGGATGCTTCTAAAATATAATTTTACAGTTTTTACACAGTGCTCTAGTATATGGTTATATCAGATATTATGTATATGACTTTCTCTCACTGGACATTAATACTCTCTCAGATTATTATTTAAAAACATTACAATAGATATTCTTATACATGCAACTTTGTACATAGCTTTGAGTATAACGTAAAAGAAATGTAAAGGCTTTACCTACATATTGCCAACTACCTTCCAGAAAGATTTTGCTAATTTATAATCTCCCAGTGAAGAATAAACAGGCCTATTATTCCCACACCTCTGCCAACTCTGTATATTATGATTTTTTACCATTATCAACTTGCAAGGCCAAGTCACTCGCATTTTTATTTATTACAATTTCCTTCATTAATGGTGAGGTTGAAAATTTCTTCAGGTGTTTAAAGCCCTTTGTTTTCTGGAACTGTGTATTCACATTCTATCACATTTTTTCTATTTCTTCTATAGATGTGCTTGACTTTTCCTTTTTCATTTGTGATAAGTATTTTTATAATAAGATATAAACTCATTGCATGTCATAGATACTAAAAATATTTTTCCAATTTTTTCTTTGTATTTAATTCTGCTTACAATATTTAAAACATTTATGCATCAAATCTATCACTTTTTTATTCGTTGGCTAATTTCTAGATGGGTTTATTTTCTCTAAAGAAAAAATACCCAAGAATAATCAATGTAGAAAGTCCTCTGCTATAGAATTAATTCAAGATCAGTTAATTTAGCTGTTGTAGATATAGATGTAATCCTACTTCAATTTTAAAGGTAATTTAACCCAAAAGATAGCCCTTACTTTTTCCTTTCTGTAGGTAAAGTCATGTTTCCCTAATTGAATTTTTGGTAAATTATTTTCTTATATGCACTTTTATAGTTTATTACCTTCTGTTATCTTTGCCTTTTCCCTCAAAGAAAAGTTAAAAACTTACCTCCTCGACCTTTGATCAAATTTAATTACTAAGAATTTAAAGAGGGAAACAATACTTGGTAAAATAAATAAAAATGTATTATAAAAGTCTTTTACAAGCTGCAGGAAATCTGTTATCAAAGGGAACAATCCCCTTGAACTTCATCCTACAAACTGTTCAAAGCACACACCCGATTGTAACACCCATACATTTCCTGTTCTCACCCATGGGCTATTTAAACACACACCTGGGTGTCAGTGAAAAGGAAAACCATATTCTTGTCTTCTACACCAGCCATTTTGTACAACTTCCTCAGGTCTTCATGAAAACTATCATAATTATATCCCCGGCTGAGTTCAATCTGCAAACATTTGTAACCGCATATATGAGCTGCAAGTCTCGTGAGTGACTGCTTTCCTGTGCCTCCTACTCCAACAAGCAGGGCATTGCCTCTTTCTTGACGTATCATCCGAGCAATCCTGCAAACATCAGAGCAGAGGGTTTATTTCAAGTTCACAGACATGGCTCCTGCTCAGAGAGCCTGCCCCAGAGCCAAAGGCTGGTGGCCAGTGGAGCCTCCTCCCTGGGCAGGATGCTGCAAGGGAAGAGCAGGCTGCATCTGAGGCCAGGGTTTGGTGAACAGCACTGCTGGGCTTTTCTCTTTTTCATTCTTTCCCCCATTCCTAACAGGCTGTTGGGTCTCGGCCCTAGTCGTACAAATTTAGAATAAAGTAAAATCTCTTTTTCCTGAAGTCTGAAGGACTTTGTTGGAGACCCTAGCCGATCTAGGCCACAACTTATATTGTCAATTGCTAAGCCCAGGTTTCCATTTATAAGAATGAGCAAGCAGAAAAATCACTGAACCTAGAAAAAGACACCACAGTGCAGAAGGAGAGACCAACAGAACACTTTGAAATGGATTTACTGCAGGATACCAACAAAATTTTAGAAAGTTTCTGATTCATGTTAACAGGAATTTTTTTTTTTTTTTTGAGATAGAGTCTTGCTCTGTTGCCCAGGCTGGAATGCAGTGGTGTGATCTCGGCTCGCTGCAACCTCCGCCTCCTGGGTTCACGCCTGCCTCAGCCTCCAGAGTAGCTGGGACTACAGGTGGCTGCCACCATGCCCGGCTAATTTTTTGTATTTTTAGTAGAGACGGGGTTTCACCGTCTTAGCCAGGATGGTCTCGATCTCCTGATCTCATGATTCGCCTGCCTTGGCCTCCCAAAGTACTGGGATTACAGGCATGAGCCACCACGCCCGGCCAACAGGAATTTTGAAAAGCCCTACAATGATGATACTAGAGAGAGAGCACTCAAAAAGGAGGGAAACCCCCCCAAATTTAGGAAAAGTTGGGTAGAGATGGAAAATCCACTAAACTGAAAACCTGAGTGGAAGGTGATAAGTCTCACAAATAGAGTACCGTGGAGAGTTGAACAGGAAAAGTAGAGGCCAAACTCCAGGAATATACCCAGAACTCAGAAAAAAGATAGCAATCTTAAAATAATGGGAGAGAAAATGGAAGATAAGGAGGGCAAATCTCGGAGAAACAAATGGCATCCCAGAGGCCACATCATAGAAATTACAGGAATGAGAAGAAGGAATAGAACTGAGGCAATGGTGACTGACATAATAGAAGAAACCACTGGGACTGAACCCACGGACCCAAAGATCAAGAAAGAAAACTAGAGGAGAGACAAAACACTAAATGTTTCCTAGGAGATCTATAAGTAATTTACATGCAGAAGTTTTATAGTAGAAATCTATGTTTTAAACACAATTGAAAAGTTTATGATTATCTAATGCAGAAGTAATAGATTATCCCCAAAGGAAAAAATAATTTTAGGCTGGCTTCAGGCATCTACTCGACAAGATGACATTTTACAAGACAATGGTTGGAGAAAAATACCATGTTATGGCTCAGAGAGTAAATAATCTGCAAAGCCTCCCTAAAAGATTCCTTGAAGATATACACAAGTATGAATGAAATTTAAAAACCTGGGAAGGGGGAAGGGATATTAGTATAAAGGTGACCAGTATGTATGAGAATCAACTCTATACATTGTTGTTAAGATGATAGAAAAGGGGGTGATAACATCAATAAATTCTTCTTAAGAAGACATAAAATATAAACATAATTTAAAACTTATCATTACCATTGTCTAAAATCTAGAAATCATGGGATAAATATAAAAGCAGGTTTAATTATTTTTCCTCTTCCTCCCCTTCCTTCTCTGGGAAATTTATCTATCTATCTATCTATCTATCTATCTATCTATCTATCTATCTATCTATCTATCTATCTATCTACCTTATTTATATTGTTGATAATTGAAGAAAACAATGTTCAAATATTTTAAAATTATAGTGGCTTTATTATTTTTTGATTATGAAAACATCACATGGTCACTGTAACTCATGAGAGAAAACCATTGCTAACTATTTCCCACATGTAAGCTTCATCATGGGGGCCTGGATGCTGTCCATTTCTCTATGAGAACAGTGCATAGCATTTGGCGGGTGCTCCATCAATTCCACATTCAAGTAACCAACTTCTAGAGACTGTAACAGTTAGTTACTATATACATCATCTTTGGTGGCAGGAGATAGGAGCTATGTAGTGTAAGAATACAACAGGGAGTCTACGAGGACTTATTTAAAAAGTCTTCCTCCAGGACAAGGCACAGACTCCCAGTCATTATTTAGGATCTTCTGAAATAAGAATCAAACTTTGAAATTTGTTTCCTCCACCTTTACACCCTCTCCTGCTCCTCAGACAGGTCCACTTTTTCCACATCTTGAGTGCCTTGGTAAGATGGCTTTGTCTAAAACCGGGGTCAGCAAACTATGGCCTGTGGGCCAAATCCTGCCCCTTAACAATGTGGTTTTTTAATGACCCATGAGATAAGAACGGTTTTTAGATTTTTTTTAATGGTTGAAAAAAATTTTTAAAGAGTAATATTTCATGATATGTGAAAATCCTTTGAAATTCAAATATTAATGTCTATAAATAAAGTTTGTTGAAACATACCCAAGCTCATTCATTCACTTACTGTCTGTGGCTGCTTATGCATTATGACAGCAGGGTTGGGTAGTTACAGTATGATCTGCAGATACTGAAATAGTTTTTCTATCTGGCTCTTTACCAAAGTAGTTTGTCAACCTCTTCCCCAGAACTTTTGGCCAACTCCTCTACTAGAACAACGAAGACCCATAGGCACCATTGTCATTGCTATGTGTCTGCCACAGTACACATCTACTCAAAGACACATCAGATGTCTATTTGCTTTTTTCTCTTCAGCTGCCCAGGCGAGCATAAAATTGAGGGCAGAGTGAATAGATAATAATGCTTTCTTATTTTTCCCATAATGTACAAGTGTCCTACAGTTGATGAAATATTGAATATGATAAAAATCTTGCACTTTATATGTCACTCTTTCCTTATTTCATGTACATTATTATTTATAGCAGTTTGATTATTTCTATCTGAAACTACTGGAAACAAATTACTTGTCCATTCTGCTTTGTAGTATTATTTTTTTCTGGCAATTTACTTATAAATGGATTGAAAACTTCCCCTAGTAAGAATCCTCTAATGTAGTAGCTAAGTTATATTTTCTCTCACGTGGTAGGCAAGAGATAGTTCTCCTAATTAGTGGCTTAAAGACTAATAGATTTGTTCTACTATCTTTGGAGTGTGGTGACAACGTTAGGGGCATACAATGGGCAGAAACTGCCTGGTGCATTTGCTCTTTGAAAGCACAGGCTCTGAAGCAAATTTTTCCCCCCGAGTTAAAAGACTTTTACTTACCCTACATTAAAAAGCCAAAAACTAAAATGTCACCAGCAAATGGAAATGTAGTGTGTGCTAAATTACTGAGTATTTAGTAATTAATCCATAACTCACTTTCATAACAAAGACCTTTCCATTGCTAATCAGCATTAGGTGTTTGAACGCTCTTAAAAGCAGAAATATGTTTTCTCTGATTCCTAACTACTGATCCTCTCTTGAATAAAAGAGAACAGTCTACATCATTATTTACATGGCAGTCCTTTGTGCATCTGAAAACCAAATCTTCACCATGCTACAAATGGTTTTTAATTTCCGTCCATAATATTTTAAGCAAACCTTGAGGGGCCTGGTAATTCTCTTTCACAAAAGTAAGAAAGATTATAAATAGAATTAAGCCAACTTTGCTTACGGTCTGGTCTATTCTCCAGGAAGTTTCTCAGACCAAAATGCTGCCATTATTTTTTTCCTTGTAGGCTTAGGGCCTGCCTGAGCGATGGGAATAAAAGTTGTTAGGGGATAGCATGTGGGTATGCTGCCAGGGGGACAGAGGGGAAGCAAGTGGCATCTGGACAAGCCAATGACAAACAACCTATGTTATAACACTTAAGCTGTGACAAACATAAATCTTGAATTAGGGCTAATTAAAGAGCTGAAATATGGAACAGGTGAAGACTTTATTTGCTTATGGTTTATGTGAAAAAAAATTCTAGGGATTTAACTGTCAGTATTAACAAGGACCAACGCTAAAATGTAGTTGACACAGGAAAAAAACCAAAGCCATGAAAATCTTGCTGCAGCAGTAGACCATGGGAAATCCTACTCTCACTGTATTTTACTGTATTTATTCCACAGAATATGATATCAAATCTGGATGCTGCATTTTAAGTAGAACATTGAAAAATTATAAAGTGCTCAGTATGTGAAGACTGGAAATAATCTCCAACACGCAATAAGAAAGATGTGGGATAATTTTGCCTGGAGAAGATAAAGCTAAGAAGAATATGGGAATGATCTTCAAATATCTGGAGAGCTGTTATGAAAAAAGTGAGCCCATTTTGGGTAGGGGCACCCACAGTGGAGTTAGAGCTGAAGCACTGGCTGTGATCCCCACCTGCCACTCACTGACTAGAAGACTTTGGACCATTTACCTAATCTCTCTGTGGCACACAGCGTTGTCCAAAAAGTGGCTGCAATAATGCCTCTGGTCCTACTTGCTCTTTGATTCCATCAAGAGATAGGGTCTCCGTCCTCTTCTTTTGACCTTGAGTGGGCCTGTATGACTGCACTGACTAGAAGAGCACAGTAGAAATGATGCTATGTGACTTCCAAGACTATGTCAAAAAAGCCATTTGGCTTCTGCCTGGCTCTGTCTTGCAGCACTTGCTTTTGGAGCCCTGAGCCACCATGTTGAGAAACCCAGATACCCTGATGCTGCCATGCCGAGAGACAAGTGGAGAGACTATATGGAGGCGGAGATGCTCCAGGCACTCCAGCGGCGGTCTGATTACAACTGTAAGAGAGATGCTCAGAGAACAGTCGCAAAAATTGAGAGATGATAAAATGAATCTGCTAAGGGTAGGAGTGGCTTATTACATAGCAATAGACCACTGGGACATTCTCTGAGCCTTACTTGTAAAGAGATTATGATCCTGAGCTATAGAGAGATTGTTGTACCAGGTAAATGAGATGCTCCATATCATGGTTTCATACCCACACTGAGTACCTTAATCATGACTGCTTCACAGGATGGGATGGATACCAGAAGCACAGGAGGCAGATGTTGGCTTATCCTGGAAGGATCATTTTAGCATTAGAACTGTCAAACAGGACAGGAGCCACTTCAGGAAGTGTGCCCCAAGGACTGCAGATATTTAGGCTGGATGCTCATGAATGTGTCAAGGTTGTCCCTCATAGGACACTTGTAGTGGGTAAGAGTCAGACATGCAAGCAGGTGAAACCTTTGATCCTGGATTGAACTTGTTTTGCTATAATTTTGAAGCTCCTCTTTCTTTAGGCATGCATGGAACTAGCATTGTTATACCGTACATGTATCTCTGTAAACAACCTCATATCCTTTTTGTAACAAGACAGAACAGATAAAAACAAACAGAAACCATCTACTAATATTTAGCAAAAAAATGACTCTGGGGATTCCATAGAAAGCTCATTCCACAAATATTTAAAATATGTTAAACAATAACTCTTAAGTTATGGTGAGAGTTAATAAAAGACCTCTGACCATCTAGCAATCTGTTTGAAGAGTTTATACAACTTATTTTTTTACCCTTTAATACAAAAAATATTAAATCAATGCATTATTGGGCGCCTTATAGCACTATACCTTGAAACATGTTCTATAGCATCCTGGAAGAACACCAACTTTACTTCTTTGGGATTTGTGAGATTATAATCATCAAGATAGTCCTGTAGAACATTTGCAGTTTTCTCTATATCAGGCATGTCATCATAAATCCGATCAGCTTTATCTGCTCCAAACTATAATTTATGGGAGAAGAACCAAGTTGGATCAATTCTGATAGACACATAACCTGGAAAATCCATTTCATTTAACTTCTTCAAGAGCTACACTGGAATTTTGAAGGTCTTTGCAATAAAATTTACATAGGAGCTCAGAAATAGGGTTTTGATTTTTCTCACAATGCTATATTCTGATTTCACTTTTTTTTTTTTTTTTTGAGATGGAGTCTCTCTCTGTTGCCCAGGCTGGGTGGGGTGCAGTGGTGCGATCTCAGCTCACCACAACCTTCGCCTCCTTGGTTCAAGTGATTTTCCTGCCTCAGCCTCCTGAGTAGCTGGGATTACAGGCGCCCACCACCACGCCCAGCTTATTTTTGTATTTTTAGTACAGACGGGGTTTCACTATGTTGGCCAGGCTGATCTCGAGCTCCTGACCTCAAATAATCTGCCCGCTTCTGCCTCCTAAAGTGCTGGGATTACAGGTGTGAGACACTGCGCCCGACCTGGTTTCATTTTTTTGCTGTTAGGTTATTGACATTGGAAAAGCTAACTGGTTAAAAACTATGCATGGCAGACTGCTATTATTATAAAAAATCATGCCAGAACTATTTGTAGTTTTTAAATAGCAGTCATTTAGGGTTACCTAAATTGTTGAGAATGAAATTCAGGTGTGAAGTGTAGGGAGTCGAGTCCTTGTTTTAATCTATTGATGATATCCCTTCTCTATTGTATGTAGCAACGGCCCCAGGGGCACTTTCTCCTGGAATGTTTTACTAAAACACACAGAGGCAATGCAAGAAGAGTCTAGCTGTTTTTTTTCTGTGTGTATTCCCTCATGTGATAATACAATCAACTAGAAACACACAGGAAAATAATCTTTGAAAACAAACTTTGGACCATACTTTTAATAATAAATATAAATATATACTTTACAAAAATACGTAGTTTATCTTTTTTATTTGTCGGGTGGTAATACTTATCTAGAGTGGAGTTACCAGAGTGGTGAGGTATTGTCTACATATAATATAAAGACGAGTTCCTTCATGTGTTGAACCAGCATTGATTGAGAGCCTGCTACGTACCTCTGTGCAGGAACCTGGGAACTTAAGATGAACAAAAAACAGACATGGTCTCTGCCCTCTTGGAGACACTGGGAATGTTTTACTCGAACAAGAGGCACCTTAGTAAAACAACATGGCTATCTGCCAATGTAGGCAGGGCAGTGAGATAGAAGATTTATTCCAGGCAGGTCAAGAGGGTAAAATTTACCAGAGGGTAAAATTAGGTCCAGAGGGTAAAAATTAGACAGAGAGTATTGCAGAGACAGGCTTGAGGAACTCATAAGGGAATAAAAGGAAGTTAAATATATAAAAAAATTTGCTACTAATTAGAGTTACTCTGAAATGAAGAGAACAATTCTCTTAACCAAGTAGCTTCACTATGTAGAGTACAATAAAGGGGAAGTCCTGAGTTAAAAGACTAGACCTCTCCGCTTCCTTCCAAACTGAATACCTGATACCTCTCTGATTCAAACCGTTACCAAAATGAATGTAATTAGATCAGGAGTCAGCAAACTTTTTCTGTAAAGGGTCTGATAGTAAATATTTTAGGCTTTGCAGGTCATATGGTCTTTATCACTACTACTGCACTCTGCTGTTGTAGAGCAAAAGCAACCATATAAAAATCATATACATAAATGGCTGTGGCTATGTTCCATAGAATTTTGCTTACAAAAATAGGCAGCAGGCAGATGTGGCTCATGGGCCATAGTTTGCTGACATCTGGCCTAGATCTTAACTCCTCACACATGTAAAGTTTTTATAGAATATTCATTTGAATTGGAAAATAATAAATGCTTTACAATTTTCAAATGAGGTCAAGTCAATCTAACATACTTGCCTTAATGAAATCTCCAAATATGATGGGCTTATTCAAAAAATATTCCAGGTCAATTGCAATTCCAAAATGTTTGTCTATTTAAAGAACAAAACCAAGTTTTAAATATAATGATAATCTTGAATGGAATATTTTAGTGATAAAACATATAGAATAATAGCTGCATTTTACTTAGAAGACTTAATTAATATACATAAAAACTGAGAGAATACTGTGTTAACTCCATGCCGCTTTAGTTTAGCTGATAATCTCCCAAGTTTAAGATTAAGAATACTTAACAAAGAATTTAAAACATTTGTTAAATAATGAATATTGGATACTTATTTAAGAAATAAGAAGTACTTTAAAATTATCCTGGCTTTTTTTTTTTTTTGAGACGGAGTCTTGCACTGTCACCTGGGCTGGAGTGCAATGATGCGATCTCGGCTCACCGCAACCTCCGCCTCCTGGGTTCACATGATTCTCTTGCCTCAGCCTCCTGAGTAGCTGAGATTATAGGTGCACACCACCACACCCAGCTATTTTTTTGGATTTTTAGTAGAGACAGGGTTTCACTACATTGGCCAGACTGGTCTTGAACTCCTGACTTTGTGATCCGCTTGCCTTGGCCTCCCAAAGTGCTGGGATTACAGGCATGACCACTGCGCCTGGCCTATCCTGGCTTCTTATCAGACAAAATGCTCTTTCTCCTACTTTCTCTCCTCTACTTAAAACTTTATAATAAATTAAAATACAAACACTTCCTGAATTTACTTATTTATTTTGGTATTTTTAGTAGAGATGGGGTCTTGCCTTGTTGCCCAGGCTGGTCTCGAACTCCTGAGCCCAAGGGATCCAAGTACCCAGCCACCGAAAGTACTGGGATTACAGGCATGAGCCACCATGCCCGACTGACCCTTCCTGAATTTTAATAAAATTATTTTATAATATTGCATATTTCATATATTTTAATATATATTTGAACCATCAAAGAAAATAACTTTTACTCATAAATTATGAAAATTCTTTTTGTGTTAATTGTTCTTTGTAGAAACCAAATTGCTTTTCTACTCAAATAAAAAAAAGAATAGGTAAAGATTCATATTTACTGGCCATTTCTGTCAGAATAACATGGAAATAGTGCTTATCTTCATTATTAATCAAGCGATCATGGAAGACCCTTTGGCACTCATGGCAAAAGAGTCTAAATATCTGAATTTCTTCTCTTATTGTTCCTGGATCACATTGGAGGATACCTGTTTTTTAAGAAAAGGAAAAAAAAAAAGAAAAATTCTACATTTGTAGAATCTCCAGTAATAGTTTAATTAGGAAACCCTTAAGTACAACTTTACCCTCATATTGCCAAAAATGACTGCTTCCCCAGTGGATATACACATATACTAATAGTGACCTCATTTTTTGATAACAAATCTGGGATACATTATTTGACAAAAACATTTTTTCCCTGTTTTGTGATGTTTCTTTAACCGAGCATGTGAAGTGGTCAGACTTCACAATATAAGCAAGGTTTATCTCATTATTACATGAATTGCAATATGTTAAGTGAAGGGCCTCACATTACTTTAAAATATACTAAAGTATATATATTTACTTATCTTGCAACTTTCCTCCTCTCAATGCATATACTGTTTTTGAAACTCCCATTTCTCTCTTTCTTCCCCAATGTCAGTCCTCACCAAATGCCCCTGGCCCTTCTGGCTTCTACTAAGATTATTCTGAGTACTCATTTCATTAGTGTAAATTGTTATTGCAAACACAGTTCTAATGATTTCAAGTTACAATCAAAGCAACAATGTACAGGAATTCCTGGAAATGGTACTTCTCCACAGGGACCACCAATATGGGGCTCCTCACACTGTAGACAGGGGCAGGGAGAGTGTCTACTGTGCATGTGGGCACACACAGCAGAGAGTGGGTACCACACAGCATGGTAGGTACTGCTCATGTTGCTTTGGAATACTAGGGTATTTCTATAGATAATGATGCTACCTGTTTTTTGCATCTCACATTGGTGTTTGTGTGTTGTTTGACATATATGTTTCTTGAAATGCTTGAAGTTTTAATTATTTTCAGTTAATATTTGTAGAAATAAGGAAATTTCTAGGACTTTTGATGAAATGCAGAAACAAGGAGAAAGAGATTCAACATTGGAATTTCCTGTGTATTTTATGATGCGTCATTTCAGAAATAAAGTGGATCCTGAATTTTGAAGCTCAAAAATTATCTTAAAAATAGGAATAGAAAGGCAATGGGGAAGGATAAAAAATAAATGACTAGATTAGACAATGTCTGAGGATCAGTGAGTCTGAAGCGGTTCATGAAAGAAACGAAGTCATATTCTAATGTTTTCTAGGAAAATTGAGTTCATGAATCACAGGACTAAACTGCTAGTATAAGAGGGCAAGATTTCAGTGGAGGAAGAGAAAACAAATTATTTTGTCATCCTGTGGCAAGGATGGTGTGCCAGCTTTGAGAGTCCTTCAGGCTCTGGAAGGAGGAAGAAAAAGAAGAATGACAGAGCCTTCAGATCGGGAGTTGGGAAGATCAGGAACCTGTGTGAGAACTGTGCATTAGGAAGAAGCAGGAGGGGTCTGCAGGGTTCTTAATGCCTAAGCTCCTGCCATGGGCCAGCATCTCCCAGTTCATTCCCAGACTTGTTAATGCACAACAGGTAATGACTTAGATTGTGATGAAGACAGGAAAGAGAGCTGGCTTTCAAAGAGGCCAGTCATTGCTTCACATGAAAGCACTCCACAGCTTCTACTTTGGCTACTTTGCAGATATTAAAAACAAACTTATACATGTTAGTTAGAATCTTTTTAGAGAAAAAAAAATATTGGCCGGGCGCAGTGGCTCACACCTGTAATCCCAGCACTTTGGGAGGCCGAGGCAGGTGGATCACCTGAGGTCAGGAGTTCAAAACCAGCCTGACCAACATGGCGAAACCCGGTCTTTACTAAAAATACAAAAATTAGCTGGGCATGGTGGTGTGCACCTGTAATCCAAGCTTTTTGGGAGGCTGAGGCTACAGAATCGCTTGAACCCAGGAGGCGGAGGTTGCAGTGAGCCGAGATCACGCCACTGCACTCCAGCCTGGGCAACAAGAGTGAAACTCTATCTCAAAAAAAAAAAAAAAAAAAAAAAAAAATAAGAGTGGTGTAGAACAAAGGGCACTGGATGGGGAGTCAGGGAACGAAGCAGATTATGGAGCAACTAAGAGTTAGTGTCCTTGTATACAAAATCAGGGGAGACTTGTTTATTCATCTAGACATTCATTCATTCAGTGCCAGGCCCGATTAGGCACTGGGATACAGTGGTGAACTAAGCATACAGCCCTTGGGGAGCTGATGTCCTAATGGGAGAGACAGATACATGAACACACATATATGCAGAGAAATATGTGCGATATGATTACAGGTAATAGGAGCTATGAAGGGACATGGGAAGTTTTGCTGAGAAGGTGACATTTGAGCAGGGAAAGTGAGCTTATGTGGCTATCTGGTGTCAGAGCATTGCAAGCAATGTACAGCGGTCCCTGGGCAGGCCCGATTTCAGGAATGGCAAGGAGGTGGCAGTAGCAAGGAGGAAAGTGGTAGGCAATGAAAGGGAGAGGGAGCCCGGATCCAGATCACACAGAGACTCAACACAGGCAGGTGCTAGAAGCAGCCTCAGGAGGGTCTCAACAGGGCCCATGCTTGGCTGCTGTGCAGAGGGCAGAGCTGGGTCTCTTTGAACAGGGTAAACGGATAATCAGAAGCAGGAGATTAGAGAGGAGGTTAGAAGGGTAGTGGATGGAGTGGTGAGGAGTGGTTAGATTCGGGATATATTCTGAAAATAAAGCTGTCAGGACTATTTGTGGATTGCATAGAGGTTTTCAAGGTTCCTAGCCAGAGCAACTAATGGTAGTCTCCTCTGGGGCCGGGGTATGCATGGCCAAGGTGGAGGGGAAAAGCAAGAGTTCCATTTAGACATGCCAAGTTTAGCAGGCCAGCTGGATGCCTGAGGGTGCACACTGAGAAGGAAGCTGGATATGAAAGTCAGACTCTTAGAGTAGGGGTGGGAGCTAGAGGCAGGCACTCCAGTGCCATCTCTGAGTAGATGGCACTTGATGATGTAGAATTGACCAGAATTACTGAGGGAATATGTGCGTAGATCTAAAGACCGAGCCCTGCGGCCCCAACATTTTGAGGTAGGGAAGAAGAGGAGCAGCTATCAAAACAGACTGAGTGACAGCAGGCAGTGAGGGGGGACCCCAGGAGAGCCTGCCCTGGACCACTGGAGAAGGCGGGGAGGGGAAAGTTGCGTGGACATTGCTGTAAGTTAAGGTGCCGCTGAGAGCTGACCAGTGGATCTGAGCAGATGGAGATGGGACTCAGGTAGAGCAGTTGAGCACAGTGTTGGGTATCACAACTTTGATTGACGTATAGTAAAGGGAGAACTTGAGGGAGTAAGTGAGACAGGGAGGAGAGACCATTCTTTAAGAGGTCTTTCTAGAAAGAGCAGAGAAATGGGAGGGGTACCATCAGGGGATATGGGTCTTAAAGAAAATTATTTTTTTTTAAGATGGGAGGTATGATAGTGGCTTTTTATGCCATTAGGCATGATCCAATAAAAAAAGAAACTTTGAAGATGAGAAGTGGGAATTATGATAGCAAAATCCTTGAGTAGACAGGAGGGGACTGGGTTCGGTATTAGAAGGAGCATTGACACTGACAGATGGAGGGGGAGCTCAGCCCAGGGAAGGAAGATGCAAGTTGTCTGGGAGATTTAGAAGATGAGGCAGCTCTGGTCCAACTGCTTCTATTTTTTTTTTTTTTTCAGTGAAAGACAAGTAATCAGCTGGGAGTGAGAAATGGGAGGCAGTGTTGGCCATGTGAAATAGTTGTGAAGCACTCAGCCTGAATAGGAACAGGTGATGGGATTTCTGGGTGAGTCACCAACACCTGCATACATACAATGTTACTGAGATATTTGGGGGCCAATGGAAAAGTAGGGAGGGTGCAGATCAGAAAACGAGGGTTCAGTACACTACCTTGCACACATTTGGATAAGTCCCTCAAGTTAAAGACATAATGGGACTTGGCGGGTGTTGGCAGGAGGTCAACACTCATTTTGTTATAAATCTCAACTGAGGCTTCTACAATGCTTGATGCAGTTTGCTTTACAGCTGGTGGAAAGTCACTCAGGAAACCATTTAAGATGGCCTAGAACCAGAAACATAATATGAGAGGATTAGATTTATTTTAAACCAAATATCTATCTTTTAAATACTCCGGATGATAACGTTTTCTAATAATAGAAAGCCAAATTCCAACACAAAGTCTTCTGGTATCAAAGCTCTTCTGCTCATTTCAGAAAACATTCTTGAGAATGCGCTCACTCCTGTCTTCTGTGATTGTTTTGTGATGCCTGAGTGGCATTCATATCTGACTAGTGAATTTACATGAACACACTCTCAAGTAATTTAGACCTCTGCTTGAGGTGAGTCCAAGGGGTCATCACGAAGGGCACAAACCCACCTGGAAATGAACAGAAACCCTCTCTCTCACTTTTATGGATGAATGACCACCACTCTCATAGACTTTCATCTTCATGTATATTTTAAATGCGACTTACTTGCAATGGTGAACTCCCTCACACTTCAGCTTCCCCATCTCAGTAGCTGGCCATTCCCTCCTAAGCTTAGATCAGGAGCTTGGAAGTCTCTTTATACACCTCCCATTTTCTGTCCTGCAAAATCAATCTTGAACACATTTCTTGGATCTGTTTGCTTCCCTCTGTTTCCCCGGACATCACCCCATCCTGGCCCCTACTCTTTTTTATCTGGACTTCTCCTCTCTCTCCTTCACTCTGGCCTCTCCATTTCCATTCTGGTCTCCCTGCTGGTCCACCCTTCCCCCAGCATCCTCACTTCACCCCTCCCTTCCATTGCTCCCCATGTCCCCGCCACACTAGTCTGAACACCCACACTCCTTCCCACCTCAGGCCCCTGCACTGCTGCTCCCCTCTTCCTGTGCCCAGCCCTCTCTGCTTGGCAGGTGCCCTTTCATCCTTCATGTTTTAGGTTACATGCCGTCTCTCCAGAGAGGCCTTTCCTGACCACTCAGTCTAAAACAAGTCCTCCCATCAGTCTCTTTGATCTTCTCATCCATAACATCACAACTTGAACATGTGTATTTATTAGCTAGTCCTTGACCCGCAAGTGCTTGGAAAAATCATTATTGTTTTTTAAATAGATAAATTCTTATTACCATTAACCCTGGAGTAACTAATGGGAGAAGCCACGAGAATGCATATCAATGGTTGCAAGTTAGTCTAATCTGAAGTTGTGACTTCAGATTTGGTGTCATATATGAGATCTTTTGAAATAAACCTGAGTATTTGTTTTCAGTGGGTCTCCTGTTTAACATTTGCTTTAACTTGTGAGGATGACCTCTTTAGGTATCCCCTCCTGGGACCCCAACATGAGTTTAACATACTCCACATGGTCTGTATTTTATGTAGGACCATCTCAAACCCAATCTTTAAATTTGATGAAAATCTGTCCATTTGTATGTGTATGATGGAGAATAGACAAGCTGATAATTTTATTTATATATATGTTATATGTATGTAAAAAGCTCCAGCCTTCTGTTCTCCATGACACAAATACAAATAGTTTCTAACATATACATGAGTAACTGTGTGTCTATATCTAGATATCTCATTCATCTCTTCATTATCTGTGTCCATGGAAGAAGATCCATGAGGACAGGGATGATACACCAATATCAGGCGTATGGAAGGTGCTCAACAAATATTTGTTTAATGAATGAATTAAAGGCTACTAAACTGGTATCCATACATTAAAATTAGCGTATCATTATAGAATTTACTGAGGACCACAGCCTAGTATTCTACTTAAGGATCTGGCTTACATGATCTGTTTGGCAACTTTGCAAAACTCTTACTAAGAACATGCACGCAAGATGCAGCCAGGTTTCTTAGTTTTGGGAGGATTCTTTGGCATAAGCACATTATCACTAGTTTATGGAGCTGATCACGGTTTTCAGTTACTGCGTTATAGCTTTCTAACTAGAAATTTCATTAAATTTAATTTACCTGGTTGTGTGCTGTTCGGTTTACCCTTAGAATGTATAGTGATGCATATTTTGGCACATAAATTTCCAGTAAGTAAACATTCAGGTTTGTATGAACTATGGTCTGAGAAAGAGTCACTTATAATGTACATATTCCAACGGTGCAAATCGTGTCTGGGCATTAGTGGTGCGCTCCCTGCATATATGCACTATTTAACTAATTTGCAACAGACTATCAAAGAAAGTACAATGATAGGACTAATCGTGTTAACACTAATAGGTTATTGAAAACATTATATATAATATACATGTACTATTTAGACTCATAGGCTTCTTTTATACAGTAGAAATAAATCTATTTATATATGTTGCTAAAAATAAATTTACTTTATTGATTTTGCTCTTCTTCAATTCTTGATTATATCCAAGTTCTTTTTCCTCCAAACAGTAATGAAGGACAGGACAGACGGGTGATGAATTCTTGGGTCCTGCTAAGGTGGGATGTGATGAAAAATGAAGTTTGAGATCCATGGGCCTAGAGCAAGTTCTTTTTTCCTACAGGCAAAATACCCTGTCCGTTGTAATGAGAGCAATATTCTTTCCCACCTGAATTCAGTCCAACCTGGTAGCCCCCAGAATCTCTCAGTTTTGCCACATATCATTTCTATTTCCCCTTATAGCTAGTGTGGGTTTTAAATGTAAACCTGTAAAGTTACAGTGGGAAGAAGCAGCCTTATCACAGCCAGTTTTTAGCTATGATGTGCTTGCTGGATGATGTTCCCATGGGTGACACATTTCCATGGACATGATAATCCCACAGGAGGTTGAGAGTTGGGGACCATGTCTTTCCCAGTGGCCCAGGCTTCACTGTATTCTTCCCACCCACAAAATGGAAATCATTCCATTTTGGAATGATGAAGAACGATGTTTTTGTAGTCATAAACCTGAATTTGCTTTAACTTAATAAAAAATGAAATAAATTGCAAATTCAGTCTCTTCTAACCAGGCATAAGTTTCTTGAGACACCCCTCACCACTCACCACATCACAGTGTATCTGTGGTGTGGTTGGGAATCACTCACTTCAAACTTCAAAATATAAATATAAAAGTTCTCAAAAAAGTGTGCAGGCCTTAGACAACCCTTCTAATGGCTTTGGTGGTTGCTGTTATGTCTTGTTTTATACTCTGGTGCTTAATTATAGGAGTGAAGCTCCCATCTTTTCCTATTTTCTAAAGCACTCTCCGAAAGTTTTTCAAAATGTGGCAGTTTTTATATACCATTTTGGCATTAGCTCCTAAACAGCTTATTGGAACTACTTCAATTTATTAAAAATAATTTCCCACAGAAATAAGCTATTTCAATACAAACAGAAAATTCCTTTCCATGTACTGAAGGTTGTATACATGCGGGGTCTGTCCCTCTTGAGAGAGGGCTTCTACTGGAAGAAGTTGATGCTGGTGAATGTGGAGGTTCACTTAATTGCCACATCCTTGGGCATCACTGTCCACGTCACTGTCATCAGCTTCTCCAGGCCAGTCACCTGAACTGTCTTATTCTACCTTTGTGCCCACCTTACCATTTCCTGCCTCTGCAGTTGCGTTCACCCAGCACTTCCTGTTCCTAAGATCTGTTCCTCCCTGTCAATTCCCAGCATCCCCAAGACTCAGCTCACAATCTCTCTTCTCTAAGCAACCTTTGCAGGTTGGTTATGCGGGGCTTTAGTCATGCTGCTTCATATTCTCTTACTGTTCTACTCAAAATAATGCCTCTCAATCTGTTGAGCACTTGTAGGGCAGGTGTTATTATTTTTCCCATATAAAGGATGGGGAAGTAGCCTATTAGGGAAGTGAGTACAGATGGACAAAAGATAGGTTATCATTCTTAGCGAGAGTGGCCAAGGAGATGAGTTCTGTTTTAGGTGTGTTGAGCTTGAGCTCTCTGGCATATCAGGTGCCAAGTTTGGTGGCAAGTGGACACGCAGACCTGGTGGTTAGGGATAAGATGAGCACAAAGGCAGGGGCTGGGTAGTGATGAGATCTGCCAAGAACTGTGTGTGGAGTGCTAAGTGGCAGGGACCTAAGATGCAGCCTTCTCTAAAGGTAGGGGTTTTGTCTGCACAATCTTTCTGCATTTCTAGAACTCTCTGAGACCAACAGATACAGAAGGCAGTGATGCAAATGCCTGCCAGCTACTCTCCAGGAGTCCATATTTACCTGCTTCCTGCTCAGGAAAGAGACGGATAGATGGACTCCTTAGAAACACAAGACACCACTTTGATTGTGGGAGCCTTGGAACAAATATGCTTTCTTTTCCTCCTGTTGCCTAAGTTAAAATCGACACTCACCTGAAAAATCTGTTTCAGACTGTGCTCTGAGGGCATTGGGAGGCACAGCATGCTGAAGTGTCTGATGAAGCGGGGAGTCACAGGGTTGCGGCCACCGCCTGGAGGTGCACATGCCGATATGATTGTTACATCCTGTGTGCAGAGAAATCCACTTGGATCACTCAGCAGAGAATGAAATGAGACCTGCCTATCCTAATGGTAGGACTTCCCAAATGCCAGCATTGCATTACATTTTTTTTTGTGCATGTTAAATGACTTAATTCTCACAATCACTCCAAGAGATCACTATAATTACACCTATTTTATAGATTAAAAAACCAAGGCCCTGGATGGTTAAGTAAGTTGCTCAAGGTCACTCAGCTAATTCATCTACTTTGTATAAATACCTTTATGTGAAACTGTAATCCTAAAAACTTTGCTATCTGAAGATAAAACATAGCCATTCTTTCAACAAATATTCATTATTCATGGTAGTTAAGTTTAGTAAAGTTGGCTGGAGCACTGGATTAGTGGTTACTGAACCACTGCTCCTAGGGTTAGGTTTCTGTGAGTCTCTGGTGATGACATTTTTGTCAACCGACCAATCTATAACTTTGTTTTATGTGTGTTTCTGTTTAAAATGCCTTATTTTATATTGTTGAGTCATTAACATTGAACTCATGGACCACAGCACTATTAGTCATGCCTAAATGAAGCTTATCAAACTCATTCATTTTTTTCAGTAAGGCACATCACAGCCTTTTTGTGTTTAGAAATAGTAGACAGCACTTTAGCACCACAACTGGGCCATTTTACATAGCAAAATCACCAACAGAAGGCACAAAAATGTGAAAGTGTGGTCTCAAGTAGACTGCGAAAAGGGCAGTTGTTTACAGCATGGGAGCTGAAAAAGAAGGCAGAGTGTTGTCTTGTTCCACCTCATCTGGGAACTGTGGGTTGGACAGCTAGAATTTTTTGCCACTCCATACATGTCTGCAAAGGACAGAATAAGTGCTATGAATATTGATTTTGCAGTTACAAATAAATTTTGTGAGCATGAGAATCTTCAAACATGGAATCCACAAATAGCCTGGGCTATTGTGAGTTAAATGGAAAGCAAAAGCCCTGTGGGTCTAATGGAGAGAACATGCCACCTATTCCGTCTTAAAGCAGCTTTAGTGGGAAGGACAGAGGTTAATACCATAAATCAATGTTCTTAAAAATAAATATGCAACTTTGGGAGGCTGAGGCAGGCGGATCACTTGAGTCCAGGAGTTCAAGACCAGGTTGGGCAACACGACGAAACCCAGTCCCTACTAAAAATTCAAAAAATTAGCCAGGCATGGTGGCATGCGCCTGTGGTCCCAGCTACTCGGGGGGCTGAGGTGGGAGGATTGCTTGAGCCTGGGAGGTTGAGGCTGTAGTGAGCCTCTATTGTGCCAGTGCAGTCCAGCCTCAGTGACAGAATGAGACCCTACCTCAAAATAAAATAAAACAAAATTGCAATATAAATCACAGTAAGTTTTTTGAAGGAAAGGGATATAATGTTGAGGCAATGCTTGTTGGGGGAACCTAACTTAGTCTGTGAGTCAGAGAAGATTTGGCCAAGGAAGTGGCACTTGCAGTGGAGAGCTGGAAGGTGATAGTAGCAGAAGACAAGGCCATAGGGGTGAAGGAAGCAGGTGCATTTCTGGCAAAGGGAAGAGTGTGTGCCAATTCCTTTGGTAGGAAGAAGAATCTGAAGACCAAGAGGAAGGCACTCTTGATCCCAGATCTAAAGCACCAAGGCTTGAGGTGGACAAGTCCCTGTCTCTACGTGAATCAGTTCCAATAAACAACGGCTTACTATATACAAGGTATTAAGCTTAGCAGGGGCCATAAAAATGAGGGAGATGGAGGTCAGGAGCTCAGAGTCTAACATGAAGGAATGCAACACAAGATGAGCACATCAACAGCTCTGATTCAAGAAAGAATGTGAAGGCCATAAAGACACACAGTGCTCCATGAGGGTGAAAGAGGAGCTCACACTGGAAATGGGGGTTTAAGGAAAGGCCCTGTGAGCAAGGCTATTTGGAGATGGGCCTTGAAGGAGTAGGAAGATTATAAGGGAAGAGCTGGAGAGCAGGGCCCTTCCAGGTAGAGGACACCATCACAAAGGCATGCCGTGGGGGATATGGGTGCCTTCAGAAGACAGCAAGCCTTATGCCTCAGTGGGACTGTGGGGCATGTGCAGGGAGCAGCAAAAGACCCTCGGATCAGAGCAGCCATTCACAGCCATATGTGGGAGCCTCAGAGTGCCAGGGAGAGGCATTTCCATGTGATTTGTTTGGCAGAGAGGAGCCACTGAGCGCTGGCCTGGTGGGAGGTTTGGCAGTCATTCCCTTCCCACCCTCATCCCCATGGCACTGAGTCAGGGGAATTCTAAACCTGCAAAGGGCACGTGATATTCTCTCCTCACTGCGTTGTTGGGAAGATAAAGTTAGATAAACTTATTTGGAAAGTAAAAAGCCTTATATGCAAAAGACTGCTTTGTTTATAAAGATAAAGTTCCCAGGAACTGAATATGCGTTCATCTTGCATCCGGGGCTCCCTGTGTTGGTGACCAAGGCCCCTTTCTCGAGACCTACTACCTGTGACCCCATCAGTTTTCACCTCTGCACAGCCTGACCCTCTCTTCAGTCTCCATTTATCCCTCTGCCTCTTACACTCATCTTATTTTTTCACTTCAAAGAATGTTTATGCCTTGTTTAAGCTCTCATTTTGATAGACAGAAAGTGCTCTACCTGGATTTCCCAGGGAACTGGAGCTTAGCAATGGGGGCAGGGAGGAATCTTAGCTGAAATCACATATTCAGCAGCCAAATGGCCTGGGCTCTAATCCCAGTTTTGCCACTTGCCAGTAGTGTGACCTTGGACCAGTCACATTACTCCATACTCTTGGTCTATTTCTTGATCTATAAAACAGGGCTGATAGCATTATCCATCTTGTAGGGATGTTGGGTGCTAGTAGGTGGGAAATCCTTAGAATAGTGCCTGGTACAATTATTTGTTTTTATTGTGAGCAAAACGAAACATGCCCCCCGCCCTTTTCTTGTCAAGGGTGTTGGTTTCTCCAGAACAGAAATTTTCTCCAGAACAGAAATGGGACAGTTAACCTAGGTTCCCCCTTCTCCCTCTTGACTCTATACCCCACCTGTGATGGTTAATACTGAATATCAACTTGATTGGATTGAAGGATACAAAGTATTGATCCTGGGTGTGTCTGTGAGAGTGTTGCCAAAGGAAACTAACTTTTGAGTCAGTGGGCTGAGAAAGGCAGAATCACCCTTAACCAACCCTTAATTGTGGGCACAATCTAATCAGCTGCCCATGCAGCTAGACTATAAGGAGGCAGAAAAGTGTGAAAAGAGAGTGGCCTAGCCTTCCAGACTACATCTTCCTCCCAGCCTACATCTTTCTCCCATGCTGGATGCTTCCTGCCCTTGAACATCGGACTCCAAGTTCTCCAGTTTTGGAGGTTGGACTGGCTGTCCTTGCTCCTCAGCCTGCAGACAGCCTATTGTGGGACGTCGGGATCATGTGAGTTAATACTTAATAAACTCCCTTTTATGTATATATGTCTATCCCATTAGTTCTGTCCCTCTAGAGAACCCTGACTAACACACCACCAGTCCTGCTGATCTGCCTTCTGGCTTCTAAACCTTTCTGACCACACACATTAGCACAGGAGGCTCGACCCTCATCTCTTGTCCTCTAGGCTACTGCAGTTGCCTCTGGTCTTGCCTCCTCGTTAGCTCATCCCTCCCCTGCAGCCAAGGGGATCTTTCCATAACATTTCCTTCAGCAGCTCCTCAGCACTTACAGGATAAATCCAGATTCCTCCTCATGGGCCCACGGCACCATGGGATGTGACCTCTGCCTCTCCTGTTGGTTTGGTGCTCATAATTCACACCACCGTAGTATTTTACATTCCCTGCTTCTGGGGTGTAAAACGCTCCCTTTCCCTGCTTTGGCATGCATGCCTTCAGAATCCATCACTTCTGGGAGGCTTCTCCCATCCTCAACCCAGCCCCACCCCTGAATCCCTCCTGTCTCTCCCCTCTCACCACTCTGCATTAGAAATGTCTGTCCACCCTCTGAAGCTCTCTGGGAGGCAGGGACTGTTTCACTTGTTCATGGATCTCCTGAACCAAGCATGGCAAAAACTCAATATAGACTGAATACACTGAATTACATGGAGGAAAAACTGAGGCCACATGTTATGGACTGAATTGTGTCCCCTGTCCCCAAATCATATGTTGAAGTCCTAACTCAGGGTCTCAGAATGTGACTGTATTTGGAGATAGTCCAAATAAAGAGGAGATAAGCTAAAATGAGGCCATTAGGGTAAGCCCTAATCCAGTATGACAGGTGTCCTTATAAGAAGAGGTTTGGACACAGACAGACACAGAGAGAAGCCCATGTAAAGACATAAGGAAAGAGTGTTCAGAAGAAACCAATCCTGCAGACACCTTGTTCTTAGACGTCTAGTCTTCAGAATTATGAGAAAATAAATTTCTGTTGTGTAAGCCACCCCATCTGTGGTACTTTGTTATGGTAGTCTCACAAACTATACATCATATTTCCTTGTCATTTAAATTTAAGCACACCAAGTAATTTAAAAGCTAAAGTAACCTGTATTTCTTTCCAAAACAGTTTGTTTCTGTCATAAAATCCCCCAAAATCTTGATACTGCCGAAGTAATTCAATCGGAGGCTGAGAGCCATAGCGATCCAGTCTGGGCATGTTTAAATCATCAACAAAAATCACAATTCGTTTGTTTCCCGGTGCTCCTAGGGAAATAAAATGAATTTAATTTAAGAATTATGATTTTCCCTTAGAAAATGTAAGACAAAGCTAGGGTATGACTTTGGACTCAATGACATCCTACAGGTCATAAAGAGCTCAGTTCTGAGTCCTGCCTGGAGGAGGAGAGACTTCCTTCTGGCCCCACCCAGGCCCCTGCAGGAAGATGTGGTCCTGGTCAAGACGTCCACGTTGTCATGCCAGGTGGCCCCTTATCCTCACTGTCAGGGCACAAGATGGTGGCCTCTCTCCAGCAAGGAGTGAACCTTTCTCTGTCTCAGCCACACTCACTGCCCTCAGCAACCATGTGGCTTAGGCATGAATGAGGAACATCATTTTCTTTCCATAGTAGGAAGAGGAAGAATGCCAAAGTTTCCTTTCATAAATGTCATCACAGTACCCTCACAGGGAAACCAGATTAGATATTCAAAAGCATCCTGATCACATCAAAGGGAAATCCAGTGCAGTGGGGCTGCACAATGCCACATTTAAATGAATATACACACTCATTAGAAAAAGGAATGAGTGATAGCAGAGGAAAGAGAAACCCGATGGGCAAATAGCCATGTCCTTGTGGTTGGGATTACTACAGGAGGTGATTCCAAGGCAAACTGAGTGCTCCACTCCATCCTGTGGCCCCCTGGAAGCCAAGCAGCAGGAAGGGGTGGGGGGTAAGGAAGGGGTCTAAGATAAACCTTTGTAAGAATTTGGGGCCCCCACCAGAAAATAGACTGGCATCTGTTGCCCTTTGCCTACCTAAGCAGGAGAGAGGGGACAGAGACAGAAGGCAGTGAAGCAGCTGGCAGCACCATTGTTTGGCATGACAGGGCCTGCTGGATGGTGGGCAATGTGGGAGGCAGCCAAGCCTGAGCCCTGGCTGGTGCACCACCCCAGAGACTGTGGACTGAGCAAGTGGGGCCCCAGCTGCAAGAGGGTGCAGATGGACTGCTGGAGAGTGAGGGCTGAGGTCCTGACTCCCACCCTCAGGGAAACTTCCAGTGATAAGGTCAATGCCTGGCTTGCAAACAGCTCTTTTGGGAGTTGCTTACAAGAGCCCACTCCTGAAAACCTGCCTCACAGACAGCATAGACACCACTCAGTGCCAGCTAGAGAAGCAGGGACCAGCCACAGAGAGGCCCATCTGAACACTGGCTAGGGAGAAGAAACTTGTCCTTTCCTTCTTCTCCTCCCATTCCCTGCATACTCCAGCCTCCTACAGGGAGGGTGGGGAGGAGTGAAGAGCATCCCATGACCCCTTCACCTCCCATACGTACCTGGAGCCACAAACCTGGCTTAGGACAGATGAGAGGAGGAACTTTGAATTGGGTATTGGATTGAGGCTTAGACTGGCCCAGACTCCAAATGTCTGAA
Source organism: Homo sapiens (assembly GCF_000001405.40). Classification (NCBI taxonomy): domain Eukaryota; kingdom Metazoa; phylum Chordata; class Mammalia; order Primates; family Hominidae; genus Homo; species Homo sapiens. Next base: position 84,670,942 of record NC_000002.12, on the reverse strand, counting down.
GGTGACCAGAAAGTTATGCTAGTTATCTAAGCAGTTAATAAGGGAGGGTGGGGAAGCTTCCACAAAACCTGGCTGAAAGTACTGACTGAAGAAAAAACCAAAACAGTCTCATACTTATTCCTCACTGAATTCAGATAACCCAATGTGCCAAATATACAGAGGTTTGTTTATTTTAAATAAGGGGAAATCAGTGCATGTTGGAAGAACCTGGGTGGAGAGAGGGAGAGCCATGGAGAGGCAGAGATTGAAGATGTTCTGAGTTGAAGGTGATGACAGAAATAAATGACTTGCTTGGCAACACTAAGACATCTACATAGCTAGCATAAAAATGCCATGAACAGAATCACCTTTACAAGTAAATTAAGCAAATAAAATATCCAACTGTCATTTTATTACATGCACTATTTATGTCATTTATTAGCTTAATGAATAATTTGTGTGGGACAAACTAAAATAATGATTCTTACCTAGAATATTTTTTCTTTTTCTCTCCAGTTTTGACTCAATGATCTCTTGTGTCCTTGCAGATGAAGTTTGAGCAGAAAAATTTAGATAAACAGGGACATAGCCAGCTGATTCTTGAATTTTATTTAGCAATCCTTTTGCAATCACAGACTTAAATTAAAATAAGTTAATTAATGTCACATGAATATAACCTCTTTCAGTTATATCTGTAATAGTTTGGCACAATGAGTAAGAAACAGGATAAAAAGAGAGAGGTTAAAGCCAGATTGAAATGTCTGCTTTCTCTTACTGGAGATTCCATTTAGTTATATTTTTCAGAACCAAAGAGATATTCTAATCAGCACTATCTTAGCAAAAAGTTTTAATTTAGTTTCATGCCAAAATCCATCTTGGCTACTCTTCAAGCCAATATATGGAAAGAGTCATAGAAAGATCCAAATTTCTTTTAGAATATTTTTTTGGGGAAACGGTGAAGTCCTGTTTACGTGGATTCTCCAAAACCAAGAAGCCCAAATCATCAATATTCCTCCCTCCATTCTACTTTAACAAAAAACCCCAAATAGTCAAGGATACCACTGCTGTATCAGGTATAAGTGAACAGGCCAGAGGGGATGAGCTGATCTCTATCAACTGTCTTTTGGGCATGCAAACTCCTCTGCCCAATTCTTATCCAACCAGTGCAGTGGCAGCCCCCAAAATACCAAGGGATAAAGCATAAAAGCCCCTAAACACAAACGCTGGCCCTCTAATTCATATAGTATCAACTCCAAGAATGTGTTCAGAAACTGGCAAACTTTGGAACAATTCCCAGGATCAATATAGATTCAGCATAATATTCTTCCTGCAAAAGTGCTAAACGCTAAACAAAATTCCTCTCAGAAATAATATTACTTCTGGTGCTAACGATTCTAAGTCCATCATGCCCTCACATTTGGAGAGGACTTCTTGTTTGATGTAAGTTTCCTACCTTGCCCACTCCAGTTATTCCAGTAAACAACACGGAATGCTTGACTGCCAGTAGTTTTTCCATTAGATACCCATAGCGCACTGTGTCAGTTGTGGGGACAAGCATTTCAAAAAATGGAACATCTCGGTTGTATTTGAAAGTAGGTATGATTCGTTCCCAGGGATCCAGCCGTTTGGTGTCAAAGTCCATATGAATGCTCCACAGATCACCAGAATTGGGAAGCTAAAGTACAAAATTAAACACCACTTTCAATAGGGAATAAGCAATATTGACACACAGTAGTAGATACACTCACATAGAAAAAAAGGCAGTCAAAAAACCTAACTGGATTTGGATTTCTTTTTCCTTTGTAGATACATAGTTATTTAGGTATCTGAGACTAGTTATTTAAACAAAATCATGCAACACAATGCATGGAAATATCTGTTATACCGATTATATTAAAACCCATGTCAGAATTGTATAGCTTTTTAATTAAATTTAACATTCACAGGGCTTACGCCATGCCAAATACTGTCTGTGATGCTGAGGACAAGTGCTGAATGAGACCCAGCCTCTGTCTTCAATGACCTGGTAATCCCCCTGAGGGACATAAGCACTTCAGTTAATACCCATGGGGAAATAAGGGCTCTAAAGGAGTTTATTACAATCATACACACACACACACACACACACACACACACACACACACACACACACAGAGGGATGGCTCATTTCTACTTGCAGGGGAGTTATGGTGATGGCTAGAGATTCAGGAAGGCTTCCATGGGTGGTAATGCTAAAACTCAGACTTGAAGAACACGCTGGAGTCAGATGGGCAAAAAAGGGATGGCATGGGGTGGGAAAGAAGGGGTTCAGGATTCAGACTGAAAAAACAGGATTAGAAGTCTGATGCCATGGAAAATATGGTGTATGCTGGGAAGCATGAGAGCGCTGCATACAGTGAGATGAGGCTGGAAATACAGATGGATCAAATTATCAAAAGCTTTACTTATTAAAAATCTTAGAGCAACAGTCCAGTGAGGGATTCTAAGCAGGTAGGTAACATAATCAGACTGCATTTCAGAAGTTTCATCCTGGCAGCTGTACAGAGCAATATTGCTCCAAGGTCATTTGACAGTGACTTTTAGTAAGAAATTCATTTTTCATTGTGACTCTGTAAATACATACATATGTGTATCTACAAACATGTAAAATATTTACCTCTACTATGTGCAATTCACTCTACTTTCTTTTTTTATTGTTATCCAGAATCAAAGTTTTTTTTTATTATTATACTTTAAGTTCTAGGGTACATGTGCACAACGTGCAAGTTTATTACGTATGTATACATGTGCCATGTTGGTGCCCTGCACCTGTTAACTCATCACTTACATTAGGTATTTCTCCTAATGCTATCCCTCCCACCTCCCCCCGCCCCACGACAGGCCGTGGTGTGTGATGTTCCCCACCCTGTGTCCAAGTGTTCTCATTGTTCAATTCCCACCTATGAATGAGAACAATGTGGTGTTTGGTTTTCTGTCCTTGCGATAGTTTGCTCAGAATGATGGTTTCTAGCTTCATCCATGTCCCTACAAAGGACATGAACTCATCCCTTTTTATGGCTGCATAATATTCCATGGTGTATATGTGCCACATTTTCTTAATCCAGTCTATCATTGATGGACATTTGGGTTGGTTCCAAGTCTTTGCTATTGTAAATAGTGCCGCAATAAACATACTTGTGCATGTGTCTTTATAGCAGTAGAGTTTATAATCTTTGGGTATATACCCAGTAATGGGATGGCTGGGTCAAACGGTATTTCTAGTTCTAGATCCTTGAGGAATCGCCACACTGTCTTCCACAATGGTTGAACTAGTTTACAGTCCCACCAACAGTGTAAAAGTGTTCCTATTTCTCCACATCCTTTCCAGCACCTGCTGTTTCCTGATTGACATTCTAACTGGTGTGAGATGGTATCTCATTGTGGTTTTGATTTGCATTTGTCTGATGGCCAGTGATGATGACCATTTTTTCATGTGTCTGTTGGCTGCATAAATGTCTTCTTTTGAGAAGTATCTGTTCACATCCTTCGCCCACTTTTTGATGTGGTTGTTTGATTTTTTTTCTTGTAAATTTGTTTAAGTTTTTTATAGATTCTGGATATTAGCCCTTTGTCAGATGGGTAGATTGTAAAAATTTTCTCCCATTCTGTAGGTTGCCTGTTCACACTGATGGTAGTTTCTTTTGCTGTGCAGAAGCTCTTTAGTTTAATTAGATCCCATTTGTCAATTTTGGCTTTTGTTGCCATTGCTTTTGGTGTTTTAGACATGAAGTCCTTGCCCATGCCTATGTCCTGAATGGTATTGCCTAGGTTTTCTTCTAGGGTTTTTATGGTTTTAGGTCTAACATTTAAGTCTTTAATCCATCTTGAAATTAATTTTTGTATAAGGTGTAAGGAAGGGATCCAATTTCAGCTTTCTACATATGGCTAGCCAGTTTTCCCAGCACCATTTATTAAATAGGGAATTGTTTCCCCATTTCTTGTTTTTCAGGTTTGTCAAAGATCAGATGGTTGTAGAAGTGTGGTATTATTTCTGAGGGCTCTGTTCGGTTCCGTTGGTCTATATCTCTGTTTTGGTACCAGTATCATGCTGTTTTGGTTACTGTAGCCTTGTAGTATAGTTTGAAGTCAGGTAGCATGGTGCCTCCAGCTTTGTTCCTTTGGCTTAGGATTGTCTTGGCAATGTGGGCTCTTTTTTGGTTCCATATGAACTTTAAAGTAGTTTCTTCCACTTCTGTGAAGAAAGTCATTGGTAGCTTGATGGGGATGGCATTGAATCTATAAATTACCTTGGGCAGTATGGCCATTTTCACAATATTGATTATTCCTATCCATGAGCATGGAATGTTCTTCCATTTGTGTCATCTTTTATTTTGTTGAGCAGTGATTTGTAGTTCTCCTTGAAGAGGTCCTTCACATTCCTTGTAAGTTGGATTCCTAGGTATTTTATTCTCTTTGAAGCAATTGTGAATGGGAGCTCACGCATGATTTGGCTCTCTGTTTGTCTCTTATTGGTGTATAGGAATGCTTGTGATTTTAGCACATTGATTTTGTATCCTGAGACTTTGCTGAAGTTGCTTATCAGCTTCTTCAGATTTTGGGCTGAGACGATGGGATTTTCTAAATATACAATCATGTCATCTGCAAACAGGGACAATTTGACTTCCTCTTTTCCTAATTGAATACCCTTTATTTCTTTCTCCTGACTGATTGCCCTGGCCAGAACTTCCAACACTATGTTGAATAGGAGTGGTGAGAGAGGGCAACCCTGTCTTGTGCCAGTTTTCAAAGGGAATGCTTCCAGTTTCTGCCCCTTTGATATGATATTGGCTGTGGGTTTGTCATAAATAGCTGTTACTATTTTGAGATACAGCTCATCAATATCTAGTTTATTGAGAGTTTTTAGCATGAAGAGCTGTTGAATTTCGTTGAAGGCCTTTTCTGCATCTATTGAGATAATCATGTGGTTTTTGTCACTGGTTCTGTTTATATGATGCATTACGTTTATTGATTTGTGTATGCTGAACCAGCCGTGCATCCCAGGGATGAAGCCCACTTGATCGTGGTGGATAAGCTTTTTGATGTGCTGCTGGATTCGGTTTGCCAGCATTTTATTGAGGATTTTTGCATCAGTGTTCATCAGGGATATTGGTCTAAAATTCTCTTTTTTTGTGTGTGTCTCTGCCAGGCTTTGGTGTCAGGATGATGCTGGCTTTATAAAATGAGTTAGGGAGGATTCCCTCTTTTTCTATTGATTGGAATAGTTTCAGAAGGAATGGTACCAGCTCCTCTTTGTAGCTCTGGTAGAATTCAGCTGTGAATCCGTCTGGTCCTGGACTTTTTTTCGTTGGTAGGCTATTAATTATTGCCTCAATTTCAGAGCCTGTTTTTGGTCTATTCAGGGATTCAACTTCTTCCTGGTTTAGTCTTGGGAGGGTGTATGTGTCCAGGAATTTATCCATTTCTTCTAGATCTTCTAGTTTATTTGTGTAGAGGTGTTTATAGTATTCTCTGATCGTAGTTTGTATTTCTGTGGGATTGGTGGTGATATCCACTTTATCATTTTTTATTGCATCTATTTGATTCTTCTCTCTTTCCTTCTTTATTAGTCTTGCTAGTGGTCTATCAATTTTGTTGATCTTTTAAAAAAACCAGCTCCTGGATTCATTGATTTTTTTGAAGGGTTTTTTGTGTCTCTCTCTCCTTCAGTTCTGCTCTGATCTTAGTTATTTCTTGCCTTCTGCTAGCTTTTGAATGTGTTTGCTCTTGCTTCTCTAGTTCTTTTAATTGTGATGCTAGGGTGTCAATTTTAGATCTTTCCTGCTTTCTCTTGTGGGCATTTAGTGCTATAAATTTCCCTCTACACACTGCTTTAAATGTGTCCCAGAGATTCTGGTATGTTGTGTCTTTGTTCTCATTGGTTTCAAAGAACATCTTTACTTCTGCCTTCATTTCATTATGTACCCAGTAGTCATTCAGGAGCAGGTTGTTCAGTTTCCATGTAGTTGAGCGGTCTTGAGTGAGTTTCTTAATCCTGAGCTCTAGTTTGATTGCACCGTGGTCTGAGAGACAGTTTGTTACAATTTCTGTTCTTTTACATTTGTTGAGGAGTGCTTTACTTCCACCTATGTGGCCAATTTTGGAATAAGTGCGATGTGGTGCTGAGAAGAATGTATATTCTGTTGATTTGGGGTGGAGAGTTCTGTAGATGTCTATTAGGTCTGCTTGGTGCAGAGCTGAGTTCAATTCCTGGATATCCTTGTTAACTTTCTATCTTGTTGATCTGTTTAATGTTGACAGTGGGGTGTTAAAATCTCCCATTATTATTGTGTGGGAGTCTAAGTCTCTTTGTAGGTCTCTAAGGACTTGCTTTATGAATCTGGGTGCTCCTGTATTGGGTGCATATATTTAGGATAGTTAGCTCTTCTTGTTGAATTGATCCCTTTACTATTATGTAATGGGCTTCTTTGTCTCTTTTGATCTTTGTTGGTTTAAAGTCTGTTTTATCAGAGACTAAGATTGCAACCCCTGCTTTTTTTTTGTTTTCTATTTGCTTGGTAGATCTTCCTGCATCTCTTTATTTTGAGCCTATGTGTGTCTTTGCACGTGAGATGGGTCTCCTGAATACAGCACACCGATGGGTCTTGACTCTTTATCCAATTTGCCAGTCTGTGTCTTTTAATTGGAGCATTTAGCCCATTTACATTTAACGTTAATATTGTTATGTGTGAATTTGACCCTGTCATTATGATGTTAGCTGGTTATTTTGCTCGTTAGTTGATGCAGTTTCTTCCTAGCCTCGATGATGTTTACTATTTGGCATGTTTTTGCAGTGGCTGGTACCGGTTATTCCTTTCCATGTTTAGTGCTTCCTTCAGGAGCTCTTGCAAGGCTGGCCTGGTGGTGACAAAATCTCTCAGTATTTGCTTGTCTGTAAAGGATTTTTATTTCTCTTTCACTTATGAAGCTCAGTTTGGCTGGATATGAAATTCTGGGTTGAAAATTGCTTTCTTTAAGAATGTTGAATATTGGCCACCACTCTCTTTTGGCTTTTAGAGTTTCTGATGAGAGATCAGCTGTTAGTCTGATGGGCTTCCCTTTGTGGGTAACCCGACCTTTCTCTCTAGCTGCCCTTAATATTTTTTCCTTTATTTTAACTTTGGTGAATCTGACAATTGTGTGTCTTGGAGTTGCTCTTCACAAGGAGTATCTTTGTGGCGTTCTCTGTATTTCCTGAATCTGAATGTTGGCCTGTCTTGCTAGGTTGGGGAAGTTCTCCTGGATAATATCCTGCAGAGTGTTTTCCAACTTGGTTCCATTCTCCCCGTCACTTTCAGGTACACCAATCAGACGTAGATTTGGTCTTTTCACACAGTCCCATATATCTTGGAGGCTTTGTTCATTTCTTTTTACTCTTTTTTCTCTAAACTTCTCTTCTCACTTCATTTCATTCATTTGATCTTCAATCTCTGATACCCTTTCTTCCAATTGATAGAATCGGCTGCTGAAGCTTGTGCATGTGTCACGTAGTTCTCGTGCCATGGTTTTCAGCTCCATCAGGTCATTTAAGGTCTTCTTCATGCTGTTTATTCTAGTCAGTCATTTGTCTAATCTTTTTTGTCAAGGTTTTTAGATTCTTTGTGATGGGTTTGAACATCCTCCTTTAGCTCGGAGGAGTTTGTTATTACTGATCGTCTGAGGCCTTCTTCTCTCAACTCGTCAAAGTCATTCTCCATCCAGATTTCTTCCATTGCTGGCGAGGAGCTGTGTTCCTTTGGAGGAGAAGAGGTGCTCTGATTTTTAGAATTTTCAGCTTTTCTGCTCTGGTTTCTCCCCATCTTTGTGGTTTTATCTACCTTTGGTCTTTGATGATGGTGTCGTACAGATGGGGTTTTGGTGTGGATGTCCTTTCTGTTTGTTAGTTTTCCTTCTAACAGTCAGGACCCTCAGCCGAAGGTCTGTTGGAATTTGCTGGAGGTCCACTCCAGACCCTGTTTGCCTGGGTATCACCAGCAGAGGCTGCAGAACAGCAAATATTGCTGCCTGATCCTTCCTCTGGAAGCTTTGTCTCAGAGGGGCACCCAGCTGTATGAGCTGTCAGTCGGCCCCTACTGGGAGATATCTCCCAGTTAGGCTATTCAGGGTTCAAGGACCCACTTAAGGAAGCAGTCTGTCTGCTGTCAGATCTCAAAACTCCATGCTGGGAGAACCACTACTCTCTTCAAAGCTGTCAGACAGGGACGTTTAAGTCTGCAGAAGTTTCTGCTGCCTTTTGTTCAGCTATGCCCTGCCCCCAGAGGTGGAGTCTACAGAGGCAGGTAGGCCTCCTTGAGCTGTGGTGGGCTCCACCCAGTTTGAGCTTTCTGGCCACTTTGTTTACCTACTCAAGCCTCAGCAATGGTGGGCACCCCTCCCCCAGCCTTGCTGCTGCCTTGCAGTTCGATCTCAGACTGCTGTGCTAGCAGTGAGTGAGGATCTGTGGGCGTGGGACCCTCTGAGCCATGTGCAGGATATAATCTCCTGGTGTGCCGTTTTCTAAGACCGTTGGAAAAGCACAGTATTAGGGTGGGAGTGTCCCGATTTTCCAGGTACTGCCTGTCACGGCTTCCCTTGGCTAGGAAAGGGAATTACCCAACCCCTTGTGCTTCCTGGGTGAGGTGATGCCCCACCCTGCTCCATGGGGTGCAGCCACTGTCCGACAAGCCCCAGTGAGATGAACCTGGTACCTCAGTTGGAAATGCAGAAATCAACCATCTTCTGCATTGCTCATGCTGGGAGCTGTAGACTGGAGCTGTTCCTATTTGGCCATCTTGGAACCTCCTCAATTCACTCTACTTTCTGTTCTATTTTTTTTTTAAACCTCAAGGTATAACATAACCTTTTTTGTCAAATTTTAAGAGTCCATTTTAGAGAGTTTCATATATGTAAATATCAATATAACCACCCTAGATTAAAATATAGAACATGTACAGCACCTCAGAAGGGTTCTTTCTTCCACTTCTTTGTCAATACTAGTTTGTCTATTTGATATCCTTTCACCAATGCCACACTCTGAATTGCTGCTGTTTTATTGTCTTGAATTATTCAAGTCATGTAGTTAAGTCCTCCAAATGTGTGTTCCTTCAAGATTATCTCAGTTATAGATCTTTTACATTTTTATATAAATTTTAGAATGAGATTGTCAGATTTCATGGAAAAAATCTGTTGGGATTTTGGGATTGAAGTTGCCTAAAATCTTCAAAATATTTTGGAAAGAACTGATAACTTAATAATAGTATCTCAATCCATGAACATAGTATATCTCTCCATTTATACAGATGTTTTAAAATTTCTCTCAACAATGTTTTGTAATTTTCAGTAGAGGCCTTTCACATCATTCATTACTTTTATTCCTAAGTAGTTGGTATTTTGTTGCTTATATAAATGGTATTCTTTCAAATTTTCATTTGTTAACTCTTTGTGGACCTTATATCCAAGGGCCTTACTAATGTACTTATTAATTGTAATCATTTGTTTGTAGATTTTTTAGGTATTTCTACATATTCAGTCATTTTTTTCTGCAAATAATGACTATTTTACTTCTTCCTTTCCAAAGTTTGTATGTCTTATTTCTTTTTCTTGCCTTATTGCACTGGCTAGACTCTCCAATATAGTGTTTACTAAAAGTTGTAATAGAGGATATTTCCTTTTTAAAAACTGGGTTGTGACCCTTTCACTTGATTTCATGACCAGTTAATAGACTGTGACCTTTAATTTTAAGATTACTAGTAGAGAGGGTGAATTAGATATGACTCTAGCAAAAGGAACAATAAATAGGCTATTTTAATAGCCCATGAAAGAAATGATAAGAACCTGGGTTATCCAAAGGCAGCAAGGATGAAGACAAAAGGACATATTAAAAAAATACTTAGGTGATAAAATTTATTGAATACTGACATATTATTATTTAATTTACATTCTATATTCAAATATTGCCATTTTTTCCAATAATATAATTTATAGCTATATTTTTCCAAGTCTAAGATCCATTCCAGGATCATACATTGCATTTAATTATCTCTCTTTAGTCTTGTTTTATTCAGAGAAGTCTCTCAACTTTGTCTCTTATGACATAGATATATTTGAAGAATATAGTCCAGTTTATTTTATAAAATATTCATTGGTTTGGGTTTTCCAGGTGTAACCTCATGATTAGAATCGAGTTATACATTTTTGAAATAAATATCACAGAAGCAAGATTATATCTTTCACAGTGCCCCATATCAGGAAGCAGGCACAGGTTTGCCTTGATGCTAGTTAAATTAAATTGATCATGTAGCTAAGGTGCTGTTTGCAAGTTTTTTTTTTAAGTAAATACTTAGAAACTATGTAAATACTGCTTATCATGAAACCTCTACCCACTAATTTTAGTATTCATTGATGATTCCTGCCTAAATCAATTATTACAATAATGGTTGCAAGGTGATGACTTTCTAACTTTATCCATTATTCCTTCTGCATAGGTTAGTTGGTATTAGCCATAAGAAAGAGTTTTTCTTTCTTCTCTACTTATTTACATAGTCATGCATATTTTTATTATGAGTATGGACTTACAGATTTTTATTTTACTAAAAGGGTTATGATCCTATACTATGATTATTGATTTTGATGCTTAAATCTATCCATTTTTGACCAGTGGAAGTCTCTTCAAACTGCCTTCTGTGTTCTTTTGACATGTCACATCATTCTTTGAGCACTTTTTTACTATGCAACATAAAATAGTTGTTTTGTATTTTCCCTGATCCAGTCTTGAAATCAACTATTTTACTAAGAATTTCTCATTTTCTTTAGTGGAGGATGACAATAGTATTTAAAAATAAGTATACTAGATATGCTCATTGCTGCTATCAAGGTGTCTTTGTGTCTAGTTCTTTTCAGCACATGGACTGGAAAATTTACATGTATGTATACACACATCAATTTTCATACATTTACTTATTTATTTAAAGACACAGTCTTGCTCTGTTGCCCAGGCCAGAGTGCAGTGGTAAGATCATAGCTCAGTGCAGCCTGAAATTCCTGGGCTCAAGAAATCCTCTTGCCTCAGCCTCCTACGTAGCTAGAACTACAGGTGTGCAATATTGAGCTTGGATACTAAAAAAATTTTTTGTAGAGACAGAGTCTTGCTATATTGCACAGGCTGGTCTCAAACTCCTGGCCTCAAGTGACCCTCTTGCCTAGCCTCCCAAAATGCTGGGATTACAGGTGTAAGCCATGTGCCCAGGCAATTTTCATACATTTACATGTATGTTAACATTTTGAATATCAATGAGTACTGAGACCTGCAATACCAATCCAATAAAACAGAGTGCATTCTAATTTTTCTCCTTCCATACATATTTGTAAATCCCTTCTCTAACAGTGAGAAATTCATTGCCATTATTCTCAACATATTTACTTATTTAGTCAATCTTAGAATATATAGCAAGTACATTCCAGCAATTCAGGATAGCTAACCAATCACACTGTTACTTTCACACTGTGAAAAATAAATTTACTAACTAGAATTCAATATTTGTTTACAGTAGAGAGTTTTTATATACTTATACATCTTACTTTTTTAATATGACTGGGAGAGGGCTCCTAACTTAAAAAATATGATAAATGTTGTCTATGGTTGGAAAAACATGAATAATTTTAGGAACCAGTTTAGTGTATAAGTTATATTTTCAATAGAACTAAAGCTTTTAAAGTTTTAATCTTAAAATTTAAATAATTCAGAATTATTATGTTAAAATATAATTTATTTGGTTCTTACCCTGGCATCAGGATTATCATCAAATTGTGTTCTAATAAATGTATCAAAAGAATCATAGTAGTTTTCAGTTAGGTTTCCACCCAAAGACCACAAATAACAGAATACAAAAGTCTGACATAGTATAGTGTTCAATTTTGTTTGTTCCTGAAAGAATAAAGAGAAACAGACTTAATATTTTATATATGAACATAAAAAGAATCCTAAGCTGCAAAGTGTAAAGATATTTTTCTTTCATTTAGACTCACACATTTTTAAATGGGCACAGTGTATATTTCTTATACTTCACTCAATGGTTCACAGAGTAGTGTTTTCTTATAGTTATACATTATAACCACTGATGAGAAAATGAATGAGAAGGAATATGTAGGGAAAAAAAGTCCAAGTTTGTCTTTCAACTGATTATTATAACTTTTTAAATGCCTGCATGAGGGTATGTAAGCAGATTGAGAATATCTTGTATTGGGAATATGTTGTAGACTGTAAGAGAATTCAAAACTGAGTAGAGGAATAAACTATACATGCTAACATTACTTGTAGCTTTGAGATTCTAAGAATGACATCATAGCTATTAGTCCCCTGAAAAATTAACTTAAAAATCAAATGGTTATATTTTAGAATGGAGTCATTTCTTTGCAAAGAACTTATACAATAATCTAATTTTTCTAGCTTCATAGCAATAAGAAAACTCTTCATACCATTGCCAAGTTAACTCCATCTTTCCCAAGTATCAAGGACTCCAATAAGCAACAGAGTGTAGTAACTTTGCTGATGTCCACTTGTGGAATTGCTTGGCTGCACTTTTTATTGATAAAATGTAAACCTTCATCAACATAACGTTGGAAAAGATTCAATATATATTCTTGGGTTTCCTCAGTCAGCTGAAAATGAAACAAATGATAGTTTAGCAAGACCTGATAAATATATAATTAAGTTTAGAATTAGGTTGGTTAAAATCTGGATATTTCTATATATTCAGTGACCTTTAGACCAAAGGCTATAACTATCACAACATATTAAACAAATTAAATTTTAAGGAAACCTTTTATGACTGGGAAGGGATACATGGGGGAAATTATGGGTAGTTGATGGTGTTCTATTTCTTGGTCTGGCAATGGGTTCAGAGGTGTTAATTTCATAATTATTTCTTAAGCTGTCAATACATATTTCATGCACTCTTCTATACTGATGTTCTTTCACAATTATTAACAATGAAAAAGAAGAAACACAGAAGACAACATTTTAGTATCTATGTAAGGTAGAAAAATAATTTCCAAATATTTAAAAGTGAATTCAGCCCCTCTCACTACTCTTATTCAACTTTGTCCTGAAGTCTTAGCTAATGCAATAGGACAATAAAAGGAAATAAAAGGTATACAGATTGGGAAGGAAGAAGTAAAACTGTCTTTGTTTACAAATAACATAATTGTCTATGTAGAAAATCTACCTAAATTGACAAAACAAAACAAATAAAACTGGAACTCATAGGTAATTATAGCAAAGTTGCAGGATATGAGGTTAACATATACAAGTCAATCATTTTGTTATACACCAGCAAGGAGCAATTGGAATTTGAAATTAAAAATATAACACAATTTACATTAGTGCCAAAATAAATTAACTATAAATATGTACTAGATCTATATAAGACAAGCTATAATACTCTGATGAAAGAAGCTAAAGAACTACTAAATAAATGGAGAGAAATACCACATTCATGGATAGGAAGACTAAATAGTCTTAAGATGTCAATTTCTCTGATGTTATCTATAAATTCAACACAATCTCAGTTAAAATTCCAGCAAGTTACTTTGTGGATTAATTGACAAACTGATTCTAAAGTTTATATGGAAAGGCAAAAAACCCAGAATAACCAACACAACAAAAAAGAACAAAGTTGAAAAACTGACACTACCCAACTTCAAGACTTACTATACAGCTGCAGTAATCAAGACAGTGGGTTATTGTTGAAAGAATGGACAAGTAGATCAATGGAACAGAATGGAGAGCACAGAAATAGACCTGCATAAGTACAGTCAATTGATTTTTAACGAAAAAGCAAAGGCAATCTGATGGAGAAAGGACAGTCTTTTCAAAAAATGGTGCTGGAACAACTGGATATACACATGCAAAAAAACAAATCTAGACACAGACCTTATACCCTTCCTAAAAATTAACTGAAAATGGATTATAAATGTAAAGCAAAAAATATACAGTTTTTAGAAGATAACAGGAGAAAATCTACATGACTTTGGGCTTGGTGATGACTTTTTAGGTATGACACCAAAGGCACCATCCATGAGGGAAAAAACTGGTAAGTTGAATTTCATTAAAATTAACTTCTACTCTGTGAAACACACTGTTAAGAGAATAGAAGATGAAATATTTATACAATCTGAAGAGAAACCGGAGTATTGTTAAGAAAATAAAAAGACAAGCCATAGACTAGGAGAAAATATTTGCAAAAGATATAATCTGATAAAGAATTGAATTCAAAATATATAAAGAACTCTTAAAATTCAACAATAAGAAAACAAACAACCCAATTTCAAAATGGGCCAAAGACCTTCCTTAATAGGCACCTCATGAAATACGATACATAGATAGCAAACAAACATATGAAAAGATGCTCAAACCATTTGTCATTAGAAATTGCAAATTAAAACAATATACTACTACGTGCCCATTAGAATGCATAAAATCCAAAACACTGACAATGCCAAATGCTGGCAAGGATGTGAACAACAGGAATTCTCATTCATTATTGGTGGGAATGCAAAATGATACAGCCACATTAGAAGACAGTCTTGACAGTTTCTTACAAAGCTAAACATATACTAAATAATTCAGCAACCACATTCCTAGGTATTTACCCAAATATGGTGAAAACTATGTCCACACAAAAACCTGCACATTAATGCTTATTAAGAGTTTAATTCATAATTGCCAAAACCAAGATGTCCTTCAGTAGGTGAATTGGTACATGAACTGTGGTACATTCATACAAAAAATATTATCCAATGCTAAAAAGAAATAAGCTACCAACCCACAGAAAGACATGGAAGTATCTTAAATGAATATTACCAAGTGAAAAAAAGCCAGTCTGAAAAGGCTATGTACTATATGATTTCAACTGTATAACATTCTAGAAAAGGTAGAACTACAGAGATAGTAAAAAGATCAGTGGTTGCAGGGGTTAAAGGATGGGGAGTAGGGATGAATATGTAGAGCTTAGAGGAATTTTAGAGCAATGAAACTATTCTGCCTGATACTATAATGGTGGAAACGTGACATTATGCATTTTTCAAAACCCATGAATTGCACACAAAGAGTGAACTCTAATGTAAAATAATAATGTATCAATAGTGGTTCACCATTTATGCAAAGTGTTAATAATAGGCGAAACTGTTTGGGGGTGAGGGAGTGCATGGGAACTCTCATTTCTGTTCAATTTTTCTATAAACTTAAAACTGCCCTAAGCACAAAAATGTCTGTTAATTTTTAAAAAAGTGAATTCAGAAAAGTTAAAAATCTTAAGGTAGCCAATGACAAACTCTCAATTCTGAGAATTACTGTCTTTAATAAGGTACTCTGAGACTAGACCATAATATTCTTAAAACTGTTGATGCCTAAAAAGGAGGAAAACAATAGTTTTCTGGCTCATCTTTGGAGGGGGAGAGGCAGAGATGAAGATGGCTTACTTGGAGTAGGGGATGAGATGTGGGGGAAACATCTCAAAGGACTACTTGTTAAGCTAAGCTAAAGAGGAAAATTCTGTGTTAGAATGCAGAAGCTACAGAAAGTAGTATGAAACTGAGTTGTTTTGAATAACAATGTATAAGCTTTCCTTCACTTTGGGTGGAATTGTACCTCTGAGGTTAGAATGTGTCTTAGGTCTTGCACCTACTATTGGGGTAGGATGTAAATGAGTTTTCTTTTATCTTTGGCTGTCATAGGTGTTAAGGGCTCTCAAAATCCAAAAACAATGACAGTTAGGGTCTGGACTTAAATATTCTTTTTCTTCATTTTGCTTCCTTTTATTACTCCCAAGCTTTCTGCGAAGTCTCAATGCCTCAGGCTGTTGTAGCTGTGTTTTTAGGGACTCAAAAAAGTGGCTTGTGTTTCTAGTCTGGGGAGAAGCCAGGCAGAATAGGCAGGAGGCAGGGTGAGTAGGCAGGCTGGCAGGCTGGGGTAACAAGAAATGAGGACAGATTTGGGGAGTATATAAACATTCCTGGACGATTCCAGGAATTCACAGGGAGGACTAGGTAAAATAATGAAGTCCCCTCAATCAAGAACCATGAGTCCTTAACCTATTGTTATTTGTGCACTAGAAGGCAACATGAGTCCTGACAGATGGAGATATTGGGGAATATCTGATGGCACTTACTTTTTTAGAAATACCCTTCATCCAAGTTTTAACATAAGGCATCCATTTCAGTTCTTCAGGATCCACAAACACCATTCCACATCGACTGACTGTTGCAGGGGAGGCAACCCGCAGATCTTGCACCTAAAGTTGAAGAAAATTGAACAGGAAACAGCTAATATGATACTTCCTTATTTCTCCAACTTCAATGTTCACACTTATAAAATGATTCACACTTTTAAAGTCTAACAACACTGAAGGGCTTCATGTGGAAGAGAGTGGGAGAGCAATAAGTAATTAGAAATGGAGGAAGAAAGTTAAATGACGTATAAGGTGAAAAAAATTCCCACAACTACAGGAGGATACTGTCAAACTCTATGGGCAGGGCTAGTTATTTTTTTCTTTCTTCTCTTTGCTTTTCTCTTTTCTCCTGTTCATTCTTGTATTAGAATCCCTAGCACATACTAGACATTCAATCAGTATTTGATGAATGAATAGAACACAGGTGGCATCCTTCATAATGTTGGTAGCTGTACTTGGTCCACATTCCTCTCCCAATCCCTCATCAAATATTCATATCATGGTGGGATAATTTATTCTTATTAAATGCAATAATTTTTAATTTAAAATGCATTTCAAATGATACAAAGCTCTCTCTCTCTCTCCTCTTTCTTTCTCTCTCTCTCTCTCTTTCTCTCTCTCCCTCTCTCAGGGAAGCCAGAGTTTATTGTACTTCCTATTTATAGAGACAAGAACATTTGAGACTTTGACTGTCAATCTATTACAAAAGGATGACTTAATAAGTAAGTAAACAGAACACAATAATAGACATTATAGATAGTAAAGGCTACATCAGTGTGAGAAAAAAATGTAACGATAGTATGCCAATTTAATGAATGATTTCACTCCACAGTAATGTGTACACTTACCTCAAAAAGCATGTGAATTTGAGGTGTGAGTTTAATCCTCTCACTGTTAGCCAGGCAAAGCATCTTGTTATCATCCAGCACTGTATTCATGTTTTCAATCCAAAGAGCATCTACTGGCCCATCACTGATGATCCATTTATGGTCTTCTGAAGTATCATTCACAGCTGCTCGGACACTTAGTGCCATCAAACCATCTTTCCATTCCAAGGTTAAGTTATTAACCTCTCCATATAATTCACCCATGGTAATTGATTTAGGGTTGAGAACATATGTTTTAACTGCTTGGTAAAAGGAATTTTCTATCCCAAGTTTTTGTAAATTCCCTAAAGTTTCTGCTAGTATTCGGTAAACTGTGGTCTTGCCGCCTCCTGTTGGCCCGACTAACATAACACCATGCCTTACTAGCATAGTTTCATAAAACTGTATCACCTTTCTAACCATACACATCTCAGGCTGAAGATTTTGTCTATTCATGACATCCACAATTGTTGATTGTAAAATACCATAATCATGTTCTGGAATTTGGACTCCAGGAAAAAGGTCAGATATGATTCCACTGTCAAAACAAAAATAAAATCAATTAGGAACAACTGGTCATTGATATTTTCCCGTATTTGTTACAATCAATGAAATATTATGAGTCTTATTGTTTCTCATTGATCTTTCTCTTCTGACATGTACAGTATTAGTTTGTCCTATGTGCTGTACCAGAATCTATCATTTCTCTGATATCATGTATGATTTTGTTTGTTTCCTGTACAGTAGACCAATGTTCCTAAGTATATTAGGAGCTTCTTGGGAGTAAGTGATATCTCTTATGTTTCTTTCTGTATTTCCCACAGTACATGGCATAGTACCAAACATATAGAAGGTGATGAACTTATTTTTAATTATTAAAAAAATTATAAAATATCTCACTTAAAAATTTAAAATTATTTTAAAATTTTGTTTAAAAATTATATTTATAGCTCAACTTTTCCTAAAATCACTTACATATACTCATTAACTGTATGTGGCTATTCAGAAAAATAAGATGAATGTATAATTAAAATTAGCATCATGCAAGAAGGAAGGAAAAATGTGACTATTTCTATAGGAAACAGTTAGTATGAGATGTTTCAATGGGAAAAAAGAAGCTAAATCTTTACCTCACATTATATACACAAATACATTTGTGATACAGTTAAAACCTTACATAAAGTGATGAAAGTACTAGAAGAAAGTAGAAGAGCTAAATTTTGCAACATTGTGGTAAGGCGGTCTTTCTAAGAAAGGCAGGAAATCTACAACTGTAAAAAAAGTTGACAGTGAACAAAGAAAAACAGACAAAAATCAAACTTCTGTGAGATAAAAGGCTTTATATACAAACTTAAAGCATGAATGAGAGACTTAGAAAAACATTTCCAATGTTTATATCAGATAAAGATTATGACTTTCTATAAATCAATAAGTAAGAGTACAATAGGAACATGCTCCAAGAATAATAATTATAAATAAATAATGAACATAGGAAATGATTCCCAATGACTCTAATAGTTAAAGAAATGACTATTAAAATAGGCTACTACATTTGGCCTCTCTTTAAAACACTTATGGGGAAATAGGCGCCTTCGTAAAACCACTTATGTTAATATAAAAGGGTAAGTCATCTTTGGAAGACAATTTGATTTAATCTATTTAAATAAAAAATGTGCAAACCCTATGACCTAGGAAACTTACTTCCAGGAATCTCCCCTGTAGAAATATCATACGTGTGCAAAGATATATGTATAGGAATATTCATTATTAGAATAGAAAACAATTAGGAAAAAATCTAAATGTCCATATAGAAGACCTTTCATGTTAAAGTAGTTCTATAGGTTTATTATGTCTCAAAGTACCATCTTATATAATAGCAATCTAGCAGCAGTAAAAAAAAAAAGACTCATGCATATATACTAACATGAAAAAGATGCTCAAGATATATAACGAATTGAAAAAGCAACAGCTGTAAAAATAGAAATGTATTAAAGGTAATACATGAAAGTGTCAACCAACTTATTTCTCCAGAAAGATGGAACAGATTTACTTTTCCCTATTCCTTCCATTAAGTACAACTAAAATCCCTGTACATTAAATAAAATAAATAAAAGAAGACTCTGAAAGGTAGAGAGAAGTCAGACTGGCTAGGTACCTTAAGATGCAAGCAATAACACAGTGACTAGTCCCTTGTGTCTTTTTGTCTTTTACATCCTGGCAATCTAGAAATGCCAATGGGCACAGATTTAAAAAAAAAAGCCCCAGGAAAAGCTTACTGTCTTTATCCAAAGGACCAGGAAAGGGGCAGCCCAGGAAAGGGGCAGCCCAGCAAGACAGAAAACTTTTAGGCAATAACTGCTCTACTCTAACCAAACACCACAGAAAAATCCTGAGGTATTTATTCCTACCCTCACCAGCAGACACTGAGTGCGGAGCCCAGACTTCCACTCTAGCTAGGGTGTAACAAGTCTCCTGAAATTCCTCTTCTCATTCTCCCACGGTGTCAGAGAAGGCCAAATAGGGATGTACTTTCATCCTCACTGGGAAGTAATGATGCCCCCTTTGGTATTAGTGTAGACCATATGGGAAGCCTGGACTTCCAGCCCTACCCAAGAATAATGAAGCACCCCTTCTGCTCTCTGACAGGTGGAATCAGAGGAGGATCAGTGGAGAGTCAGGACTTTTACCACTGTCCAGGGGTAATAAAGCTGTCTTCCCTTGTGGCATCAGTGGAGGTCACGTGGGGAACAGTAATGAGGCGCTTCTACTCTTCTATCCAGGACAATATCACTGGAGGACTGCCAGGGAGCTGGAACTCCCACCCCTACACAGCAGAAATGACTGCTCCCACCAGATATCAATAAAGCTTGAATTCTATCCCCACCTGGCAGTAACAAAGTTGCATTTCTAATTTCTCTTGCTGGTGTGGCATCAGGAAAAGCCAGCTAAAATAAGTTTAAATAAGATCTAGAGTCTCATAACATAATACCTCAGATAAGTAGGTTTCAATGAAAATCATTCATCACATCAAAAGCCAGAAAGATCTCAAACTGAACTAAGAGAGACAATCAATAGATGCTAACACTGAGATGAGAGAAACGTTAAAACTGTCTGACAAATTTATTTTATTTCTTAAGGGATAGGGTCTCACTATACTGCCCAGGCTGGCCTTGAACTCCTGGGTTCAAACAGTCTTCCCGCCTCAGCCTTCTGACTAGCCAAGACTATAGGTACATGTGACTACACACAGGTGAGATCATTATCTTAAAACAGTCATCATAAAAATGTTTTAAGGACCCATTATGAACACAATAGAAACAAAAGAATATAAGGACATCTCAGCCAAAAAAAAAAAATACAGAGAGCCTATTAGAAATTTTAGAACTGAAAAAATACAATAACAAAAAAATCAATAGATGGGTTCAAGAGCAAAATGGAAGGGACAGAGGAAAGATTTGGTAAACTGCAAGATAGAATAATAGAAGTTACCCAATCTGAACAAGACGGAGAATATTGTCTGAAAAAAGAAATGAGAAGCTCTTGGGGACCTGTGGAAATATAACAAAAGATCTAATATTTGTGTCACTGGAGTCTCAAATGATGGGGAAGGATGAAAGAGCTGAAGAAGTATTCAGAGAAATAATGACTGAAAATGTCACACATTTGCCAAAAAGCATGAACCTACAGATTTAAGAAGTTGATCAAATCTAAAACAGGATAAACCCGAAGAAATCCATATGAAGATACAACATAGTCCAACTTCTAAAAATGGAAGACAAAGAAAACAATTTTAGCAGCAGCCAGAAGAAAAAAAAAATGACACCTTATGAACAGGGAAAAAAACACATAAAATGACAACAGAATTCTCATCAGAGACCATGCAGGCTGACAGGAAGTGGAAAACATCTTTTTAAAAAAATGTTTTATTTTCAGTTCTGGGGTACATGTGCAGGATGTGCAGGTTTGTTACATAGGTAAGTGTGTGCCATGGTGGTTTGCTGCACCTATCAACCCATCATTTTTCAGCTCCCACTTATAAGTGGGAACATGTGGTGTTTGGTTTTCTGTTCCTGCGTTAGTTTGCTGAGGATAATGGTGTCCAGCTTCATCCATGTCCCTGAAAAGGAACATGATCTCATTCCTTTTTATAGTTTGCTGAGGATAATGGTGTCCAGCTTCATCCATGTTCCTGAAAAGGAACATGATCTCATTCCTTTTTATGGCTGCACAGAATTTCATGGTGTACCTGGGAAGTATATGGTACAACAGCTTTCAAGTCCTGAAAGAACTGTCACTCCAGAATCCTATATCCAGGGGAAATATCCCTCTGGAATGAAGGGAAATCAAGACATTCTCAGATAAAGGAAAAGGAAATGAATTTGTAGCCAGCAGATCTACCATGAAGAATGGCTAAAGGGAAGTTCTCTAAGCAAAAAGAAAATGATGAAAGAAGCAAACTTGGAGCATCAGAAAGGAAGAAAGAACATGATAAAATGAAAATATGAGCTCCTATTATGAACATCGTATTACCATTCATTGTGAAACTTAATCGTATATTTATATATAAGCATCCTTCAGAGATGCTGTGGGTTCAGTTTCAGACCACTACAATAAAGTGAATATAGCAATAAAGCAACTCATATGAATTTTTTGGTTTCTCAGTGCATATAAAATTAATCTTCATGCTATACTGTAGTCATTTAAGCATGCAATAGCATTATGTCTAAAAAATGTACATACCTTTATTTAAAAACGCTTTATTGCTAAAAAAGGCTAATGACCATCTGAGCCATCGGCTTTTGCTGGCAGAGGGTCTTACCTCAATGTTGATAGCTGCTGACTGAGCAGGGTGGTAGTTGCTGAAGGCTGGAGTGACTGTGGCAATTTCTTAAAATAAGACAATAATGTTTGCCACGTTCATCGACTCTTTTGTGAAAGATATCTATGTAGCATGTGATGCTGTTTGATAGCATTTTACTCACAGCAGAACTTCTTTCAAAATTGAAGTCAGTTCTCTCAAACTCTTCCATTGCTTTATCAACTATATTTATGCAACAGAGTCTTTTGTTGTCATTTTAACAACGTTCACAGCATCTTCACCAGGAATAGATCCCATCTCAGGAAACTACTTTCTTTGCTAATCCATAAGAAGCAACTCCTCATCTATTCACGTTTGATCATGAGATCGCAGCAATTCAGTCACATCTTCAGGCTCCACTTCTAATTCTAGTTCTTTTGCTATTTCTACCACATCTGTAGTTACTTCCTCCACTGAGGTCTAAAACCCCTCAAAATCATCCATGAGGGTTGGAATCAACTGTTTCCAAACTCTTATTAATGTTGACATTCTGTCTTACCATGAATCATGAATGTTCTTAATGACATCTAGAATGATGAATCCTTTTCAGAAGGTTTTTAAATTAACTTTGCCTGGATCCATTAGAGAAATCACTATCAATGGCAGATAGAGCATCACAAAATATGTTTCTTAAATAATAAGACTTGAAAGTTGAAAGTACTCCTTGATCCATGGGCTACAGAATGGATGTTGTGTTAGCAGACATGAAAACAACATTCATCTTGTACATCTCCCTCAGAGGTCTTGAGTGACCAGGTTCATTGCCAATGAGCAGTAATATTTTAAAAGGAGTCTTTTTTTCTGAGTAGTAGTTCTCAATGGTGATTTAGCCCTTTTCTCATTTAGAACAAAAAAGGGCAGCTTGCTGCCAGTGCTCATTTAATTTTACATAAACATGCTCTTTGAGGCTGAAGCAAATCTGACTGCTTTTCAGTGTGAAAATAAAATATAAAAACTGTTCTTGGAGTTATTTCTAAACAGAACTAACATTAGAATCATCCAAATCATCAGAGTCATCTATTTAGGAAAAATCAGATTCATCAAATGAATCTTGGGCCAACAACTATTAAAAAAACAATGTTAACATCATGCATAGGAATGTTATGCTTTCTAGGATTTGACATTTTCAGTGATCAAGAACTACTATGTTTTGTAAGCAGAAATACCACTACTAAAAACAGAATGCTATAGAATGATGCCTTTTGTTTCCAAAGTCAGTATACTACAGCAATGTGAAAATAATAATAAAAGATAATTCATGGCAAAGTTATCTCGGGTTAAATTCTGCAGCCACAAGTGCTGCCAGCGAGTACTCTTGGGGCAAATGGGAAAAGGGTTAAAATATTCAGTAAACCATTCTCTAAACAGACATACTGTCATCCATGCCTTGTTGTTTCATTTTTAGAGCACAGGTAGAGTAGATTTAGTGTAATTCTTAAGGGCCCTAGGGTTTTTGGAGTGGTAAATGAGCACTGGCTTTAACTTAAAACCACCAGTTGCTTTAGCCCCTAACTAGAGTCAGCCTGGCCTTTAAAGCTTTGAAGCCAGGTGTTGGTTTCTCCTTTTTCACTATGAAAGTCCTATATGGCATCATCTTCTAACAGAAGGCTGTTTTATCTACATTAAAAATCTGTTGCTTAGTGTAGCCACCTTCATCAGTGTTCTTAGCTAGATCTGGATAACTTACTGCAGCCTCTACATCAGCATTTGCTACTTTACCTTGTACCTTATGTTATGGAAATAGCTTCTTTGCTTCAACTTCATGAAGAAACCTTCATGAAGCTAGCGAGGGAAAGAAGTTTGAAGCTAGCTACTTCACCAGGAGTAGATCCCATCACAAGAAACTACTTTTGGCCGGGTACGGTGGCTCACACCTGTAATGCCAGCACTTTGGGAGGCTGAGGCGGGCTGATCACTTGAGGCCAGGAGTTCAAGATCAGCCTGGCCAACATGGTGAAACTCTGTCTCTACCAAAAATACAAAATTAGCCATGGGTGGTGGCATGTGCCTGTAGTCCCAGCTACTCGGGAGGCTGAGGCAGGAGAATTGCTTGAACCCGGGAGGCAGAGGTTGCAGTGAGCCAAGACTGTGTTACTGCACTCCAGCCTGGGGGGCAGAGTGAGACTATCTCAAAGCAAACAAACAAAAAAATGACTTTCTTTGCTAATCTATAAGAAGCAACTCCTCATCCATGCAGGTTTTATTATGAGATTGCAGCAATTCAGTCACATGTCTGCTAGCTTTGAACTTTTCTTCTGCAGCTTCCTCACCACTCTCTCCTCCTTTATAGAATTGAAGAGAGTCAGAGCCTTGATCTGGATTAGGCTTTGGCTTAATGGAATGTTGTGGCTGGTTTAATCTTTTATCCAGACCACTAAAACTTTCTCCATAGCAGCAATAAGGTTACTTTCTCTTTCTTACCATTCATGTATTCACTGGAGTAGCACTTTTAATTTCTTTCAATATCTTTTCCTTTGCATTCACAATTAGGCTATTTGGCACAAGAGGCCTAGCTTTCAGCCTATCTTGGCTTTAGACATGCCTTCCTCACTAAGCTTAATCGTTTCCAGCTTCTGATTTAAGGTGAGAGGTGTGTGACTCTTCCTTTCACTTGAACACTAGAGACCACTGTAGGGTCATTAGTTGGCCTAATTTCAATATTATTATGTCTCAGAGAAGAGGGAGGCCCAAGGAGAAGGAGAGAGATGGGAGAATGGCTGTCTGTGGAGCAGTCAGAGCACACACATTTATCAATTAAGTTTGCTGTTATGTATGGGTGCAGTTTGTGGTGCTCCCAGAACAACTGCAATAGTAACATCAAAGATCAATGATCACAGATCACCATAACAGATACAATAATAAAAAAGTTTGAAATATTGTGAGAATTATTAAAATTGCCACATATACACATGGTGAACACAAGCTACTGGAAAAACTGTGCTGATAAACTTGCTTCATGAAGGGTTGCTACAAACCTTCAATTTGTAAAATATATGATATCTGCGAAGTGCAGTAAAATGAAGTGAAATAAAATGAGGTATGCCTGTAGATACCTCTGCCCTCAACTTTGGAGACACAGACAGTCACATACACAGGATTACAACAAACTAGTATGGGAGCCAGTGCCAGGGTAGGAAAATGTGAGCTGTAATTGATAAATTGCTTGAGGCTAGATGTGGAGATGTCTGAGAGTTAAAAACTCCAGGGGCATCCAGTCATGGGGTGGAGGGGCACATCTTTTGTGAGTTTTACCTCTAGGAGCTCAACCAAGTCTTGGAGTAAATATCTGAGAGAAATCCCATCATGTGAATATTTTTGCAATCTATGCATTTGGCAAAGGTCTAATATCCAGCATCTATAAGGAACTTAAACAAATTTACAAGAAAAAACAAACAGCCCCATTAAAAAGTGGGCAAAGTGCATGAACAGGCACTTCTCTAAAGAAGACACCACATGCGGCCAACAAACATATGAAAAAAAGCTCAACATTACTGATCAATAGAGAAATGCAAATCAAAACCACAATGTGATACCATCTCATGTCAGTTAGAATGGCTATTATTATTATTATTATTTTTTGAGACAGAGTTTCACTTTTGTTGTCCAGGCTGGAGTGCAATGGCACAATCTCGGCTTACTGCAACCTCCACCTCACGGTTTCAAGTGATTCTCCTGCCTCAGCCTCCCAAGTAGCTGGGATTACAGGCATGTGCCACCATGCCCAGCTAATTTTGTATTTTTAGTACAGACAGGGTTTCACCATATTGGTCAGGCTGGTCTCAAACTCCTGACCTCAGATGATCCACCTGCCTCATCCTCCCAAAGTGTTGGGATTACAGGCATGAGCCACCACCCCCGGCCTAGAATGGCTATTACTAAAAAGTCGAAAAAAAACAGATGTTGATGAGGTTGTGGAGGAAAAAAGAATGCTTTTACACTGTTGGTGGGAGTGTAAATTAGTTCAACCACTGTGGAAAGCAGTTTAGTGATTCCCCAAAGAGCTAAAAACAGAACTACCATTTGACCCAGCAATCCCATTACTGGGTATATACTTAAAGAAATACAAGTCATTCTGTTATAAAGACATATGCATGTGTATGTTCATTGCAGTATTATTCAAAATAGCAAAGACGTGTAACCAACCTAAAAGCCCATCAATGATAGACTGGATAAAGAAAATGTGGTACATATGCACCTTGGAATAATACACAGCCATAAAAAGGAATGAGATTATATCCTTTGCAGGAACGTGGATGGAGCTGGAGGCCATTATCCTTAGCAAACTAATGCAGGAACAGAACATCAAATACTGTATGCTCTTACTTATAAGTAGGAGCTAAATGATGAGAGCACATGGACACATGGTGGGGAACAACACACACCAGAGCTGTTGGAGGGTGGGGAGTGGGAGGAGGGAGAGGGTCAGGAAAAATAGCTAGTGGATGCTGGGCTGAATGCCTGGGTGATGGGATGATCTGTGCAGCAAACCACCATGGCACATGTTTACCTACATAACAAAACTGTACATCCTGCACATGTATCCTGGACCTCAAAATAAAAGTTGGAAATGAAAAAA
This sequence comes from Homo sapiens, assembly GCF_000001405.40. Taxonomy (NCBI): domain Eukaryota; kingdom Metazoa; phylum Chordata; class Mammalia; order Primates; family Hominidae; genus Homo; species Homo sapiens. The sequence continues at coordinate 84,644,422 of NC_000002.12, read as the reverse complement.
AAAATCACATTTGAAAAAGAAAAGAAATCTCTTCATGCTTCTGTCAGGGGAGGGGAAAAGAAACCATTCTGAAATAGGCTGGAGCACTCTGCTCTTCCTAATAAGGAGAAGCCAGGAGAGTTAATCAGAGCCTAACCTGCTAGAGTTTTGTCAGAGCTTAACAGATCCGGGGGAGGGGAAACATCAACTCCAGCTGGCGCTAGCCTTTCACTGGGAGAAGGGAATTACCCAACTCTAGGCCACTGTAGCCACCCTGTACCACCTAACGGGGAGAAGAAACTGAGAAACACTTATGAAGCCTACCATTCAAAGGCATAGGCTCATTAAAAGACTGAGTCCTAATCCTAGGACAATAGAACACTTTCTCTCCTGCTGCACCTTACCACTACATTACTTACAGCCAATTTACTTTTGGCCCAGTTCCTTTTAACCAGTACATCATGTCCAGCTATCAAGAAAATATTATGAGGCATACTAAAAGGCAAAAAAACAAAAACAAACAAACAAAATAAAACAAAAAAAAACACAATTTGAAGAGACAGAGCAAGCAGTAGAACCAGACATGGGAGGGATGCTGAAATTATCAGACAGGGATTTAGAACAATGATGATTAATATGTGAAAGGCTTTAATGGATAAAATGGACAGCATGCAGAAACAGCTGGGCAATATAAGCAGAGATATGGAAAGCCAAAGAAAGAAGCAGAAAGAAATGAATTATAAAAACCAGCACACTATAACAGAGATGAAGAATGCCTTTGATAGGCTTATTAGTAGATTGGACACAGCTGAGGAAAGTATCTCTGAGCTTGAGGATACCTCAATAGAAACCTCTGAAACTGAAAAGTAAAGAGAATAAAGACTGTAAAAGCAACATAATACCCAAGAACCATGGTACAACTACAAAAGGAGTACCACGTGTGCAGTGGGAATACCAGAGGGTAAGAGAGGGAGAAAAAAACAGAAGAAATATTTGAAAGAATAATGGCAGAATTTCCCCAAATTAATGTCACACACCAAACCTTAGATCCAGGAAACTCAGAAAACACTAAGCAGGATAAATACCTAAAAATTATACCGAAGCAGGTCACTTTAAAACCATAGAAAATTAAAGATAAAGAAAAAATATAGAAATAAGCCAGAAGGAAAAAAAAAACCCCACTTTACCTATAGATGAGCAAAGATAAGAATTACATTTGACTTTTCCTCAGAAACTATGCAAGCAAGAAGAGAGTGGAGTGAAACATATGAGGAAAACCCCACCAACCTAGAATTCTGTACCCTGTGAAATTATCCTTCAAAAGTGAAGGAGAAATAAAGACTTTCTCAGACAAATAAACATTGAGAAAATTTGTTGCCAGTAGCCTTGCCTTGCAAGAAATGTTAAAAGCAGTTCTTTAGAGAGACGAAAAATAACATAGGTCAGAAACTCTGATCTACCTAAAGGAAGAGCATGGAAGAGCATGGCATAATTGAAGGTAAAATGAAAATTTTTATTTTTCTTATTCTTAATTGATCTAACAGACAACAGTTTGTTCAAAATTGTTATAGCAACAATGTATTTGATTATATATGCCTGTGTATATATTATATATGTGCTTATGTGTGCTCATATATAAGTAAAATGAATGACAGCAATGACACAAGGGATGGAGGGAGGAATTAGGATAGAAGGGAGAAATACGATTGTTATTATAAGGTACTCACACTTCCCATGAAATGGTATAGTGTTAATTGAAAGTGGGCTTAGATTAGTTGTAAATGTATATTGCAAAATCTAGGGCAACCACTGAAAAAAGTCAAAAAAGGAAAAAAAAGAAAAAGAAATGGTATAAATGTGGTATTAAGAAGTTTGGAGGGGGATAGCAGAATAAATAAATAAAAGAGTTAGAAAATGATTGTCTTTGGGAAGTGGGAGTTGGTGAAAGGCTGGGGACTGTTGCTTTCCATGAGACTAATTTATGAAACTATTTTCTTTTTAAAACTATATACATGTATAACGTGGAGAAATGTAAAACTAAACAACAAACAACAAAATGGATAAAAGCAATTGTATTTATGTTAAACCCCAAGTCTGACTTTTTTTGAGTCAGAAACTTCTCTTAGGTCAGGAACTTATGGCCAAATGCTAAGTTGTACAGCACATAGTCTGGTGATAAATATTTTGATAAAAAAACACAAATGATTGTAATTATGCCCAAACTTTAGTATCTTCATTTTAAATGAGTATTTCTTAAACTGCAAAATAAGTTTCTCCAGAAAAGATAGGAAAGTTTTCAGCTTGTTAGAGAAAGAAATAATTGAAGAAAAGACTACCATTTGCCTCTACGTGATAGCCATGCTTTACTTGGTAATGTCTACAAACTTACCTGAACAGAAGAGCATCATCTGTTAGAAATTTTGGCAAATTGGAGTCTTGTAAAGCTCTTATCAACACCACATCTTCATTTAGGTCTGGGTTTTCTCTTTTTAAAGATCTAAATTTAAAGGAATATTTCGGATAATATCACAAGAACATAAGGTTGAACATGATTTTCTAAACCTGTGGGGAGGGCAGAGCCCTTCCCCTGAGGATTCCTGTTAGAAGGAGAAGATCATTTTCCCTCGTGTGTTCAGCGTTCATCTCCATCAGAGCATACTGACAAGTCCTGCAATGGCTATGCAGCCTTGGAGAGAATGACAAGGACATCTTCTCATCACCCTCCCCAATCCCGATGTTATTCAACCTGAATTTATAGTTCCCTGAATACACCATGATGATTCCTATCGCTGTGATTTTCTTTTCTCCCTGCCCAGAATATCTTGCCTTGTTCTTTGCCTGCTCTTATTTCCCCTGCGAAACCCAGCCCAGTGACTCCCTTTTCTAGAAAGCTCCTGTCCTCTATCCTCCTTCTCAGTGAACCTCTGGTGGGTGCAGCCCTGTTGCTGCCCTCCCTGCATTGCAGCTACATGACTACACATTGGTCTGTCTCTACGACCCACTGGACTGTAGTTGTGCTCCTCCAGTGCAAGTGTATCTCAAGTTCTTAGTATTCCTAGTCCTTAAATGGCCATCCTGTAAAGAGGGGACATACTATATCTGAGAGGTTAAAAGATAGAACAGAGGGTAGGAAAGTGCAGGGAGATTCATGCAGAGCCCAGTGATGCAGGAGCCAGGCAGAGGGTTCCTGGATGTGCAGAACCTGAGCCAATGAGTCATGGCCTGAGAGGAAGGACTAGAGATAAAATAGGTCTCCTTAGAGGCTCTGGACAAGTTGGGGATTCCAGATGCAGTAGTTTCAAGAAGTTATAAAGAGAAAAGTGGGGTCTGAGAAGAGGAAAGACTCTTTCTTTACTAGATACTAGAAAGAAGCTTAGGCTTGGGCCACGTTATAAAGACAGAGGTGAAATCTAAGACATAAGCTGAACTGAATTGGAATTATGAAGTTTCTTTAAACTCCTGAGGCTTTCTCAGGCAACAAGTATGACTGGCTTTGTTGCATATGCATAACAGACTGTGTGTCTTTTAAGTCTAGTCATACCATCTTATGGTGGTAAAGGTTTTTGTACACAAAAGACCGATGTTTGAATTTGAGTTCAGGAGAAGTGAATATTATCCTAAGCCTAGCTGGGGATCATTTTCTGTCGAGGACAACCATGTTAGGACTCACAGTGAAGAACTGTCACAGGATAAAGAGAGAGAGCCTGTGTCAATCTGTCATGGAGTGTCAAGGTAAGAATGATGACAACAGCAGCAGCCAACATTTATTAATCAGTTACTCTCTGAGAGCCTTTCCTGAGTTACCCATTTAATGCATTTGATCACATGGTTTGGGATTTCACTCTTGACTACTTTGGTTTCTTACCCAGCCATGACCAGGACAGACTTCACAGCTCTCATGCCAAAGTCGTAGTGATCCTGCTGAGACAGCTGCTCACTGCAAAGCTTATACATCTGAGTCATTTTTCTTGCTAATATTTTACTGGATTCAAATCCTTCAGAATATAGAATTACCTAGAATAGAAAAAATAATGCAATGCTTATTATATTGTATTGATAACAATGTATTAGCATGATACCAACATAGTCAAAATTGACTCTAAACATTATACTTTCCAAGTTGTTATGTCTTTTAATCAAGAAACATAAAGATTGAAGGGAAAAAGGCTTTCTGTGCCACAGGAAACGGGAAGGCAGAATATTGTATGGGGATACCTAGGCACTGATTCTGTTTTCCATGTGTAGATGAAGATGTAGCTTTGGGGACATTTGGTTCAAGGAACAGAAGAGCCCAGCTTTTGAAAATGTTCCCATCGTGAAAGTTGGATGGTGTCATTAGGCCCGAGTACAAAAGCAAGAACTGAGCTTCTCTGATCTGACAGGAACACCACCCTAGTGGAGAGTGATTACCACCAGCTCCCTTAGTTTCCCGAGGAGTCAAGGGAAGCCATGCAAAGATTGTCAGCCTCTCCTCTGCCTTTCTTCTGACAAGTTTCTGCATCCTTGGTTAAATTAATCAGATGATGCTTAGTGTCTCTGACAGTGGAGCTGGAAGCGGACCCTTTTTTCTATTTATAATCTGCCTGAAACACTGCAGTTGGCCTCAGATGCAGAATTTAGAATGACGCAGAGTTCTTACTGGTGTCTGTTTTGTTTACTGCCCTATCCCTGCTGATTAGCACAGTGCTCTGCACACAGTAGGTGATTAAAAATATTTACTAACAGGCCAGGTGCAGTGGCTCACACCTGTAATCCCAGCACTTTGGGAGATCGAGATGGGTGAGTCACTTGAGGTCAGGAATTTAAGATCAGCCTGACCAACACGGTGAAACCCCATCTCTACTAAAAATACAAAAAATTAGTCAGGCATGGTGGCAGGAGCCTGTAATCTCAGCTACTTGGGAGGCTGAGGTAGGAGACTTGCTTAAACCTGGGAGATGGAGGTTGCAGTGAGCCGAGATCGTGCCATTGCACTCCAGCCTGGGTGACAGAGCCAGACTCTTTCTCAAAAAAAAAAAAAAAAAAATTACTGACAACAGAATCTAATTCATTTAAACTCTAAAAATAATAGGAATAGCACTCAGAAGACTAGACTTTCAAATTCGTCCAATCCATTACTGAGTACTATAACAACAGGACAAAGCATGAGATATGGAAAACATGTTGGACTGGACTCTAAACCTGGTTTTCTTCCTACCAAGTTGGGACAATGAGCAAGTCATTTATTGTCCCTGTTTGTAGAGAGGGTCAAGAGTAAAGATACTACCTGTCCTAACTGCCCCCCACCCCACCATGCCCACAGTGGGTATGGGGGACCCCTGAGCTGCTGTAAGCATTATACTAATTGACATAGTTTGGATGTTTATCCCAGCCCAAATCTCACATTGGATTATAATTCCCAGTGCTGAAGGTGGGGGCTGATGGGAGGTGTCTGGGTCATGGGGGTGGATCCTTGATCCCTCATGGCTTGGTGCTGCTTTGCAATAGTAACTGAGTTCTGAGATCTGGTCATTTAAAAGTGTGAGGCACCCCCTCACCCACTCTTTCTCTCTTGTTTCTGTTTTCACCATGCACAGTGCCTGCTCCCACTTCACCTTCCACCATGAGTAAAAGCTCCTTAAGGCCACCCTAGAAACCGAGTAGATGCTAGCACCACACTTCCTGTACAGCCTGCAGAACCATGAGCCAATTAAACCTCTTTTCTTCATAAATTACCCAGTCTCAGGTATTTCTTTATGGCAATGCAAGAAAGACCTAATACCCTAATATAGGTTGTAATTTTTCTAATGATAGGATTTGGCACAGTCTACTCTATTCTTAAGCAATTACTTTTATTTCACATAGAAGAATATTTAAAATTAGCTGTTATCACAGGAATTTATTAGCCAAAGGAGTGATCTGTGCTTTCTGAGAAATTCCATCCTAAAGGGGTAGTGTCCCTTGTTATGAAATGTAGCATGGAGCACACAAGGGGTCTTCTGGAGTCCTAAAAATGCCTTATATTTTGGTCTTGGTGGTCACACAGATGAATGCATGTGTAAGAATTCACTGAGCTGCACCCTGTGAGCTGTGCTCTTTATTGTGTATAAATTATACCTCAATAAAAAGTGCCATGAAAAATACGTATAAAATTTAGCTGGATATAGTGTCATGTACCTGTAGTCCCAACTACTCAGAGGCTGAGGTGGGAGGATTGCTTGACCTCCATTTAGTTCCAGCCTGGGTAGCATAGTGAGACCCTGTTTCTCTTTTGTAAAAAAGTACAAAATGTGAATATATCAATTCTTTTTAAAAAACTATTTTATTTTTAACTAATTAAATATTTATTTATTTATTTTGAGACTGGGTTATGAGACTGGCTAATTTTTATATTTTTGGTAGGGACGGGATTTCACCACATTGCCCAGGCTGGTCTCTAACTCCTGGACTCAAGCGATCCTCCCACTTTGGTCTCCCAAAGTGCTGGGATTACAGGCCTGAGCCACTGTGCTTGGCCAAATACATCAATTTTTGGCTAGCATTTAAATTCTTGGCTATTTAAAGCCAGTTTAAATAGAAAGATGCCTAAGTAGATACAGAAAAAACAAACATGATTATAAATAATTTGTTAATGATTACTATTTTTTGACTAAGTTGATACATACTTATAAACCAATCTCCAACCACTTCATAGTGAGGAGGCTTCTACTTAGCATCCCTTGACTCCAGTAAAAAATAATGTGCAAAGAGAAATAAAAATAATCTGTGTTTTTGTAATGAATCCAGACATTTTAATTCCTAGAGAGGAACTGAAAAACCCCAATGAACTGGTTAATTAACTCATTGATTCTTTCCAGTTTTAGGGGCCTATTATATTCCAGATACCATTTTGGGTATTATGGCTATAGCAGTAAACAAACAAACATGCAGAACTTAACATTCCATGTGATAACAATCATATCTACACTTAATAATGTGTAACCATTAATAGGGGCATTCATAAAGGAAACTTTCTACCTTGATAGAATCGAATGGTAAATAAAAGAAAGAAGTTTACATTTCTGCTGCTTTATAATGTGATGCTCACCTCTGCAATCAAGGCATAATTTGGAACCATCATCGCAAATGGTCTAAACAGGGCTTTCAAATTATCTGGCAATTCAGTTCTCCCTGCATAGCCAGGATTCATTGTGATGAAGGCTGCACAAGTCATCACCAACTTTATTTCCCGCCCCTCAAACATGAATCTAGAGAGCTGTTCGAAGATAAAATATAAGTTAACACTCTTCCAGACACTTGTAAAATTTTTCACCTAATTATTACTCGAATACAAGACTCATGTAATGAAGCACTAAAGCAAAGACTACTGAATACCATTGTTGGACAACAGGGAACATTTCTGATTCTGTCCTGTCTACTTCCAATCTCTTCTGGGCTCTGTGTTTCCTGATTTCTGTCTCCCTGCACCTGACTTGCCCAAACTGTCTCTTCCTTCCTAGCCAAGTCCTGAAATCTTCTAGGTCTGAACATATACTGAGCCTCTTCAATTCAACTTTCTATTTTTTTTTTTGAGACAGGGTCTTGCTTTATCTCCCAGGTTGGGGTGCAAGTGGCATGATCAGAGCTCACTGCAGCCTTGACATCTCAGGCTCAAGCAATCCTTCCACCTCACACCTCAGCCTGCCAAGTAGCTGGGACCACAGGCACACCCCACCACGCCCCACTAATTGTAAATTCATCTTAAACTTACTGACCATTAAACCTTCTCCACTCCCACTTTCTGGTATTCCCCAAGAAATTCCAACTTAATCTTAGTCTGAGTTGTTGAGGCCCCACTGTCACTGTTTTTGTCACCACCCCTTCACTTTTACTTAACAGCAAACACTTGTTGAGCACCTGTTGCAGGTGAGGCAATAGGTGAGGCATGGAGGCACACAGCTGAAGGAGCCTCACTCTTGAGATCTCCAGAAACTCCCAGGCTTGCTGTCTGCAATCAACCTGGAAACCATGACCACACAGTGCAACACATACTACAGTGCAGGTGTGTGCAAAGCCCATGGGGGTAGTAGACAACCTGCTTGGGACCTGAAGAAGGAAGAAGGATGTTTCAGGTGGAGGAACAGGGGCAGCCATTCCAGGAAAAGGGAGCAGGAGCAAGAAACAACACTGCATGTTCCGGAAATGATGAGCAATTTACTTTGCTAAAGGGCAAAGTTCCAGAAAGCATAGCTAGGCTGGGCCTGAGCATCAGGAGTCCTGCACACTAAACTAAGGAATTTAGATTTTGTCCCATGTTTGGGGGGAAGCAGAGTGATAGGATCAAAATTGGCAGCAGAGAGGTTGGACAGGCTACAGACAGGGAGACCAGTAAGGAATGATCATTAGGGACATAATGAGAGCCAGAATTCAAGAGGTGTAAGTTGGGAGGAGAGGCATCTAGCAGATAAAATTAACAAGACTTGGTGATGGCTTAGATTCTGGGATTAATAGTGATGGGTCAAATCCAAGGTGAGTTCCAGGTTTCTAGTTGGGCACTAGATGAAGATGCTATCAACAGACATGAGGAATACAGGGAAGACCAGGATGGAGTAAGGTGATGTGCCACAGCCTGGAGGAGAGAATGCATGGTACAACTGGAGACCATTTCTGCTGCTGCTGAATGGTTGCTTGTGCTAGCAAACCTCTCAATTTCTGTGGTTTAGTTTACCTATTCTAAACAGTATACCCCACCCCAACTGTCTCATAGGGCACTGGCAGCTTCAGGACGAGGCTGGTTATTTGCAGATGCTCTCCTGTCTCCTCTGTCCTCATGTAGCTGCTCTCCAGTGGGCAAAGCTTCAATCCTGCCTCTACTCTCTCTGGTCCCTGTCCCCTTACTCCATATACTTTGCTTTCAGTGAATTGCTCAGCCAGATGATAATAACTTGCACAATATAGACTATGCTATCTCTGTATTTAAAGATCTTGTGTTTAATATAGGCCTCCCCAGAGTATGCGGGAACAAGAGGGAGTACAGATAAGGGAGCTTAGACTTTAGAGTCTAATAATTTTTGGTGTCTATGAAAATATTTTTTTAACTTTGAATTCTTTTCACCTATTACCTTGGGGGAAATGACATATACTTCACGTAGATTTGGTGTAAGATGAAATAAGTGTGAGCACATACCATAATGACTTACACAATTTAGTAGCTCACTATAGTCCAAGTCATGATTTCTTTTTATTTGTTCTGTAATTCGCTTTTTTGCAGAGGGCGATAATCAAAATATTTAACAACTCTTATCAGGACACCTTCCAATGAGATAGCCTCTGCCTCTGGAGCTAGAGCTGAGTCCAGAGTCCCCCGTGCTGTGCCAGGATGAACCCTTATTGTTGAATCGAGAGGACGTCTGGGGCTCTTCCGAAAGGGCCAAGGGAGTAGTGGGGGCCCTCACAGGGCTTGGAGCAGTGCTGTTTTGGTTTGTAGAGGCTGAACACCAGTGCTGCCCATTGTGACCAGATCTCCAAAGGTCAACACAGAGTGGTAGAGACTTGGTCCCAACCTTCACTGCCATCAGCTTCTGAATATGAAATCCCTTCTCTAGAGACATGCTAATAAGGGGCTAAAACAAATTTTAAATAACAGGACCACTCAGTGTCTTCATCTGGCACCATATTCCTTGGATTTTCTAGTCCAGTGAGCTCTGGAGAGCCAAGGTCCCCTTGGGCTCCCCAGGATTCCTCCCTAACATTTTTAGCATCTCCTTCCTAAAATGTAACATTCTGTGAGTTAATGACAAATTTAAGGATTGCTACCTTGAAAGTCGATTGCCCAGTGCCTTACCTTTGCCGCTTTGGCGTTCCTAATGGTAATGAGTTGCTGCGCGATGACGGACAGAACTTCTATGTCAATTCGATTAAATTCATCAAAGCAGCACCAGGCCCCTGACTGTGCCAAGCCACTGAAGAAGCGCCCCATCATCTGAAATCAAAATAAAGCAGTTCAACTTTGTATTGTGTAGTTCAGCTCCTTCAAAAATTAAATTCTGAGCTGAAATATTAAAGAAAAAAGAGGTGGTATCTGCAAATAAGCAATAGTTTTATGTGAATACTGGTCTATGTCAGAAGTAAACACTTTTCTACAAGAGGAAATATGTTTTTGAGTCTCTCTAAGTGATTTGAATCTGTTTTATTTTTAAACAAAATGACAATCTGACCAATTTTCCTTCTTGTTTATAACCTCCACTCACCTCTGCAAATACTTGACAGATTCTCAAATAGTTTAACACATGGAACATACAAACTTAAGAACTTTAAAAAAACTTGAAAAATTTTACTAATGGAAGCTTTCATTGTCTTTAGAAGGTATTCTACATGGCAGACACACACAAGGACTACTGAGCAGAAGGCATAGCTGTGCAGATTATAGTAGTGATTCTTAATTTCTTCTACAGCAGAATCCTAATGGTGGAGGAAAATAAGAATGTACCATCTAAAGTGTGGCATTTCTTTTGGGCACTTGAGATATTGGTTAAGCATGTATATAAATCTTGCATTATACCATATATCTATCTCTTTAGTAATAGAACTAGTGGTTTTAAATTTCAAGGTGGTCAACTGAACACATACTACTTCCCCCCTTCCTCCGATTCCCACAAATCACAGAAAGGCTGATAGATCTGTGTGCATATCTCTCTCCTTTTCTGTGACCACACTTATACCTGTACCTGCTTGATAAAAACATAATGGAAAGGGAAGCCAGCAGGAAGAAGGTTTTGAAAAAAAAAAAGCTGGAATATGGAAAGCATAGGGAAACAGACTGTTCAACTGAGAAGGGAGAATTGCAGCCCCAAAACAGAGGGAGAGGAGTAATGCCCATCATGAGGTCTCTAAGAAACTCCAAACCCAATATCAATATACACAAGTTGCAATTCATGCAACATGAATACATACATGCAGCAAAGCAGACACAGGCCCTAGAGAAATATTTGGAAATGAGGCAAAGATCCACACTTGGAATGATTGGGTTTATGGGTCCTTCCTCTCTCTGTTCTCCCTTCCTCTCACCCCAAGCAGACTAAACAGGGCTCTTGAGATTTTAGTGCTGAGATCCCCACCAGGCTAAAATGAAGGACTGCCTCATAAGCAAAGGGGGAGATCTGCCTTGGGGAGATATTAATATTAGGAGATACTGGGAGACGATATTAGGCTTGGGAGATAAGGAAAGCAGAGACAAGGAGAGAAAGATGGTTCCAGACTTCCACTTCAGTCGCCGAGATTCAAAAATAATAAAAGAAAGTGAAACCCACTGAAATGTACTACTTTAGAAGGAAAATCCTTATTATTTGGCATTCGATGTGGGCTTTCTCACTTACTGGCTGCTCCGTGTGCATACATTCTATGAAGAAGCCTGCTGGCCACACATTCTATACTTCCACAGAGCTCTTGGTAGTTCTTTCATTCAAGGAAGGGGCATTTGGGGGAAACAAGCTGTTTACACTAATTAAATTAGTCCTTCATCTATACTTATGAACCAATAGGTGAAGATTCAAGAAAGAGAAAGAATGAGAAGAATAAACTAACGGGCAACTTTGGAGAAAGTGGAGATAATTTAGGGAACAGAAAGTAATTTTACAAAATTGAAATGGAATCCTCAGAGAGATCTGGGAGGGAAACACATTCCTAAAATAAAACAAGATACTCTAAAAAAAGGGATTAGTCAGAGATAAGAAACAGTCCCTGGAAATTAGTAATAATATAGACAAGGTAAGAGAAGTTGAATGAATGCATGGAATGATAGCATGGACAGGACTAAAGACTAAGTTGGTGTTCTGTACAACAAAGCTGCAGAATGCTTCCATATTGTAGAGGAATGGTCTTCATACTTAGCATACATGTAAGTCCTGGCATACGTGGAGACTTCCCAAGGGATACTTTTGAACAGTTTTAAAGGAAGTAACAAAGAAAATTCCAGATCTTGATCTGTGACACAGACTCTTTGCTAATATTTTTCTCTTTGAGAACATGTCTGTGGTCATGGTGGTTCTTCATTTCCGTTTGCTCTTCAAAAATGACCCTCTTTCTCTGCCACTCCTGGCTCTGCAGTTTGTGCCTGGCTGAGGAGGAGAGTGGGGGGTTTGAAATCCAGCCCTGACACGGCTGGTGACTTGGTGAACGCGTGCCACAGGTGTAGAGGCTCAGCAGATGATACTGGCAGCCTTGCTCTTATCCAAACCAGATCTTACTGTGGTGCATTGCCCCAGGATGCAAAAACCTCCAGGGTGCCAAACAAAGGAGCAGTTCCAAATATTGATCATGAACGCAGGAATGCTTGCAATGACTGACTGGTTAACAAATACTTTTTCAAGTCAGGTGATCTCCAATTCTTTGTTTTCAACAAAAGTGAAGGACAGGGTCAATGCCTACAGGCCAAAGATAACCAGGACATACCTGTAGTCAGACGCAATTGGGTTTACCACTTGTTCCAACAAGGGAGACCACACTCTGTGGGGAACCAAGGTTTCTCTTGGTAAAAGGATATTAGGAGGACTTGTCATAGGATTTGGGCTTATGTTAGAAAATTCTGGGGAAGGGTCAGTGAAGAAGGGTTTTGCTCTATTAGTTTTTAAGAGCTACTATAACAAATTGCCATAAACTGAAGGGCTTAAAGCAGCAGAAAATTATTCTCTCACAGTTCTAGAGGCTAGAAGTCTGAAATAAAGGTATCAACAAAGCCATGCTCATTCTGAAGGCTCTTGGGGGTAGGATTCTTTCTTGCCTCTTGGTAGCTTCTAGTGGTTGCCGGCAACCCTTGGGATTCCTTGGCTTCTTGTACTGCATCACTCTGATCTCCACCTCCTGTGTATCTTCACTTGGCTGCCTTCTCTCTGTGTATCTATATCTACATTTTTCTCTTCTTACAAAGGCACTAGTTAGTTATTGGATTAGGGCCTGTAGAATTCCAGTATGGCCTCATTTTAAACATCTGAGTCTTTATAAATGTAAAGGCCCAAATTAGGTAACATTCACAGATATTAGGCATGAGGACTTGAACATATTTTGAGGGGACACAATTCAATCCACAACACTGTGGATTAGGTGCTGGTAGGAAGCAGGGGCAAGTTTATGATGGATATAATAATAACATTATACAGGAGGCTGAGGCTGTCATTGGTAAAGGTGAAGCAGTTACACAGCTTAGCCTGGAGAGGGGGATATTAGATTATTTTTTGTGGTTTGGACAGCATTCTTGTGTGTTTTCAGACACGATTATGGCATCTCATTCCATAATGGATGCATCGTGACCTGGTCTGTAGTTGGTGGTCTGTGAAATTGTTTGTGTTCAACCGGAGAAGCAAATAGTCTGAGTCAGGTCGGCTCTCAGCGGAGAGCAGTCAGGGGCTATTTTGTTTTGTTTTGTTTTGTTTTTCAGAGACGAATTGTGTAGCAATTAATTGACCATTAGAAATAAGTTTTGGTGTTATTTCTATCATTTTATTTTGTGATGATTTCTACTTTAAAAAAACTTTTTATTTTGAAAAATTTCAAACATACACAAGAGGTGAAAGAAGGTATATGCCACCCAGCTTAAAATTACCAACATTCTATTTTCAAAATACTCTCCAACATTTTTTGTTGTTATTTTAAAGCAAACCCTAGACATCATATTGTTTCACAATAAACTCTGTAACACATAAGAACCCCAAATTACCCAAATCAATACTGCTAACCTACCCAAAGAAAAACCCATTACTTAATATCTTGTTCAATTGTCCTCAATGGTACTGATATTATCCTTTTACAATTGGTTTGTTCCGACAAAGATACAAGCAAGGTACAAACATTGCATTTGGTTACTGTGTCTCTTAAATCTCTTTAAATTTATAGCAGTTCCCTGAATCCTCTCTCTTTTATGCAATTTATTTTTGAAGGTCTGTAAGTTATTTTCCCTATAGAATTCCCCTGATTCCATATTTAGCTGATTGTATTCTTGTGGTGTTAACATGGTCCTTTATCTCATACACCTGTACTTCTTGAAAACTGGTATTTAAATCTAGAGACTCCATTAGATTCATTAGGTTGAAGTTTAATTTTTTTTTGAACAGGAATAATTCATAGCTTGTATATCATAACAGGAGATATGTATTTTTTGATTGTCAAAGTTGTGATCGATGGATTACTAGTCTGATTCGTCCATTATAAATTTTCCAATTAGTCTTTAGTGGTTTTAGCAATGATGGCCATTGCTAGATATATTGTTTTTTGAAGGTTGCAAAATAGTAATTTCTAATGTTATCATCCCTTCTGCATTTATTAGTTGTGATTATTCTATAAAAATTTTTCCTCATCAACTTTTTTATTACCCCAAAAAACAGTCCACAGAAAAGGCAGGATAAATACTTAATTCTTTTTCTTTATCAATTTTTCAAATAAGTTGTTTCCCTGGAAACCTCTAAGGTAATCAATGAGTTTTTTGTTTTACATTTTTTGGTTAATCATTGTATATTCATGAATTTAAAAATGTTTTATGTGTTTTGATCCATTCCAGTTATTATTATCATTCTTGCATTGTCCCATCTTTGGTCAATGAGATCCTCTTTAGTAACATTCTGATTATTGATATGGTCACATCAATTTTTGGTATTTTGTTGTGGCTATTTCAGATAGGACAGGATGTTGCAGGCTCATTTTATGCATTTCCTGCCCCAGACCTAGAACCAGCTCTGGTTACTTTCAGTAGGAAAAGGTACTTAAGACCACAGTCTGGGTACTAGAGGTGATCACTATTTTTAGGCTGTCAATGTCCCTTTTTAGAGGACAGAACTAAGAGATAATACCTAACTGAGAGAAGAAATCAGTATCAATAACATATTAAAAACACTATTAATCAATTTAAAAAAGCATAAGCAAGCCAAGAGAACATGGAGAAAAGATGTAAATAGGTATTTCACAGATGAGAAATCCTACAGTATAAACATTTGAAAAGACATTCAACCTCATTAGTAACCAGGAGAATACAATGGGATACCATTTCATACTCCTCAGACTGACAACAGTTATGGAACCTGACAGCATGGGCAAGGATGTGGAGCATAGGCAGCTCTTATACATTTGCAGGGGGAGTATAAATTACCACAATCACGGAAGAAGCATTTGTCCTTATTGAGTCAATATGATACGTATATGTACCTTGAGACCAACTCCTATATTCCAAGCCAAATAAACCAGGCACCCATTCACCTGGAGATCTGTGTAATAATGCTTATTGCAGCATTGCTTACAGTAGCAAATACTATATTAGAAACAACCCAAATACCTATCAGAAAGAGAATGGATGAAAAAAATCATAAAAACAGAGCAGTGAAAACGAATTAAAAAAATAGAGCTATAGTATTAGCCTGGATGAATCTCATAGACAAAGTGCTCAGTGGAAAAACCAAAATGTAGAATGTAGCACACAGAATGATACTACGTTTTAAATTTAGGACCACACACACACATATGCACACATGTGAATAATAACCCCCAAATTCAGAATAGAAGTTACCCCTGGTGAAGAGAGACAGAGGATTTCAAGTGCGCTGGTAACATTTTATCTCTTAGCTGGGAGGTGGCTAAGTAGATATTCATTATTTTATTCTTCATATCTTTTTATGTTTCTAAATTTGCATATAATATGTATTTTTTTTTAAAATGGGAGAGAACATTTGACTTGAATCAAAGGACGTGTTCAAATTCTTTCTCTGACATTTTCTAGTGGTGACTGCTGGCGAGTTACTTCACTGCTCCAAATCTCACTCCCATCTGTGCAGTGATGACAACACCTATCACAGAGGAATGCTGGGAAGGTAAATCAGATAATATGCCTTCTGCTGAGTCTAAACACAAAGTCTCAACCCAGTGCTTGAATATTTCATTTGCTTTTTGTAGAAAGGAAGAGCTTCAAAGTAGACCAAATCCTGAGGAAAACTTTAGGGCAAAAGAGTTCCTGGAGAAGCAGGAACTAGGTCTTGGGAAAGGTAGTGCATCTGACCAAGGATCTGTAGTGTAACCTCCTCCTGCCCAAATCTCTCCTCTCTCTTATGAAGTTGTCAGGAACCGGAAAAAGCAGGTAGAGAAAACAGGAAAAGGGGACTGGTCAGAGCCCTGGGGAACATCCACACATGAAGGGACATTTAAGGCAGAAAATAACAGCCCTTGGAGACAATCTTGTTTTGCTTAGAAATCTTATGTTGCAGAAACCGTTAGAGGATACCATTCCTCTTTCTCTGGAAACTGCTTACCACATCTAGCTCTCAACAGCCATCCATGCCTGTATGAATCAGACTATACCCCCTTCTTCTGGCTATTGCTCACGAATCTAGGGGTGATCACTTGAACCCACTTTGCCAATTAGAATCCTACTTTCAAAAGTTGAAATGTGACCTTGCTGTTTTCTTGGCGAGGTTCTAGAGAGAAGGCTCTAAAGTTCTCAATGCCAAGGAGTTGGCTGCCCTAGTTCCTACTCAGCCTGAGTCATGCTCACCTCTTCTCTGGATTCCATGAGATATCCCACTATCTCAGTAACCTTTCAATAAGTTTATTTATTTTTATTGTTGCTTAAAATATAAAATAAGTGTGTTTATGTGTTTAGCAATCTAAACAAATACAAGAAAATTAGCAACAAGCAAGAGAAAATATGAGGGTAAGAGAAGTGGAGAACAGAAGTAGGAGGCCCAGAGCAGAGAACAGAGACATAATGATAAGCAAAGAAGCAATAAAATGAGGTCTCACTAGGCTGACAAAAGACATATTTTTCTCATTAAAGAGTTCCCCAAAATGACAAACCAAATGAATAAAGAAAATTATTTCATCTAGACACATCCTGGTAGATTTTCATAATACCGAGGATCAAGAGAAAATCCTATAAGCTGCCACAGACAGAGAGGAAGCAAAATATTATTAAACCTCCAAAATGTATTAAGCCATGATCAGTTTTATCATTAGCAAAATGCACACTAGAATACAATGAAGTGAGGCCTTCAAAGTCAGGTGAGAAAATCATTTTAAACCTATAATTCCACCCTCTACAAATTATCAATCAAGTATGATGACTCAGTAAAGACAGAATATTTATAAACTTGAATGGGAAAAAAATTGCTCAAGGAAGTATTCCAACAAAATTAAAATGAAACATAAGAAAGACGCAAAACTGAAATACAAAAAACAGTGGCAGCTGAATCTACTCTAGAACAGTGGTCCTGAAATCTGAGTGTGCATCAGAATCACCTGGAAGTTTGTTTCAAAAAAGCCTCTTGTTGCTGTGCTCTAGCTCCAAAGTTCTGATTAAGTAGGTCTGAGGTGGGGCTTTATAATTTGCATTTCCAACAAGTTGTCAGGTGATGCTAATGCTGTTGGTTCAGGGTTCACGCTCTCAGAACCACGGTCTCAAAGTGGACCAGTATCGATTTGCACCACCTTGGCGGATGTCAGAAATGCATAATTTCAGGCCCCACCCCAGACCTGCAGATCATAATATGTAGTTTAATAAATATCTCCGGGTGATTCACAGCACACAGTAGTTAGAAAAATAATGGTTCTGGCCGGGCGCGGTGGCTCACGCCTGTAATCCCAGCACTTTGGGAGGCCAAAGCGGGTGGATCACGAGGTCAGGAGTTCAAGACCAGACCAGCCTGGCCAAGATGGTGAAACCCCCATCTCCGCTAAAAATACAAAAATTAGCCGGGTGTGGTGGTGGGCACCTGTAATCCCAGCTATTCAGGAGGCTGAGGCAGAGAACTGCTTGAACCCGGGAGGCAGAGGTTGCAGTGAGCCGAGATTGAGCCACTGCATCCTGGGCAATAGAGCGAGACTCCGTCTCAAAATAAAAAATAAAAAAAGAGAAAAATAATGGTTCTAGAAGAAGTAAAGAAAGTGGAAAGAAAACACAGTCCACTAACCCTGAAGCTTAGGATGTTTACTTTGAATGGCAGGGGTTTGTGATATATGTATTGATCTTTCTCTGTGGGGCCAATTATTCTATTAAATTCCACTATGAACAATCTTTGATATTATAAGCACTGTATAAGGGATTTACATTTTTATGTTCAGCCCCCAGACAAAGCAGTGAAGACATAATTTAGTTATAGAATAAAATACAAATTTTATAAAACTTGACATGGTAAAAGTGAGGTTGAAATAGAAAGTCCAACTTCATTAGACACACAAAGTTGTGTCTAATAAAATCCTCATCTATTTAATATGTTGGCAGATAGTGTCCAAAGTGGGTACATAAAAATATAGAAACAAATGTATGTTTTTACAGTTTAAATAGCAACCACCAGAAAAAATAAAGCCAAACAAGGATCCCTGCAAATCCATGAGTTTTTTTTTTAGGGGATCTGTGAGGCCAAAGTGTTTTCATAATAATACTAAGGTGTTATATGCCTTTTTCATTCTCACTCTCTCATGAGAGTATAGAGTACGAAAAGATGTGTATATGGTTTAAGTTTTAACATAGCAAATAACCTTTAAGAAACTAACATTTGTCAAGTTTTGGTGTAGTTCAAAGAAGAGTATAAACAATTAACTGAAAAAGTTATTTAAAAAAATTCCTCTTTTCAGAGTCCATATCTGTGTGAGGTTAGATTTTCTTCAAATGTTCAACCAAAAAAACATATCCCAACAGACTGAATGTAGAAGCAAATCAGAGAATCTGGCTGTCTTCTATTATGCCAAATATTAGCATAATAGCAATATCTTGAAAATATTAGAGATTTTCAAAAATATAAAATAGTGGGACAATGTTTTTTGTTTGGAAGTTTTGTTTTACAAAAACATGTTTAAGTTAACATATAATGGGCTTACTGTTATTTTTTTAACAAATAAATATATAAAACATATTTTACTTAATTTTTTCTAACATGGTAAATATCAACATACGTAACCCATATGAACAAAAGCTCTTTGGAAGTCTCAATAATTTTTAAGAGTGTAAAGGGGTCCCATGACCAAAAAGTTTGAGAACCACTGTATTGAAAAACCTTACCATGAATTCTCACCTCCCACATATTTCATGTTCAATACACCATTCTCTAAATTGCCAATTTCCTACTCTAAGCTTAGTCCTTGTTCTTCGGTTTCCCTGCTATTCTATCTTGTACCTCATCTCGTTTCTTTCTTCTTACTGACATGTACAGATTTTTATTTTTTTCACCATTTGACAAATCATCCCCTGGCCTTGATTCTTATCCAGACTACCCAGACCACCACGTGTTGACTCTTCTCCCTTGCTCTATTTATTCCACTTTAACCATTATTTACCCCATTTCTTTTCTCTTGCTTGTCATCACTCCATTCTTGCCTTATTTTGTTATGTCATGTTGCAAATAGAGAAAGACACATAAAACACTTAATGTTAATATTCAGATGCAAGAACTGTACCTTGTAGTCCAAACCATCTGAACAGTTAAAGACCACACACTGGATGGCAAGAGCTTTTGCCAGATCTTTGGTAGTCTCTGTTTTCCCAGTGCCAGCAGGACCAGCTGGTGCACCCCCAAGGTCAAGCTGCAAAGCTCCCATGAGGCAAAGATAGCAGCGATCCTGAAGAAAGCAATGCATTATCAATATGAAGGGAACCAACTCTGGCCACAAATTAAGGCATTTCCTCTCTATGGGGGAAGGATTATTATTTTCTATGAAAAATATAGCAATTGAAATACACCAAAAGATCCATGCACATAATTAAATAATGCAAATATTTGCTTTACAAAGATGTATTCATAATAAATTCTTTCAAGAGTTAATGTCATATGAAACTTTTCAAGACTTTTGATTGAAAAGCACTCTTGTGTCAATATTAACCCAAGTGATCAATAACTTACTGTGAGTGGAGTAATAACCAATCTTGGGCATGCACCCAAATATTCATAGCCATAAGTGTACTGAGAGAGCGCCATTCTAGCCACACAATTATCCAGGTCTATATCCCAGTAATAGCGCAGTTGTCTCTGCCAGTCAAAAGATTCAACTGTCTCCACCTATATGTGATATACATATTAGATACACTAATTTCAGAAAGAAGTATATAATTTTACTTAAATGAAACAGTTACCTTGGATTGAACAAGTTCAGTGACTATATCTCTTGCATGCACATCAATAGTAATCAATGCAGTTAGGATGTTTCTGTGTAATTTAGGAAGACTGCCTTGAACTATTGCAGCTAGGGCATTTAATCTCTACAAATAAAAAAAATTGTCATGGTGAATTTTCCAATATCAGCTTACATATATACATTATCTCTTTCACCATTCAATTTGGAGAGACATTGCTAAAAACCAGCTAATTTTAAGAATCTATAATTTTGTGACCAAACAGGACAATACTTTTATTTAATTCTCATAAGACTTCTGTGAAATATATACTGTCTTTACCCCTATTGTACATTTGAGGAAACTGAAGGTCAGAGAGCATAAGTAACTTGATGGCAGTCACAGAGTTATGAAGCAGCAAAAATGAGACCTGAGTAGACATTTGCCTCGAGGAAAGCCCACGTTCTTAACCACTATGTGATGATTCTCTAGAGGAGAGTGTCCTCCCTAAAAATTAAATGTGGTTAAAGGTGATACTCTTCAGTTTTAGGGGTGGTTTTCCCATTAATATTCAGAAAATCTGAGCATTTTAAGCTAGCCAATGACTGGTTAAATGAAAACATTTTCAGAAAGAGTTAGCTAAATTTTTACTTGAGTTTTACCTTAATAATTAAATCTTTTTCAAGGAAGAGCAGCGCCTCTGAGGACCTTGCACCATTGTGCTGAAATGTCACTTGGGCCAACCCTGATGAGGGACCACCTCTACACAGAGGCAAAGGAACTTTTTTTAGGGAGTCATTCCTCTTTTCTGAAGCTATGGAGATGAAGTTTCTTTGAGGAATTTCATGAGAGTGTTTTCTCTTACTTCAATAAAGTTGTTTTATTTGATAAATAAATATTGAAAATTTACATATAAATATATATAAAGTTGTTGTATTTCAATAAAGTTGTTTTATTCAATAAGGTTGTTTTATTTTTCTGTTTTAAGGGTGACTCTTTAAAAATGTAGTATTGCTTGGAAGTAGAATTGAATTTGGAGTCAAAAGAGTCGGCCTAGGTCCTTACAAGATATACCGTTTGTAAATATTTTCCTTTATTCCCCAGATTGCCTTTTCACTCTGTTGATTGTTTCCTTGCTGTGCAAAAGCTTTTAAGTTTGATGCAATCCCATTGATCTATTTTTCCTTTTGTTGCTTGTGCTTTTGGTGTTATATCCAAGAAATCAATGCCAACGCCATTGTCAAAGCTTTTCCCCTATGCCTTCTTCTAGGGATTTTACAGTTTCAGGTCTTACATTTAAATCCTTAATCCATTTTGAGTTGATTTTTGTGTATGGTGTAAGACAAGGGTCTAATTGCTCCTACAACTTATGAGCAAAAACCAAATAACCCAATTAAAACTTGAGTAAGGGAAGAGAATAGACATTTATCAGAAAAAGACATATAAAGGGCTAACCGGATATATGAAAAAATGATCAACATCACTAATCATAAGGGAAATGCAAATCAAAAACATAATGAGATGTCACCTCATAACTGTTAGGGTGACTGTTATCAAAAAAACAAAAGATAACCCATGTTGGCAAGGGCGTGGAGAAAAGAGAACCCTGGTATTCTGCCAGTGGGAATATAAACATGGTACAGGCATTATGGAAAACAATATGCCGGCTCCTCAAAAAATTAAAAATGGAACTACCATATGACCCAGTAATCCCACTCTGGTACACATCCAAAAGAAGTGAAGTCAGGATCCGGAGGAGACTATCTGCACTCCTATGTTCATTGCAGCATTATTCACAATAGCCAAAATGTGGAAATAACACAAGTGTCCATCAATGGATGAACGGATAAAGAGAATGTGAGTTGGGCATGATTATCACGCCTGTAATCCAGCACTTTGGGAGGCCAAGGCAGGAGGATTGCTTGAGGGAAGCTTTTGAGACCAGCCTGAGCAATACAGTGAGACCCTGTCTCTACAAAAAATAATAATAATAAAAATAATTAGCTGTGTGCTATGATCGCATCCCTGCACTCCAGCCTGGGCAACAGAGTGAGATCCTGTCTCTTAAAAAAGAAAAAAATAAAAGAAAATGTGGTATACACATACAATGAAATATTTATTATTCAGACTTAAAAAAAGGAAATCCCATAACATGTGGTAGCATGAATAAACCTGGAGGATATTAAGCTAAATGAAATGAGTCAGTCATAGAAGGATAATCCTGCATGATCTATTTATATGACGTATCTAAAATAGTTAAATTCATAGAAAAAGAGTGGTGATTACAGGGAGCTAGGGAGAGGAGGAAATGTGGAGTTGCTGTTCAACAAGTATAAAGTTTTAGTGCTATTTAAATGCTATTTAGCAAAATAGCATTTCCCAGCTATAGCTAAAAGTTCCTGATGGTATTTAAATTCATTGAATTATTTATTGTTTTATTGTTAATTGCCTGACAGTTTTACAAAACAGCAGAAATAGAATTAGAGCCTAGAAATAGTAATGGCATGAATCTGGAGGTTTTCCTGGACTGAATAAACTTCCCTGAGAGGTATCCAGGAACTAGTGAATACAGTTTGTCCTTAAAAGTTGCAAACAATTATAACCCTGGTGTTTTGTTCTGGAATTGTTTTTCCTCCTATTTTCACAAGTATTCACATAAATACTACACAAAAAGTAAGATAGTGTCTCTAAAAAATGTAAAACAAATAATTTTAGAATTGTAAAGCTTTGTAAGAGCTATTACAAATGTCAGAGCATTAGAATTTCTGAAATAAAGTGAATTTGCATTAACTGTGCTTTAAAAAAAAACCCACCAAGACCATCTTGCAGGACAACAATGTCACTTTGTTACAGATCTCACCTCAAAATTTACTTTTTCAAAATTCTTCAGGGCCTGTATATGATTACTGTGTTCTGTTTCCAGACATTCAGTCAAATCACGGCACCACATAATTTGAGAAACAGTCAGGATAACCTGCAAGAAAACATGTTTCTTAAATATGTGATGCATATCACCAAATAAGAATTCAGGGATATGAAATGTGAGTGTGAGTTACTTGAGAAGGGTGGCCAGCAACCACCCAGTCTGTCCTCAGTTTCCCCTGATAGTCAGCGATGGCAGCTTTGCACAGGCGACGCAGAGATGTGAACATGGCTTCTTCCACTTTACCAAGCCATTCCTCTACATTGCCTCGGGCCTTGAGGCCTTTCCCCAAGCTAACCTAAAAGGTAATCAGAGCATTGATAAAGTGGCTTGTGTGGGACTTGTAAGCTGTATGCCTTCTGTATTTCCATTACAGAATCCTAAGCTACATAAACGCTGAAGCCTGACCACAAATACTGAAACTTCTATTGACATTCCACTATGCATCTATCTCCTTTCACCCCACCTATTGCTTTATTTTACTGCTTCCACTTGGAGTCAACTCCCTGAAAGAGGAGTCTATATGCACTGCATGGATTTCTCCACTTATTTTCACTTTCCTACTTGCTGCTATCTGATTTTTGTCCCTGATCACTTCTATTCTCAAGTTTTCCCATGTCCTCCCAACTGAAAAGTCCAAATGACACTTCAGTTCTTGTATCTATTTTTTTGGACTTCCAATGGCTTGACTGTCATGGCTGTTTTGGCTTCCTTCATCTGCTCTTCTTCTAACTTCTCTTTAAATTTCATGTTTTCCCAAGATTCTATCCTTGGTCTTCCCCCTTCTCTTCTGCACCAGTGATGAGCAAATTCTTTTGCAAGAGGATCAATTCAGAACAAATAAAATGTTTATATGTTCCCATAGATACACCACTGTGTTCTTACTGGACCCAATTCCTTAGCATTTCCCTACACAGTTCCTGTGTGTGAAACGTCTCCCATGCCCACATAGAAGATACTCTCCCTTCCATCATACTTGACTTTGTGTGTGTGTGCATATGTGTGGCTCTCCTCTGTGAAGTCACTTGGTTCCTCACAGTATGCTAATATATTCACTCTCTTGGTGTTCCCCATATGCCAGGGGCTGTGCAGTGCCCTGGAGATGCTGCTGCCAGCAACTAACACTTAAATAGTGCTCACAGGGTACTGCTTTAAGTAATTTACATACACTATCCCCTGAACGAGCTCATCATTCCATTAATCAGATACAATTACTAATCCCCATCTTTTGGCTGAGATTAAGGGATGGGACTTAGTCCAAGTGGCCTGATAGTAGAACCAGTACTCTTAACCAGTCCACTAGCGTGCCTCTTGTGGAGAGTTAAATAAGACATGGTTCTAGTTTTATACACTCTATTTCCGGCAACAGAACACATGTTTTTGTTGTTGCATTTTCTGTGGTGATTTTCAGTTGTTTGTTCCACTACTTCTCTGTTAGACTTTGAGCTCTTTGAGGGCAAGAATTTTATCTTGGTTATCCTTGAAACTGCTGAGCCAACAGAGTACCTGTATGCTTAGAGTGAGAATAACCCTAGAGGAGTAGCAAAGTTCATCAATAAAGAAATATAAATAAAAGCACCTCACCCTTTCTCCCTCTGGTGACAGCATTGCTAAAATATCATTAGTATAAACCTTTTCTGGTTCTCCATCAATACCAGGAATCTTTCCTTCGGCAGGAGGCATGAGAGCAAATTCGAGCTTTGAAATGGAGTCGAAGCATTTCCTTAAGTGTGGCTGCACGGCCTGTGGATTTCGTGTCTGGGCCAAAATCTCCAGAAGTTCATCATTTGACAAGAAGTAAAACCTGGATTAAAGAACATCCTTAAAATATAACTTGAAATGGAAGTAAAGTCTTAGACAGACATAAAAGATAAATTCCTTAGCCACATCTCTTCCCTGTCCACCAATTTCCTGGACCTCCAATTATACTGGTCATGGGTTTCTGGGGAAGCCACATATCTCTAAACATGATTTCTGTGAAAATTAGTGATGACGCATTTAGGTGTGATGATGCACACCTAGAATTAGTGTCTAGTACATAAAAGATAGATATTGTTCATAAAATTGTAAAAATGCTAGAAACTGATGTGTTCACATATCTGTCTTACCTGGCTTTAAGCCTCCAGAGTGAAGATGTATTATTTGTTTTCCCTAAAATGTAGCCTAGTATGTCACACATACCTGGTATTCAATACATTATTTGCTGAAGAGTTAACAGATGGATGGGTGGTTGCAGGAGAACCTTATTGGGTTGTGTGAATGTGTACTGGGCCATTCTCTTAACCCAAAGGCATTTGCTATTCCCTGCAGCATGTGCTACTGTGAAAATTGGCATAATGTAATTTTGCCAGCACACCATTTCCAACCATGTGAGGCTATACCTATGTAGAAATAAAACATTTATATATATTCCATATTATTACCAGCAAGATAGGTAAAGGAAATTGTAAACTTAAAGAAGATTATTTTGCTATAGATTGGGGTTGGCAAGTTACAGCCCCAGGCCAAATCTGGCCCACCACCTGTTTTTGTAAATAACGTTTCATTGTCACACAGCCATGCAGACGTACTGTCTGTGGCTCCCTTTGTGTTCCAATAGCGGACCTGACTACAGAGAATGTAAAGCCTACAAAGCCTTGAGTATCTACTATGTGACCTTTTATGAAAAAAAATTGTTTGTCCCTGCTCTAGATAACCAAAAATATTCTAAATGCCAGACTTCATGTAATATAGTTCTTGTATTATGTTTAATCTCTCCAAATCACTCAAAAGGAATTTGATTTATTATCCCAACTGACTATCCTAGTTCATACTAGAATAGGTTACAGCAATTAACTATTAACATTTAAGACAGTGATTTTCAAACTTTTTTTTTTTTTTCCAATCACGGGTCCTTTTTACTGCTGTTCCTATCCCCAACTCTCTCATGTTCTGGAGGACTAAATGTATAAACCAGCATTTAGTGAATGCTCTAGATTGTTGATTGTCAACTTAGCAATATCCCTGCATCAGGGAAAAGCTGGAATGACATTTCTAGAATCTCTTTCCAGTAAGGTTTCAGATTAAATGCTGCCTATGAGATGCTCTTCTATGTGACTGAGAAGGTGGGAGGAAGCAAAGCCATTATTCCCCAACTTGAGCATGGATGACTGAAGCTGGTGGGATTTTATCCTTGGTTTTCAGGTGTCCTCCTGACAATCCCTCCCTTTCTTGTTGCAGGAAGCCGAGACTTTGGTGGCACTTCCCTGAGACCTCTGCCTGTATTTCCAGATTTCCTCAAAGTGGTCCTCAGTTCTTCCCTTCTTCTGCCTCTAGCACCAGTGAAAACTTCTAATTCCCTGCATGAAACTTGCTCTAAACACTTAGAGTGGCTTCTGTGTTTTTGACCAAATCTTTCCCAAGTAATATAACTAGATGTTAAAATTTCAGTTTCAGTTCTGGCTGAAGTTCTAGGACTAGAGTTGTCACATTTCAAAATGAGATGTCAGGTCACCTGGGGCTGACTCATGGGGAGATAGGTGAAGACTCTAGAGTCCTCACTCACTTGAGGGTATGAAAGTGTTAAAGCTGGAGAGGCTGGACAGCTAGAGATAGGAAGATTTTTTGGTAGAGAGATGTACTAAAGGTGCTCGCTATGCCCACGAGAAAGGGTGGGGTTCACTCTCCTCAAGACTAGGCATCTTGGAGAGCTTAACATGCATCCCCACCAATTAATCTAAAGAAAATTGCTCAGGCAACACCGGTCTCTCTTAACTTTTTACACACATGTTTGTGCACATATACACACACACACAGGCACACATATTCATTCAACAATAAAACAGTAAAACAATGGGGTGATCAAGAATCATTTCAATTTGTGGGATCTAAAAATCAAAACAATTGAACTCATGGAGATAGAGAGGAGAAGGATGGTTACCAGAGGCTGGGAAGGGTAGTGGAAGGGTTGGGGCTGGGGAGGTGGGGATATTTAATGGGTACAAAAAATAGGAAGAATGAATAAGACTTAGTATTTGATAGTACAACAGGGTGACTATAGTCAATAATAATTTAATTTAATAATCAATAATAATGATAATTTAATAGTAATAATTTAATTGTGCATTTAAAAATAACTAAAAGAGTATAACTGGATTGTTTGTAACACAAAGGATAAATGCTTGAGGGGATGGATACCCCATTTTACATGATGTGATTATTATGCATTACACGCCTATGTCAAAACATGTTATGTACCCCATAACACACCTACAATATACTGACAAAAATTAAAATAAAAAAAATTGTTTCAGCATCTTACTTACCCACTTAACTATTTATTGAATATTGTATTTTATCCTTGAGACTTATACTCCTCAATTACGATAACTAGTTGGATTTTCATTATCGTAGATCTTTTTTGTTTCTCTCTCTAGTTCCTTCATGCTTTGAGGTTATAATTATAACCTCAACTTGATTGACAGTCATAACTACTAAAAAATATCTTAGGTTGCTTTATAAACTTACCTTGGAAAGATAACTCTTTTTGATTCTAAGTATGCCTCTAGGCACTTCTGAATTTGGTCAAGTAATGCATTATTGTTTTGAAAAGTTTCCAGAAGTCCTGTTCATTAAAAAAAAATAGTATTGGTAAAACTGTGTTAAAATCAAATTTTTTTCTGAAAAAATATCACTTTAAAATGTAATCAATTTATGAATCTTCTCCCTAGAAAACTATTTAATAAAACTCTTATAAAAATATGCTTTGAATTATCCAAACCTAAAGTTAAAATGAGTCATGGAATTGTAATGGCAATAGAAAAATTACAATCACATTATCAGCAAAAGCTGACAGTTTGACTCCCTCTTTACCAATCTGGATGTCCAGACAGTAACTGCTGTCTTCAAGAGACTCACCTAACACATAAGGAATCACATAAACTTAAGGTAAAGGGGTGGAAAAAGATATTCCATGCAAATGGACACCAAAAGTGGGCAGGAGTAGCTATTCTTATTTAAGACAAAACAAATTTTATAGCAACAACAGTTAAAAAAGACAAAGAAGGATATTATATAAGGATAAAAGGACTTTTCCAACAAGAAAATATCACAGTTCTAAATATGTATGCACCTAACACTGGAGCTCCCAAATTTATAAATTTATAAAACAATTACTACCAGACCTTAGAAATGAGATAGACAACAACACAATAATAGTGGGGGACTTCAATACTCCACTGACAGCACTAGACAGGTCATCAAGGCCGAAAGTCAACAAAGAAACAACTTAAACTATACCCTAGAACAAATGGACTCAACAGATATTTACAGAACATTCTATCCAACAAATGAAGAATATACATTCTATTCATCAGCACAGAATATTCTCCAAAATAGACCACATGATAAGACACAAAACAAGTCCCAATAAATTTAAGAAAATCAAAATTATATCAAGTACTCTCTCAGACCACAGTGGAATAAAATTGGAAATCAACTCCAAAAGGAATCCTCAAAACCATACAAATACATAGAAATTAAATAACCCTAAAGACTTATCCAAAAAGCTCCTAGACCTGATCAATGAATTCAGCAAAGTTTCAGGATACAAAATTAATGTACTCAAATCAGTAGCTCTGCTATACACTAACAGTGACCAAGCTGAAAGTCAAATCAAGAACTCAACCCCTTTTACAATAGCTGCAAGAAAATACAATAGCTGCAAAAAAAAAATACTTAGAAATATACTTAACCAAGGAGGTAAAAGACCTCTACAAAGAAAACTACAAAACACTGCTGAAAGAAATCATACAACACAAACAAATGGAAACACATCCTATGTTCATGAATGGGTAGAATCAATATTGTGAAAATGACCATACTGCCATAAGCAATCTATAAACTCAATGCAATTGTCATAAAAATAACACCATAATTCTTCACAGAGTTAGAAAAATATAATTCTAAATTTCATATGGAACCAAAAAAAGAGCCCACATAGCCAAAGCATGACTAAGCAAAAAGAACAAATCTGGAGGCATCACATTACCTGACTTTAAACTATACTACAAGGCCATAGTCACCAAAACAGCATGGTACTGGTATAAAAATAGGCATATAGACCAATGGAACAGAATAGAGAACCTGGAAATAAAGCAAAATACTTATAGCCAACTGATCTTTGACAAAGCAAACAAAAACATAAAGTGGGAAAAGGATACCCTATTCAACAAATGGTGCTGGGATAACTGGCAAGCCACATGTAGAAGAATGAAACTGGATCCTCATCTCTCACCTAAAAATCAAATCAAGATAGATCAAAGACTTAAATCTAAGACCTGAAACCATAACAATTCTGGAAGATAATATTGGAAAAACACCTCTTGACATTGGCTTACGCAAGAACTTCATGACCAAAACCCAAAGGCAAATGCGACCAAAACTCAAAAGCAAATGCAACAAAAGAAAGATAAATAGATGGGACTTAAACTTAAAAGCTTCTGCACAGCAAAAGAAACAGCAAGCAGAGTAAACAGACAACTCACAGAGTGGGAAAAAATCTTCAGAATCTGTACATCTGGCAAAGGACTAATAGCCAGAATCTGCAAGGAACTCAAATCAGCAAGAAAAAAACAAACAATCCCTTCAAAAAGTGAGCTAAGGACATGAATAGACAATTCTCAAAAGAAGGTATACAAATGGGCTATAAACATGAAAAATGCTCAACATCACTAATGATCAGGGAAATGCAAATCAAAACCACAATGCGATACCACCCTACCCCTGCAAGAATGGCTATAATAAAAAAAATAATAGATGTTGGTGTGGATGTGGTGGAAAGGGAACACTTTTCCACTGCTGGTGGGAATGTAAACTAAGACAGCCACTATGGAAAACAGTGTGGAGAATCCTTAAAGAACTAAAAAATTGATCTACCATTTGATCCAGCAATCCCATTACTGGGTATCTACCCAGAAGAAAAGAAGTCATTATATAAAAAAGATTCTTGCACACGTAGTTTATAACAGCACAATTTGCAATTGCAAAAATATGGAACCAGCCCCAATGCACATCAATCAATGAGTGGATAAAGAAAATGTGTGTAGATATACCATGGTATACTACCTCAGCCATAAAACGGAATGAAATAATGGCATTTGCAGCAACCTGAATTGATTTGGAGACCATTATTCCAAGTGAAGTAACTCAGGAATGGAAAACCAAGCATCATATGTTCTCACTCATAAGTGGGAGCTAAGGTATGAGGACACAAAAGTGTAAGAATGATACAATGGACTTAGGCAAGTGGGGGAAAGGATGGGAGGGAGCTGAGGGATAAAAAGATAAAAGACTACGCATTGGGTACAGTACACTGTGCGGGTGGTGGGTGCACCAAAATCTCAGAAATCACCACTAAAGAACTTATTCATAGAACCATACACCACCTGTTTCCCCCAAACCTATTGAAATAAAAATAAATAAATAAATAAATAAATAAAATGGAATGGCAGTGGTATGGTCTTTTCAATAAAAAGTACTAAGTTAACTGAAAAATAACGAGATAATTTAAAGTAAAAGTAAAATATACTGTTAAGATTTTAAAAGCTTTGGCATTATTTGATAAAGGAATGCTCTATTACATTAAAATGGGGGGAATTGACTAAGAATTTTAACTATTACCTTTAATAATAATATTAAGTATTTACCAAGTATGAACAAGTATATTTGATATGAAACATATTTAGCTGGTGTATCCCACTTTTGAGGGGCTAGGAGTACAAAACCAAAGCCAAGCAGTTGCCTTCTCCTTGACTCTCCAAACCAAGCCAGTCTCTATACCTACTCATTGTCACTTTCTTACTGGTATCTTTTCTGTATCCTCTGCCATCTTTAAATGCCAAAATTGTGGTGATGGGATACTATTTCTTTATCACTAAACTACAGCTCCTTAAGGGATAAGATCCATGTCTTGATTATCTTTGTAGTTTTGGTGCTTATCATAGCAGCTGGTGTCCCCACCTGCCCAAGAATCAAATCCGCAGTCTTGATCATGGTTTCCAAGGCTCTATGTAATCAAGGACCCAGTCTGATGCCCAGTCCCCACCTAAGCACTCTTGCCTCTCTTGCTTCACCTCCTAAGCCCTTCTTCTGCATTCCACTTCAGCTCGCATTGGCTTCCTTGCAAACAATTGGGCATGTGAAGCATGCACTCACCTTGGGAGCCTTGCCTTTGATCTTCCCTCCTCCTTTAACAATGCTCCCTTTGATCACATACATGACTCATTCCCTCATTCCTGCAGGTTTCTGCTCAAAAGCCACTTTATCAAAAAAGCCTTCTGTCACAGACACACACACACACACACACTCTCTCTCTCTCTCACCAATTTACCCTACTTTATTTTTCTTCATAGCTTTATTATCCCCTGAAATGATCTATATAAGTCTCTATTCTTATCTTACATCCTTAGGAGCAGATGTATTTTTGAATCAGATTTTTTTTTCATTTCAGAAGTTATATTTTATAACAAGTCTAGTAGGGACTGGGACAGCACTCTGTAATCTAACATACTAGTTTTCCCAGCACAATGTTTCAACATGACAAGTGAGTGCAGTAGACAGAATAATGGCCCCCTAGAGATGTTCATGTCCTAATCCCCCAAACCTGTGGATATGTTAGTATACATGGAAAGGAACTTTGCAGGTGTGATTAAGTTAAGGATCATGGATGGAGAGACTGTCCTGGATTGTCTGGTGGACTGATCGATCATACATGGGCCATTATAAGCAGGAGGCGGGAAGGTCAGAGGCTGATAAGGAGATGTGATGACAGAAACAGAGGTCGGTGTCCTGAGGTTACAGGCTGGAAGAAGGCCATGAGCCAAGGAATGTGGGCTGCCTCGAAAAGACCCAAAGAATTTTCAATTCTATTATTCCATGTAACATTTCTTTTCCATTTCTGTCTTATGTCAGAGTTTTTGGGCAAAGAGTGCAGCCCAGCAAACTTCAGGGAAGCTGTCTGAGGATATTTACCAGGATGGGCCATGTGCTGCTGTTTCCTGAACAACAGGCAAGCTTGCCAAGGCTTTTACTTTAAGCATGAAGTTCAACAGCCACATATATGCACCCTGAAAGACTTTGATTCCACATCCACAGAAATGGAACTTATTCAAACACATTTCAACCTAGAGACTAGAAATGTAATAAGTGGTAATATTTTTACTAGTTTTAATGAATTCATTAAAAATAAGGTGTGGACATTTTTGTGGCTATAAATCTGTGGAGGAGCTTTAACTGAATACATCAACCGAAGGCAAATATTTGTCTCGTTGTCAAAATTCTGAGATGAAAACATTGCTGATACACGGAAGCAACATCCCCCAATCATAAAAACAGCAAAAATAGGCAGATTCTCCTTTTCCGAAACTACAAACTAAGCTGAGAGATAATAATAATAAAAAAAAGTCCAGTGTTCCGTTGACATTGCTTAGCAAGTGTGTCAAATGCAAGGATTCCTAGTCATCCATGCTGACTAGAATCAAGGGTTGAATGGACCATATGTTATTAGATTCCCAGAGAAACATTTTAGTCTGGGACTAAAGTCCCAGACTACTAAAAGATTGTAGTCTTTTTGCTTGTTTGGAATTTTGTTTCATACCTGGCTGAGTAGCGGCTCGAAGAGCATTAGGCAGCCGATTCACCTTTCTCATGATTTCTTTCCATGACTTATCCACCTGAAGGAACATCTTGGCCTCTGCAGGCAATTGCCTCTGAATGTCTGGAGCATTGAAAATACTTTCTAGGTAGAGCCAGTTTCTCTGGCAGGTCAGCCACTCTTCCTAGGAGAAAAATATGGACACTGTCAAATTTTAATTCCCCAATTAAAAACATATGGTTACAGTAAAAATCATGACACAGGGAATCACTGTATCTTTTTCCTTGAGGGTGGTGTTATGACTCCTCACAGGTCCTTTGAAATTAAATTCCTTACAAGGTCCAAGATTCACCTTAGTCTGATTTCATCCCACTGTCTACTGAGCAGAGTTCTAATGGGTCTTCCATATGGTTACCAGAATGGATCCAGAGAAACATGATTAAAATACCCACAGGAGAGATTCAGGGGGCAGCACGATGCCTACTCAAGGAAATCTGAAGGGAAGAGGAAAGTTCAGTGACCATTTTCAAACATACACAAGATTTCCACGAAAAAAAAGTTTGTTTCTTTTATCTCAACCATGTGTTCATTTTTCATTCACCTTTCTTTAAAAAAGAAAATTTTTTTAAAAAACCCTGCTCATGTCAGCATATGTAGTAAATATAGAAGACTGGAAGAAGAAAATCATGCATTCCCTCTGCTTTTAGACAATCACTGTTAATAAAATAAATCAGAAATACACGGTCAGAAATTAAATGTCTATAGACCTCACCTTTCCTCCATGCCTCCTGCTATTACTGCATGTGTGTGCCCAAAATCCATGAAAGAGTTCCTCACTTCCCACTCTAGGTTTGGGAGTAAGCCCAAATGTTACAACCACTTCCTGGTTTGTCTCAGGTCTCACACTTTCCAAGCAATTCATTCTCTGGGGGTTCCTCACTAATCAGCTCAGGCTTCTTTCAGGTACCCTGTATGAAAACGTCCCCCTTGACTTTGATCTGTAGTCCCTCCCTTCACAGGGCTCAATCATCAGTCCAGAAGGCTGGACAGGACTCAGACAATGTGGTTTGTTGAAGAAGATGAATTTCTGAGAAAGTTCTCTTTGAAACAAAGTTGGCACAGGTTATCTTTTCCCTCTTACTGCCTGTATTATTTCATAGATAACTTATCATATTAGCATGTCTAGAAATGTAAACATAATTAAGTCAAGCTAAATATCTGAAGTCTAAGAAAGAGATTGGATGGGAACAAAATGAGATTAGTGTAAGTGGGTTCTTTGTTTTGCTATGGGACAATCAAAGGTGGAATAAAATCAAAAGAACATGTGCACCACAAGGAAAGATTCCAAGGAGACTTCAAGCAACAATGAGCATTCTTCCAGTAAATATAGTCGTTGTAGCAAGACTCATAAGGTGGCCCCCAAGATGTGGCATTCACATCCCTGTGTAATCCTCTCCCCTTGAGTGTGGGTGCCATCTGTGACTTGCTCCCAGGTGCTATGGGATGTGGCAAAGGTAACAGAATGTACATAATTATGTTTATGTTATATAAGACTGTAATAGTCATCTTGCTAGGATCCTTTTTCTTCCTTGCTAGATTGATGCAGCCAATGGTCATGTTGGGGAAGCCCACACATAAAGAAAAAGCTGTTGGCAACATCTAGGAGCTGAGGATGGCCTCTAGCTGAGTGCCAGCAAGAGATTGAAGCCCTTAGCCCAAGAATTCCAAGAAAATAATTTCTGCCAACAACTGGAGTGAGCTTGGAAGTGGATCATTCCCCAGCTAAACTTCTGATGAGAACCCAGTCTGGCTGACATCTTGATTGCAACCTTGTGAGACCCTGAGCAAGAGGCCTCAGTTAAACCATGCCTGAACTCCTGAGCCACAGAAACTGTGAGATAATAAAGGTATATTGTTTAAGTTTGTAGTATTTGTTTCACAGCAAAATAATAATATGGGCATGCTTTGTTTTATTGTGCTTCATTTATTCCATTTTGCAGATATTGCATTTTTCACAAATTGAAGTTTTGTGGCAACCCTGCATCAAGAAAGTTAATTCATGCCATTTTTCCAACAGCATGTGCTCACTTTGTCTCTGGGTCAAAATTATTACAATTACCAATTGTCTTTGGTAATTCTTGCAATATTAAAAATATTATTATTAAACATTATTATTATTATTATTATATCTGTTATGGTGATCTGTGATCAGTGATCTTTGATGTTGTGATTATAATTGTTTGGGGTGCCATGAACCATGCTTATATAAGATGGCAAACTTAATTGATAAGTATTATGTCTATTCGTTCTTTCTGCTCCACTGACTGGCTGTTCCCCTGTTCCCCATCTCATTTCTTCTCCTCCGTGCCCCCTGTTATTCCCTGAGACACAACAATATTGAAATTAGGCCAATTAATAACACTACAATGGCCTTTAAGTGTTCAAGTGAAAGGAAGAGTCACATGTCTCTCAATTTAAATTAAAAGTTAGAAATGATTAAACTTAGTTAAGAAGGCATGTCAAAAGCCAATATAGGTCAAAAGCTTAGCCTCTTGCACCAAACAATTAAGACAGCTGTGAATGCAAAGGAAAAGTTCTTGAAGGAAATTAAAAATGCAACTTCAGTGTAGACACAAATGATAAAAGCCAAAACCCTATTTCTGATATAGAGAAAGTTTGAATGGTTTGAATAGAAGATCAAACCAACCATAACATTCCCTTAAGCCAAAGCCTAGTCTGAGGCAAGACCCTAACTCTTTTCAATTTTAAAAAGGCTAAGAGAGGTGAGGAAGCTGTGGAAGTAAAGTTTGAAGGTAGCAGAGGTTGATTCGTGAGACTGAAAGAAGCTATCACTGTAACATAAAAGGGCAAGGTGAAGTAGCAAGTGCTGATGAAGCTGCAGCAAGTTATCCAGATGATTTAGCTAAGATCATTGATGAAGGTGGCTACTCTCAACAACAGATTTTCAATGAAGACAAAATAGCCTTCTATTAGAAGAAGATGCCATGTAGGACTTTTATAGCTAATGAAGATTAGCCAATGCCTGGCTTCAAAGATTCAAAGGACAGGCTGACTCATGTTAGGGATAAATGCAGCTGGTGACTTTGAGTTAGAACCAATGCTCATTTACCATTCAAAAAATCTCAAGGCCCTTAAGAATTATGCCAAATCTACTCTGACTGTGCTCTAAAAATGAAACAACAAAGCCTGTGTGACAGCACATCTGTTTACAGCATGATTTACTGATTATTTTAAGCCTACTGTTGAGACCTACTGCTTAGAAGAAAAGGCTTCTTTCAAAATATTACTGCTCATTGACAATGGACCTGGTAACCCAAGAGCTCTTATGGAGATGTACAAGGAGTTTAATGTTGCTTTCATGCCTGCTAACACAACATCCGTTCTGCAGCCCATGGATTAAGGAGTACTTTCAACTTGAAAGTCTTATTATTTAAGAAATACATTTTGTAAGGCTATATCTGCCATAGATAGTAATTCCTCTGATGGATCCGGGAAAAGTGAATTTAAAAACCCTCTAGAAAGGACTCATTATTCTAGATGCCATTGAAAATATTTGGAGTTTGGAAGAAGTTGACTCCAACCCTTATAGATGACTTTGAGAGATTCAAGACTTCAGTGGAGGAAATAACTGCAGATATGGTGGAAATAGCAAGAGAACTAGAATTAGAAGTGGAGCCTGAAGAGGCGACTGAATTGCTGCAATCTCATGATAAAACTTGAATAGATAAGGACTTGCTTCTTATGGATGAGCAAAGAAAGTGGTTTCTTGAGATGGAATCTATTCCTGGTGAAAATGCTATAAACATTGTTGAAATGACAACAAAGGATTTAGGATATTACATAAACATAGTTGATAAAGCAGAAGTAGGGCTTGAGAACATTGACTCCAATTTTGAAAGAAGTTCTGTCATGGGGAAAATGCTATAAAATATTGCATGCTACAAAGATTTTTTTTAAATAAAAGGAAGAGTCGATGAATGTGGCAAACTTCATTGTTGTCTTGTTTTAGGAAATTGCCACAGCACCCCCAACCTTCAGCAGCCACCCATCAACACTGAGGCAAGATCTTCCACCAGCCAAAAGATGATGAGTCACTGAAGGCTCAGATAATAGTTAGCAATTTTTAGCAATATAGTATTGCACACTTAATGGACTACAGTACACTATAAACATAACTTTTAAAAAATAATTTCAACTTATATTTTAGATTCAGGGGTTACATGTGCAGGTTTTTTAAATGGGTATGCTGTGTAATGCTGAGGTTTGAGGTATGAATGATCTTGTCATTCAGAGAGTGAGCATAGTATCCAATAGGTAGTTTTTCCACCCTTGCACCCTTCCTCTCTCCCCTCTTTAGTAGTCTCCAGTGTCTATTATGTCTATCTTTATGTCCATGTGTTCCTAATTCAACATAACTTTTATATGTTCTTGGAAACCAAAAAATTCATGTGGCTTTCTTTATTGCAACATTTGGGTTATCATGGTGGTTTGGAACCAAATCTACAATATCATTGAAGTATACCTATGCAAGGGTGATGGTAATAGCATTAAGCTGTATAATTATATAAAGAAGAGCTTAATACCTGTGCATTTCCCTTACATTCTAAACACAATAACATGTCCACAATTAAAACTTACATTTTAAAACCATATAATATTTAAATAATGAAACAAATAATTTCTAAGGTCCTTGTGACTCTCCAATTCTCTGAGTGTATGAATCAAAATTATTCTTACTCACCAGTGTTTGATTAAATAAAGCAAGTTGTTTTTGCCATTCATCCACTCGAGTTTTCAGTGGACCAAGGTAACGTGATGAGGCAAGAGTTGCAACATTGATGGTGCTATCATCAAGAAGGACCTTTAAAGGAAGGGGAAGAAAATACATGCAGCACCCAGTATTTGTGCTTTCAGTAATATTTCAGATACATAATCCCAAGTGTCTACTTAAAAGTCAACTCTTTGAATTAATAGCTTAGCCCCTCTTACTGTTTCCTACTCATCAATTTCCCTTCATTATTCACATCCTTGTGGCACCATGATGTTCTTTCAAAGGTCACCTAGGACTTCTGATTGCCAAATTTCTGCTGATCCTGTAATTAATAATGGCACAAGTTTTTGTTTGGTTTGACACTCTTTTCCTCTCTCCCTTCACTATTAGGTAACTTTTACCTTCTTAACACAATTTGGTCACCTGGGCTTGCCTTTATTTCTCAAAATATCATATACTGGCAAAATTAGCTGTCTTCTGTCCAATGAATTATCACTTTCTCTCAATTATCTCAAGGAAGAGAGAATTGAACTCATTCATATCAAGCTCTGAATGGTTATACAGTTTCTCCTCCACCTCCCTCCCCTACTACTCCCCTTTATACAACAGCATCTCTCACGGAGCATGTGAATTTTTAAAAATGTGCTTGTTAATCTGAAAGATTTAATGGTCCATTTCAATTATAAGCTTTTTGAGAGTAGAACCCTCACCACATGACATCAATTGGCCTAAACTTACTGACCTCTTTGAGTCTGCTCTCCCATCCCCTGCGCAGAGTGATGTCTGGTCTTTCTCTTCCAACCTACACCTGGAAAAGCTATTTTATCTCTAATTCTGGCCTGGATACACCCTATTAGGCCAGGGCTTTGCCTTTTAAGTTGGGCTATGTGACCCAGCTCCCTTTGCTAAACAAATGTGCCTTCAGATTTTAAATGAGAAAGACTATTCCAAACACATGAATTAGATTTATTTTCTTTTGTGGTTGACAGAGCGTGGCCATTGTTTCCTAATTCCAATAAACTCAAGTGAATTTAGCCTTTTCGTGTGCTATAAACAGGAAATGCTCATTCAGGTTTCTTTGCCTTGTTTACAGGGTTTGAAGTGCCCTTTATTTTTTTTTCTAAGTCTTTCAAATCCCATCTAATATTTAAGATCCAGCTTGTTATGACTGGTCTAGGGAAAATGCTCTGATCACTTCAGCTGTAACTGTTCTCTTTGTTTTTCTAAATTCCTCAATAGTTACCAACTACAGGTTGCAACTCTTACATATATATGAAATTTTTAATGCTTTGTTAAATATTTCACGTACAAGCATTCACGTCAATTATTTGCATTCATTTTGCTTTCCCAATTAGATTTTTCTTATTAAGTGACTCTCATGTTTTATTCCCTCATCATAATCTCTCACAGAAGATTTAAGACTAGGTGTGGCTGGGATCTTTACCATAAGTTTTCAATAACCCAGTTACCCACCTGTATGTCATCTGTGCCGCCCAGTATAAACACATCTTTGGAGTCACGGTGAGGCAGAATGACAAATTCAGTTGTTTTCCAAGAGTCCTCCACCTTAGAAATAATTCAAGCCTTAGGATATCTAAATTCAGTGTGTTTAGATACTCAATAAATGCACGTGAAATGAAATAAATAAAAACTCCATAATTATCCCATTTTCCTCCTTATTGCTCTCTAAAATTCTTTTTTTTTTTTTTTTTTGAGATAGAGTCTCACTCTGTCACCCAGGCTGGAGTGCGGTGGTGTAACCTCGGCTCACTGCAAGCTCCACCTCCTGGGTTCACGCCATTCTCCTGCCTCAGCCTCCCGAGTAGCTGGGACTACAGGCACTTGCCACCACGCCTGGCTAATTTTTTTTTTTTGTATTTTTAATAGAGATAGGGTTTCACCATGCTAGCCAGGATAGTCTTGATCTCCTGACCTCGTGATCTGTCTGCCTTGGCCTCCCAAAGTGCTGGGATTACAGGCATGAGCCACCACGCCTGGCCTGCCCTTTAAAATTCTTAAAATCTTCTTCTTGGATAGATGACACTAATTTGCTTAATTTTATTTGATTGACATTAACACATATACTTTGACAGAAAAAGAATTCCTTTTATGCAGAGGGTTAGTAGGTGTGTATATATTTTTGGGGTAAGGAGATAGTATCATAACTAGGAAAATCTTAATGTCTTTTGAAGCATTTAACAGATTTCTCTGGTAGCTTGGAAGATAACGTATTTGGGTTTAAAAGATCATTCTTGGTATATGATTTCTTATATAAGCATGCACATTTCAAACCTTGTGGCCATCAAGTTCCTATGTGTTATAGGATAAGCAGAAGGAGGAGATTTTTAGAGGTGATAACAGTAATATCTGTTGTAAGGAAACAACAGAGGGATGACTGATAATGAGAGAGTGAAAGCTGCAACGTTGAAAAAAACATCCAGATCACCAAATGTTGAATCTGAAAACTTTCACATTCCCTAATGGTATATAGATAAATATATATTCCAGATTTACCTTTTTAAGAATTGCTTCTAAGGCAGCTTCTCCAGAAGCCTGTCCAGATATGTCCTGGATTTCTTGACCAAAGTCAAAAACATGCAACTGGGAGAGCCTCTCCAAGGTTAATGGAATTTCAGCATCCACTAGAGTGGCATCAACTGTTTGTTCAATAGCTGCCCAATGTCTTGCCTTCAAAGTCGGGTTCCTCAAGTCAATGATAACTGGAAGCTGAAAAACAAACACTCTCAGAGACATGAAGCTTTTTATCTTAAAAATATAACCCACAGGTTCTGGTTTCAATTTGTGCATGTAGAGAGCTGGAAAAGAGCACCACTTACCCTCTTTCCACAGAGCAAAATCTGGATGACTGCAAATTAATGACTCTAATTGAGCCTATTAGAAAACCAAGTTTGCGGGGGCAGAACAAACTCCAAATTTGGAGAGAGATTGATACCGACAGGTTTCTCCACAAGGAGAAACAGCAACTGAAAATTTTCCTACCTGGGGCAGATTCCTTGGGATGACATACAAACTATTAAGAAGATTCAGCTAAATTTTAAAAATAGAGCGCTAAATATTAAGTGCGGGGTAGAATGAGAATGGAAAACCTCTGAGCCTACAAATACAGTGGAAATTGACAGTGAAGACTGAAAGGACTCCCAAGAAAGCTTCCCTTATGATGCTGGCTTGGGGAGGGAAACAGCGTCCATTATAGTAGCTCCAACAAATTTATCTGCCTTAGCTCCCTTGTGGAACAAATCCCTTGATGTACAGGGAAAAGAGTAACAAACTGTGCCACCTTAAGGCACTAGTGATAACTCATTGAAGATATCTCTTCCTATAACTGGAGGAATAGAACATGGAAAAAAACAATTTACCCTTGAGGGAGGGACAAAAATAAGTGCTAGGCTCAGCACTATAGCTGGAAAAGGGGGAGGAGCACCTGTGATAGGAATTCTGAGAAAAAGAGTTACAGTGCCTCGTAAGATGAAGGTTTAATGAGAACATGAGGGAATGTTCCTTCTCACCTCTGCCACCATGTTATCAAATACTGAGTAAAAATAGCAGTGGGATACAGAGTGGAAAGCTGCGGGTGACAGATTCTCAGTGAGCACAACACAAAGGGAAGACCCAAGGTCAGAGGAAAATAGAAATTGAGAAAATAACCTTTGGTAAACCAGCCCCACCCGAAATTCGAGGTATCACTAGAAAAATCTGAAGCCTGTGGTGCACTGAGGGTAACCATAGCAACATCAACCCTTAAACCTAGCCCAATTCCTAATTAGATTTAATGCAACATGTTGCACAAAAATCCAAGTAGAAGAAGAGGCATGCTCATTTCCAAGCACAAATATTATTTGCTTTGGTATTTACTGTACTATATAAGATACCTGGCTTTGAACAAAAAATTAAGATGCATGTGAAAAGGCAAGAAAAACCACACATCTAAGAGGCAAGGCAATAATCAGACCCAGAAATGACACACATGTTGGAAGTAGATAATTAAAAATAACTATGATTAACATGTTAAAGGTTCTAATGGAAAAGATAGAAAAGCAAAATCAGTTGGGAAATGTCAACAGAGAGGTGGAAAATACAATTACAAATCGAACAAAAATGCTAGAAATAAAAAAAACAGTATAAGAGATAAAGAATGCCTTTAAAGGGTTTAACACAGCCACGGAATGAATGAACTTGAAGATAAGTGAGTATAAATTCCAGAAACTGACACACAGAGAAAAAAGAGGGAAAAGAAAAAAAAAAAAAAACAGAGCATCCAAGACCTGTGGGACAATGTCAAACAGCCTAAAGTACATATCACAGAAATCATAGAAGGAGAAGAGAGACAGAAAACAGAGCAGAAGAAATGCTTGAAAAATAACAGCTGCAAAAATTTTCAAAATTAAAAACAAACACCAAATCACAGATCCAAGAAACTCAGAGAACATCAAGCAAAATAAATTTGAACAGTAACAATAGCACATGCACACCTAGGCATACTCTACTCCTAACTGATGAGAATCAAGATGAAGAGAAAATCTTGAAAGTAGCCAGACCAAAAAAAAAAAAAAAAAAAAAAAAAAGGGACACAACATCTATAGAACAATGAGAATTTAAAACTACAGCAGACTGCTTGTCCAAAATCATGCAAACAAGAAAAGAATACCTCCAAATTACTGAAGGAAAAACAGAAACAAAAACTGTTGTCTCAGAATTATATACCCAGTGAAAATATCATTCAAAACTAAAGGATAAAGACTTCCTCAAAATAAAAACCGAGGAAATTAATCGTTAGCATACATACTCTATAAGAAATATTAAAGGATATTCTTTAGGCTGAATGAACATGTTATGAGTCAGAAACTTAGATCCACACAAAGCAATGAGGAACACTGGAAATGTAATACTGGTAAAGTAAAATTCATTTTCTTTCTTATTTTTATTGCTCTAAAAGATAACTGTCTGGAGCAAAAACAGTAAAAATAAGTTATATTTATAGTATATGTAAATATAGACATAACATCAGCACAAAGAATGTATGGAGGAATTAATTGGGTGTGTACTATTATAAGGTCTTTACAGTACATGTGAAATAGTAAAATAATTGATTTGGATTAATTATAAATCTATATTTTAAGCTTAGGATAACAATTTTAAACAATTTTCTAAAAAATTGCTTCTAAAAATTATTGAAAAAGTGGTATGAATGATAATCTCATTGAGAAGATAAAATGGAATCATAAAATATGCAATTAAATTAAAAGGCACAAAAAGAGAAAAAAGAAACAAAGAATCAATAGAATAAATAAAACAGCTAGCAAGATGGTAGATTCAATCCAACTGTATAAATAATGACTTTAAATGTGAATGGTCTACACACACCTGTTAAGGGACTAAGAATGTCAGACTGGATTAAAAAAATAGGAATCAATTCTATGCTATCTAAAAAAACCTATTCTAAATATAAAAACACAGATAAGTTAAAAGTAAAAAATGCAGAAAGCCATATCACACAAACACTAAAAGACAGCTGAACTAGCTATGTTAATTTCAGAAAATGTAAATGTTAGAACAAGGAATCTTATCAGAGATAAGAGAGAAAATTAATAATGATGAAGGGGTCAATTCCTCAAAAAGAAGTAACAATACTAAATGTGCACATGTCCAACAACAGAACATCAAAATAAATCAAGCACCACTATCTTGAGGTGGCAGTATCATCATAAAGTTATTCACTCATTCATTCAATCACTCATTTATATCAGTATGAATTCATGGATATTTACTTTATAACTTGGGTTATAATACAATACTACATTTTTTTTTGCCTAAAATTCTTATGGCTTTGGCCATTAAGTCTTCCTTGCCCTTTTGATATTCTCCCATCATTTTGTTTTCTGAGCTCTTTCTTACTTCCCAGCACCTCAAGATGCTCCAGGTTCATCTTGTATATTTCCTGACTCATCCATATAATCAGCCATTTCTACAAGGATTCCTTATAGTATAATAATAACATTATTATTATAGTATAATAATAACATTATTATTATAATATTATTATAGTATATTATTATTATTATACTATAATAATAATATAGTGTTATTATTCCTTATAGTATTATACCTTATAGTATTAAAAATGAAAATCTGGATACAAATTATGCTCATTGCTACTGGGGTGTCAATGCTTTTAGGAGGTGGAACAGAAATTTCCACCCCTTAAGTATGGCTGTGCGTAGTAACTTCCTTTCAAAGAATACAGTATGGAAAGGGCAGTAGTAACTGTACAGTTAAGACAAATGCTACTTCAGCCATGTGGTCAAGCTGAACACCATCAGTGAAAAGTCATGTTGATAGCATGTATTTTGGATATGATGTGATGAAAATGGTACTTTACCTGTCTTGTCTTCTTTGTAAGAATCTATAATTCCAGTGTAATTATGAGAAAAATCTCAGACAAATCCAAATTGAAGGATATTATACAAATTACTTGACCAGTACTTTTCAAAATGATCAAGGTCATAAAAAACAAGGAAAGTCTGAGAAACTGTCACAGCCTAGTAGAGCCTAAGAAGACATGACAATTAAATGTAATGTTTTATCATGGATGAAATCTTGGGATGGAAAAAGAAAAGGATGTTAGGTAAAAACTAAAAAAACTCAGATAAAGCATGGACTTTAGTTACTAATAACGTATTGACATTGGTACATTAGTGGTGACAAATGTATTATACTAATGTAATATGTTAATAAAAGAAATGGAATGTGGAGTATATGGGAACCCTTGGTATTATTGTTATAACTTTTCTATGAATCTAAAACTATTCTGAAATAAAAGTATATTAAAAAATGCATAAACTGATAGAATGGAAAGGAGAATTAGGTAAACCCACAATTATAGTTAGAGAGTTCAACACTCCTCTCTGAGTCCCTAACAGAACAAGCTGGCAGAAAATCAGCAAGGGTA
This sequence comes from Homo sapiens, assembly GCF_000001405.40. Classification (NCBI taxonomy): domain Eukaryota; kingdom Metazoa; phylum Chordata; class Mammalia; order Primates; family Hominidae; genus Homo; species Homo sapiens. The sequence goes on along the minus strand of NC_000002.12, from coordinate 84,600,098 downwards.
TAGATGACCTGAACACCACCACCAACCAAGTCCACCTAATTAACACTTGTAGAATGATCACTGAGCAACAGCAGAATGCACATTCTTCTAAAGTGCATATGGAAAATTCAACAAAATTGACCATATTCTGGGCTATAAAACAAACCTTAAAAAATTTAAAAGGACAGAAATCATAAAAGTATGTTTTTGGACCATAAGACAGTTTTATAGATATTGAGAAGCTAAATATAAAATAGATATGGAAAGGCAAAGGAATTAGAATAGACAAAATAATTGTAAAAAGGAAGAACAAAATTGGAGGATTAAGACTACTTGATTTCAACACTTACTAGCTATCGTAATTAAGAAAGTGTAGTATTGATGAAAGAATAGGCTTATAGAACAATGAAACAGAACAGAGTCCAGAAATAGACTAAAAAATATAGTCAATTGACTTTTGGCAAATGTGCAAAGGTGAGTCAATGGAGAAGAGTGCCTGGGGAGGATAGTCATTTCCAAATAATGACTGAAGAAAAAATAATCATTTCAAATAATGCTGTTCCTTTAATTGGATATAATATGTACAAAAGTACACCTTGATACCTCATATTTATGAAAAAATTAACTCAAAATAGATCATATACCTAAACATAGAAAACAAAACCTTTAAACTTCTAACAGAAGAAACATAGAGAAAATATGTGTGACCTTAAGTTTGAAAAAAAAGTGTTTGGATACTATACTAAAAGCTTGATTCATAAAAGAAAAAAATTATAAATTAGAGTTTATTGAAATTAAAACTTTTTGCTCTGTGAAAATCACTGTACAGGAACTGAAAAGACAAGCAACTGACTGGAAGAAAATATTTTCAAGTTACATATCTGAAAAAAAACTTTTATGCAGAATATATGAATAACTCTTAAAACTCAATTATAACCAAGCAAACAACCCAATTAAAAATGGGCAAAAGATCTGAACAGACATTTAATCAAAGAATATAGATGGATGGCAAATAGCATATAAGAAGATGTTCAACATTATCAGTATTTAGAAAAATGCAAATTATGACTTTTTTTTTTTTTTTTTTTTTGAAACTGAGTCTCACTCTATGGCCCATGCCTGAGTACAGTGGCGCAATTTCGGCTCACTGAAACCTCCACCTCCCAGGTTCAAGCGATTCTCCTGCCTCAGCCTCCCAGGTAGCCAGGACTACAGGCACAAGCCACCACGCCCAGCTAATTTTTGTATTTTTAGTAGAGACGGGGTTTCACCATGTTGGCCAGGATGGTCTTGATCTCTTGACCTCGTGATCCACCTGCCTCGGCCTCCCAAAGTGCTGGGATTATAGGCATGAGCCACCGTGCCCGGCCAATTATGACAATTTTAAGACACTACTATCCATTGGTTAGAATGACTGAAATTAAAAAACAAAACAAAAAGGTCCCTCAAAATAACAAGGGCTAGTGATGATGAGGAGAAACTGGAATTCTCATAAATTGCTAGTGAAAAGCCAAAATGTTGCAGTTCTTTGGAAAACATTTTGGCAACTTCTTATAAAGTTAAACGTATGCTTACTATACAACCTAATAATCCTACTTCTAGTTATTTACCCAAGTTAATAGAAAACTCATGTTCACACAAAACAAAAAGCTGTACATGAAAGTTTATAGCAGCTTTATTAAAAATCACTACAAAATGAGACAGAACTCAGATATCTTTCACCAGGTGAATGGATAAACAAACTATGGTACATCTATATAACAGAATACTAGAAAATAAAAATAAATGAACTGGCTGGGCATGGTGGCTCAGGCCTGTGATTCCAGCACTTTGGGAGGCCAAAGCAGGAGGACTGCTTGAGCCCAGGAATTCAAGACCAGCCTGAGCAACACAGTGAGATCCTGTCTCATAGAAAGAAAGAAAGAAAGAAAAGAAAGAGAGAAAGAAAGAAAGAAAGAAAGAAAGAAAGAAAGAAAGAAAGAAAGAAAGAAAAGAAAGATAGAAAGAACCACGAGTTCCACGAGTAACCACGAGTTCACTTTCTCACTATAGATTTCTTTATTCTGGACATTTCATATAAATGACATATGCTATCTGGCCTTTTTTTTTGACTGGCTTCTCTTACTTGCATCATGTTTTTAAATTTTTTATCTTATTTGTTTGCAGACATCAGGTCCCACTATGTTGTACAGGCTGGTCTTGAACTCCTGGGCTCAAGTGATCCTCCCACCTTGGCCTCCCAAAGTATTGGGATTACAGGCATAAGTCACCTCACCTAGTCCAGCATCATGTTTTTAAGGTTCATCTATTCTGTTGCACATACAACTTAATTTCATTTTACTACTGAATAAAACTCCATCATATAGATATGCCACATTTTATTTCTCCAATTTATTAATTGATGGAAATTTGTTTTTTCCCCTACTTTTGGCTATTATGAACAATGCTGCTGTGAACATTTGTATTGAAGTTTCTGCGTGAACACACGTTTTCAATTATCTTGGCCATATATCTGGGAGCAGAGTCACTTGGTAATATGGTAGGTCTATATTTAACATCTTGAACAAACTGCCAGATTATTTTCCAAAGTGGCTGCACAACCTTACGATCCTACCAGCAACATGTGGAAGTTCTAATTTCTGCATATTCCCTACAACACTTATTCCTATATAATCTGTCTCTTTGATCATAGCCATCCTAGTGAGTGTGAAGTGCTATCTCATTGCAGCTTTGATTTGCATTTCCTTAATAACTAATGGTGTTCAGCATCTTTTCATGTGTCTTCTTTGGGGAAGTGTGTATTCAAATCTTTTGCCCATTTTAAAGGGTTATTTGTCTTTTTATTTGTAAGAGTATGTTACATATTTTAGGTACAACTACATAGAGGGATCTTAAATGCATTTTGCTGAGTGAATGAATCCAGACCCAAAAGGCTGCATGTTGTATTATTTCATTTATATAATATTCTGTAAAAGGCAAAACTATAGAGACAGAAAACAGATCAGTGGTTGTGTGGAATTGTGATAAAGGGAAAGGCTGACTACAAAGGGACAATACAAGCAAATTTTTAGGATAATGAAATTGTTCTGTATGGTACTATTGTATTGGATACATTACTCTACCCATTTGTAAAAACCCATAGAACTGTATGCCACAAAAAGTGACCTCTACTGTATTCAAGTTTAAAAAAATATAAACTAGGATTTCGAGGGAACCCAAGATGGAATGCAGACTTTAACAAATAAATTTGTTTACAATTATATGATGTAATCACACTAAAGGCAATAAAGAAAGAAGCTGACCTAAACAACTTGGGAAAGTGTTTTGACTAGATATTGTAAGCTAAAGGGAAAAATATTATGCAAATAACACTCTTTTCAAGCTGGAAAATTTTCTTCTCATTGTGTCTGAAGCTTTGCTTACTTTTCTTCTCCACATTTGTTTTTTTTTTAGTTCTTTATTTCATCTTTAAAAAAATACCCTAAAATTGTCCAGGCGCAGTGGCTCACGCCTGTAATCCCAGCACTTTGGGAGGCCGAGGCAGGTGGATCACGTGAGGTCAGGATTTTGAGGCCAGCCTGACCAACATAGTGAAACCCTGTCTCTACTGAAAAAACACAAAAAATTAGCCCAGCGTGGTGGGTGGCGGGTGCCTATAATCCCAGCTACTCAGGAGGCTGGGGCAGGAGAATCGCTTGAACCCAGGAGGCCGAGGTTGCAGTGAGCCGAGATCGTGCCACTGCATTCCAACCTGGGCAACAAAAGTGAACAAAAAACAAACAAACAAAACAACAACAACAAAAAACACCCTAAAACTGTTTAAAAAACTAAAATCATATCCCGTTTCTTAACCATTTCAAGCACTGGCTTAGCTGAGATAGTTTCAAAAATTCAGACCTGTACACCTGCAGCCTGGCTTCCCAACTTCCTTCACATCATAGCACATCTGGAAAATGGCATAGTTGTGTGGTGCACTGATGCAAATGGACAAGGCCGATTGGACAAGTCTACCCCAGCCTCATCTGGCTCCCTAAGGGTTTGAGCACATCAGTATCTTAGCATAACTACAACCTATTCCTGCACTATTTCCCTTACCACTTGGGAAACACTCTGAATGCCCCTCCTAACCACAGTATTCAACTGCATGATTTGGCCAAATGAAGACAGGAATGCAGTCTGTGCCACTGCAAAAAAATGAATTTGACTATTGTTTTTTCTGTCTGCAAAGCTGACTAACTTAATCAGGGAAAAATTCCTGATTTTGGTCTCATTAGCATCAATTAATAACCAACTGGCCTACAGTTTTTGAAATAACTTCTACCAACCTTACCTTTTCTTTCATTTTTTCCACCTTGTATTTGAGCTGGGGCACTACACTGTTGGGTGGCAAGCCTTTTTCCAGTTGAGTCACAAATTTAGCATATTTAGAAACTTGACCGTTTAGGACTTCTGGATCCAGGCAATCAAATTTGGACTATGAAAAATTTAAAAACAAAGCAAAACAAGTTAAAACATAAAGTAAAAGTCAGGTTTGAAATACTAAAAAAACTTTTAAAAGTTAATCCAAATCTACACTATGCTTTTGGAAATGGCTTTACTTATTAAATTGCTAATAACATTATATATCCAGCATCACCTGTTTATTCCTTTCATGTTCTTGCCTCCCACATCATCAAATGTAGTACTGGAATCTCCGTAATTTATTTCTGAGGGTCAATATTCATAAAGTCCTCTAAGGAGACAAATAGCTATTTTTTTACTCTTGCTAACCAGAAATTTCTCACCTAGTAGTCTTCTATTATTTGATTATATACCTGTTTAACATACATATTTTAAATTCATAAATTATTCATAAAATTATAGATCTATATACTTACAGATCTATAATTGTTTTTCTCAATTATGTAAACATATAAATATACACATATATTGACATGTCAGATAGCCACACATATATATTGATGGCAGTAGAAAATTTGTAAACCTTCATTTTTCTTTTTTTCTAAGTCCATCATTTTTCTTCTGCTCCCTAGTGTGTTTTCTTGTGCATTTCCTAGGGTGAATGCATCCTACGGTGGAAGCCACTGCTCTAATCCATGGTGGTAATCAGAAAATCCTTTAAGCTGCTTCTTCTCAAGAATATTTTCTTACTTCTGAGATAATTGATAAATGAGTTAAAGGAGAGCACTTAAAACTGTCTGGTGTTATAGCATATATTTGTTTTTTATTTTCTATTTTCTCCACCAAAGAGTTCTACGTTTGAACTTTGTTCTTCTTATTCTCCACTGGTACTCCCAGCACCTAGAACATTACCTGGAACATATTTCCCATGTTACTGTTTTTTAACCAAGACATGTGCCTTCTAATTATAGGCATCAGCACAGGAAGGATGAATAAGAAGTGTAAAACAATATTTGTGAGGTTGATAGTATTTCTAACATGTCCATACCACACTTGAAAGTATAGGTGGCCATCTATTTTGCCTTGTAGAGAGTTGACCTTTGTTAAGGATTGAATATAGGGTAGATCCTAGAAACAAAACTCTCTGATGGCTGTTGATATTTGGCTCTCTAATTTAAAAAGTTTACTATTGAGCTCTCAAAGGAAGATCCTAGATTTTATCACTCTATCCTATTACAGTGAACAAAATGGCTTCCTTTTTTAAAGGACAACAAAAATAGAAATCTAAAGTGTGTAGATCACAAATAAAATCCTACAATCCTCAAGAACACTGAAGTGTATGATGACAACATTGTGTTTAGAAACCACAAAGTGATTAAACGTCATACAGCATTGTCCATTGATGCTTCCACTATGTAGCCTTCTAATATGGAGCCTGTAGCATACAGTGACATAAGGACCTTTGTGCCTTTCACTGGAAAGCTTATAAAAATTATCAGAAAATGATACCATTGCATATTTTACTGACATTAAGAAAAGCACCAGATTGTTAAAAGTTATAATTCAAATTATTAGAATTTTAAGATTAATTCATACAAAAATAATTTGAGAACTGAAGGCTTTTTTCCCCTACCTTTAACCATTCTTGTTGGAGTTTATCCCATTCAGAGAAAGAATCCCAGAGCAATTGTTTGAGCTTCAGTTCAGCACTGACTTCTTCCAAAGCTTCAAACTTGGACACTTCTACCTTTAAAAATGTAGTAAACAAAATGCGTAATTTAGTTTTCAGATATAATGAGCATATGCTATTCTCCTATTAGTAATTCTTGGTACAGTGATTGCTTGGAAGAATGTGCATCCTAAATGGATTAAGAAAAGGAGCACTAGAAACAGATGAAGAAAAAAAAAAAAACTCCACAAAACCCCACATATATTAGACTTTCCATTAGAGAAACAAAATACAACTCCTGGTATTTCCTTAGAACTTAGAACTTAAATATTCTCCAAAGACATAAATATTATAAGAGTAACACTTTTTTGAGTTGGATTGTACATGCACATATATGTTAGGTCTTCTAGGGAAAGCAGATGAGTCTTTAGAGGCACTGATTTCCATTGGGCTTCTGTACTTAAAGGGCAGAAGAGGGAGATGACTGTGCGGTAGCTGGTGGGGAAGATGGTGAAGTTTAAGATGGAGAGGACAGCGTGGTTTCTGACTCTTTTCTAACCACGACTTTATATGAACCCCATGGAGAGGAAGGGTGCAAGAAAATCTGAAGAAGGTGTTTTCATGAGAAGTGTTTAAGATTGCCTTGGTTCAACGCTGGGGAAACCTTCAGGGAGTTGGTTGCACAGAAATTCTTGTGCTTTGACATTAGGAATTTAGTCTTGTCTTCTATTAAGAGTTGCAAATGATTTCCTGCAACCTAGATTAGTTAGGCTTTCACTCCTATTCTCCAAATAATTGAGAGCCACAGAAGGAAGGCTAGATCAGAGACAATCAGGAAGGAATCAGTCTTGAAGTCATAGACATGGAAGATGGAAGGAGGAAGACACAGTTTCATTTCAGGTTCTGTGTTTTTTAAAAATTTATTTTTTAACTTTTCTTTTTATTGTGGTAAAAAACACATTACATGAGATCTATTCTTTTAATAAATTTTTAAGTGTAAAGTACAGTAATGCTAACTATAACAATGTTAACAGGGTTATTTAATGTACTTTTTCTAGTACTTTTTCACCTGGCATAACTGAAACTTTATACACCTAGAACAACTCCTCATTTCCCCTTCCTCCCAGCCTCTGGAAACCACCATTCCACTTTCTGCTTATATGAGTTTGACTACTTTAGATATCTCATATAAATGAGATCATGCAGTATTTGTCCTTTTGTAGCAGGCTTATTTCACTAAGCATAATGTCCTCCAGGTCATCCATGCTGTGGCACAGCAGGATTTTCTTATTTTGCGAGGCTGAGTAAAATTCTATTTTATGTAGATACCATATTTTCTTTATCCATTCATCTGCTGATGGACATTTTAAGTTGTTTCCATATCTTGGCTACTGAGAACAATGCTGCAATGAACACGGGAGTGCAAATATATCTTTAAGAGCCTGATTCAATTATTTGGGATATATGCCCATAAATGGGATCATTGGGTCATTTGTTTTTTAAGTTTTGAGGAACCACCATGCTGTTTTCCATAGTGTTTGCACCATTCTAATTCTCATCTACAGTGTAAAGGATTCCAGTGTCTTCACATCCTTGCCAATATTGGTAATTCATTTTATTTTTGTAATGGCCATTCTAACAGATGTGAGGTGATACCTTCTTGTGGTTTGATTTTAATTTTCCTGATGATTATTGATGTTGGGTGTCTTTTCACATGCCTGTTGACCATTTGTATGTCTTCTTTAGAGAAATGTTCATTCAAGTCCTTTGTCCATTTTAAAAATTTGGGTTTTTTTTTTGGCTATTGTGTTGTAGGAGTTCCTTATCTATAAGGAGTTTAGATAATAACCTCTTATCAAGTATATAATTTGCAAATTTTTTCCCTCATTCTGTATGTTGCCTTTTTACTCTGTTGATTGTTTCCTTTGCTTTGCAGAAGCTGTTTAGTTTGATGTAGTTCCACTTGTCTATTTCTGTTTTTGTTACATTGGTTTTTGGTGTCACATCCAAGAAATCATAGCCAAGGCCAATGTCATGAAGATTTCTCCTACCTTTTCCTCTAGGAATTTTATAGTTTTAGTTCTTTTGAGTCTTTAACCCATTCATTTTGAACTGATTTTTGTGTAAGGGTTCAGCTTCATTCTTTTGCATATGAATATCCAGTTCCTTAACACCGTTTGTTGAAGAGACTATCCTCTCCCTGTTGTGTATTTTTGGCACCTTTGCCATAGATGCGTTGACCATATTTGTTGTTTTGCGGTTTTCCATTCTGTTTCATTGGTCTATATGTCTGAATGCATGCTAGTACCATACTATTTTAATTACTATAGCTTTGTAATATGTTTTTAGATTAGGAAGTGTGAGACCTTTAGCTTTTTTCCTATTTCTCAAGATTGTGTTGGGTACTCGAGGTCCTCTGTGGTTCCCTATAAATTTTAGAATTTGTTTTTAATATTTCTTTAGAAAATGTCATTGGGAAATTGGTAAGGATTGCATTGAATGTATAAGTCACTTTGGGTAGTACAGGTATTTTAACAATATTAAGTCTTTTAATCAATGAACATGGGATATCTTTCTATTTATTTGTGTATTATTTCATTTCTTTCATCATAGTGTGTGAGTCTTTTACCTCCTAGGTTAAGTTTATTTCTACTTTATTATTATTATTTTTGATTCTGTTGTAAATGGCATGATATTTTTTATGCTATTGTAAATTGTTTTCTTTATCTTTTGAATTGTTTGTTGTTAGTATATAGAAATGCAACTAATTCACGTAAGTTGATTTTGTATTCTACAACTTTACTGAGTTTATTTATTATTTTTAAATTTTTCCCCCTGGAGTTTTAGGGTTTTCTACATATGAGATGTCTAGAATATGCTGGATCCTGTCACTACTCCAAGACAGATGATATAGAAGTTTGTCCCTTGAGCAGTCCCCTGATAATGTATCACATTGGACAGCCACTTCAAATCTTCCCCTGTCCAGGTAGAAGCTGAGATTTGGGAATTCTTGCTTGCTTACTCTGCACTGAGTCAGGGGTTTGGGGAGGGGTGTTAATGGCTAGTGAGTGCAAACTGGTCGAAACTGTTGCTTTTGTTCTCAGCGGTTCCAACCTGGGGACCTTTCCTGTCCATAATCAAATTCAGGCAAGAGAGAAACCAATCTCTCAGCCAGACCCCTAAAGTGTCAGAATGCCATGTATTCCATCCAGTCTGTCTTTCCCTCCTTCGCCAGGGAGAAGCTGAGAACTTCCTCCTAATTGTGTAACACTGTGCTGGGGGCAGGAATTATAGTGAAAGGGTGTTAGGAATTATTCTACTGGCTTCCATCAGCTGATTTTATACTTGCCCAGGGTGCAAGAGACTGTCAACTTGCCTTTGTATTTCTGACAAAATAAATTGGTTCAGGGGTTGTTGAGTCAGTGTGTCCAAGGGAAAAAGGAGGGGCTGGGGCTTCATGCTCTGCCGTCTTGCTGACAGGACCAAAGATATTCTTTCTTGCTCAAGGAGTGCTCACATGTGAGTTGTAGCTTTTTTTTTTTTTTTTTTTTGAAATGGAGCCTCGCTCACACTGTCACCCAGGCTGGAGTGCGGTGGCACGATCTCGGCTCACTGCAACCTCCACCTCCTGGGATCAAGTGATTCTCCTGCCTCAGCCTCCCAAGTAGCTGGGATTACAGGCGCCTGCCACTACGCCCAGCTAATTTTTTGTATTTTTAGTAGAGATGGGGTTTTATCATATTGGCCTGGCTGGTCTCGAACTCCTGACCTCGTGATTTGCCAGCCTTGGCCTCCCAAAGTGCTGGGAGTACAGGTGTGAGCCACTGCGCCCAGCCAAGTTGTAGCTTTTTATCAAGTAGTATTTCCTCCATACCTTGCTCCTTACTACATACCTTCCTGTCTTGTAGGTCAGTTAACCCAACCTGGGAACAACTTTGAACTCACACAAATCTGCCTCAAGTATCACCAGCCTTATTGGCTGGTATCAAATTCATTATTTTCAGATTTCTCTACCAATCCCTGGACCCTGGAGTAGACAGCATATCAGATCACTTTCTGGTCATCCATCTGGGGCTCTGAAGAGACAGGTGCATTCCCCTGTGAGGTTCAAGCATGTTCCTCCGAGATTTTTGGGGAGACCAATGGCATCTTCCTTATTGCTAGGGGCTCCCTGGTTTTGACCATAGGAATATTTTCTTTTCTATTCTCTTTTCTTGTTGTTGGTCTCTCTAAAAGCCGTTGAAAGCACCTGCATCTCTTACCCCTTTCTCTTCATGTTTTTTGAGAGACTTCTATTAGCCTTTCAAATATACCTTTCTTTTTTTTTTTTTTTTTTTTGAGACAGGGTCTCACTCTGTCACCTAGGCTGCAGTGCGGTGTCACGATCTTGGCTCACCGCAACCTCCGCCTCCTGGGCTCAAATGATCCTCCCCGTTTAGCCTCCCAAGTACCTGGGACTACAGGCATGTGCCACCATGCCTGGGTAATTTTTGTATTTTTAGTGGAGATGTGGTTTCACTATGTTGGTCAGGCTGGTCTCGAACTCCTGAGCTTAAGTGATCCAAGTGCCTTGGCCTCCCAAAGTGCTGGGATTACAGGCATAAGCCACTGCTCCTGGTCCTCAAATCTACCCTTTTACACCCATTTGTCCCTGGCTTAGCTGGGGATGTCATTTTTATCAAATTGGCACATAAAACCAGGGTAAATCAGGCAATATTAATGGAATCATAACGTACATATGAATGTAAAGGAAGCCTGAATATTACTTAAGAAAGGATAGTGTGGTTTTAATTGACCACATTAAAAAATCCACTTACATTTTAACATAGAAAGTACAGTTCCTTGTCTGAAAGTTTTGCATAATTCACAATTATTTTAATAAGAAAGATATTCGGTATCTCATGTGTGTTAGTCTTTAAACACTTCGAAGGCAAGGAACATATCATATTTTGTATTTGAGACTATTTGTAGCATGCTGACTAGCACATAGTTGTCCAAATATTGAATGTTTACAGTTACATTATTGAAGTCCTTGTGCATATACGCCATTTCTATACACACATTTCTAAGACAGATGGTGTAAAACTGTCATTACCTTAAAATTCTTCTGATAGGACTTATACTGAAATGCACGTTTCTGAAGATCAGCCAGAACAGATTGCAGATTATTCAATATGAGCCTTATTTTGTCTTGGTCAGCAGAGATATCTAAAATCTGTGGATCCTATAAATTTAAGACAGTTTTTGGTTAGCCATTCCTGCTTTTTGATAAAGACCAATTAAATTAAATGAATTAATAAACATTTTTAAAAAGATTCCTTTCTCTTTTCTTTTTGATTTTTAGAAATGATGTTTAAAATTATTGTTTTCCTGAATTTTAAAGCAATGCATAGACATTATAAAAAGTACACATTTATATAAAGTGCCATGGAGATAAAATTGTTTTAAAACATTATCTAATATATTTTCCCTCATCTGCTTTCATTTCCTACACTTCTTCAACCAACATGACCTTAGATAAGGAGAGGTGAATGAAACAGGGAAGAGAAGGAAGGGGATATGATATACGGTAAATTTCCACTTTACAATAAAGGAATGGAAAGTCCTTTGTATTCTAAAATGACAGAAGAGAGAAAATGAAAAATATAAATGGCAAGACATGTTTTATGGCTGACCTGTTAGGGTTGAAACCCCAGTGAATGGGAATGGAATAGTTCAGGAGCAAAGCAGAAGCACTTAACTAGGTTTGGGATAATCTGAGAAAATTGAAGGAATCTGAGAACCTTTATAGCCATAGCTCAGGGAGGCTAGTTAGTCCAAGTCTTAGTCAGCATGGCCATGCATTCAAACTTGCAACATGCTCTAGATTAGAAAAAGCCAAGGGATGTGTCCAGGAAGAAGGGGCTTATATTGACATTCTGGTGTCTTGTGACTTGGCATGATATGCAGGGAATCCTGAAGTTCTCATGTGTCTTGATTCTGGTAGTGGGAACTGTTGAGAGAACTGGTGGACCAGAAGATGTCTGAGGCCAGGATAAGAAAGCCACAGATTACTTGGGATTGTAGGCTATGGAAGAAATTATGGATTGCAGCATAGGGGCTAGCATGGTGCCTAAAGAACCAGGAAAGACCCTTAGTTAACAGCAACCTGGGACAACCAGGTGCAGCCCAGCCAAACTGCACTGGACGCTGCTATGGCCCAAAAGGTAGCATGAAGAACAGATGACCTGCCCCTCCCATCTATTCGCCATGAGGGAATTCAAGCTTCCCTTTATGGGGCAATAGGTAGGAGGGGATGGTGGCATAGGTGAAAAAACGCCCAATAGGAAGTTTAGATTTTCAGCTGAATTAAAATCTATCCAAAAGAGACCCAGGTAGAATGGAACAGACATTTCAAACTGAAATAAATTATCATTAATGGTCACATTTAGGTTTTCTCCCTAATTCTCTGCAACAGCAGGAATGAGGGTCTTGATAGCAAGATAGTATCATTTATGTAAATGATGAAGTTACAGTCCTTTGCCAAAGAGAACTAATTTCAAACCTTCTATAGAAGAAGCACTAGTTAGAATGGGCCATGCTTTCATTTTGTGTAAGTGCATCATGCTATTTAAAATGCATGATTTGCATGCAGATATTCATTGCAGCACTATCCACAATAGCAAAGACATGCAATCAATCTAAATGCCAATCAGTATCAGATTGGATAAAGAAAATCTGGTATGTGGACACACGGAACACTATGAAGCCATAAAAAATAACAAGATAATGTCCTTTGCAGGAATATAGGTGGAGCTGGAGGCCATTATTCATAGCAAACTAATGCAGGAACAGAAAACCAAGTATTGCATGTTCTTACTTATAAGTGAAAGCTAAATGTTGAGAACACATGGACACAAAGAGAGGAACAACAGACACTGGGGCCTACCTGAGGGTGGAGGATGGGAGGAGGGAGAGGATCAGAAAAAATATCTATTGGGTACTAGGCCTTGTATCTGGGTGACAAAATAACCTATGCAGCAAACCTCTGAGACATGAGTTTACCTATATAACAAACCTGCACATGTATCCCTGAACCCAAAATAAAAGTTTCTTAAAAAATAAAAAATGCATGATTATACATCAAGCATGTGCTGGCACTTTTGCTTTCTCTAATGATCTATGTATACATAGATATTCATACTTTTTAACCATATGCTGTGTATAGAATACAGTATATGGTAGAGCAATTAATAGCAGACTATTAACCATTGACAGTAGACTGCTTACGCTTGAATCCAGATTCCTCCATTTAGTAACTGCGTGACCCTTGGCAAGTTACTTAACCCTGTCCCCTAATTTCCTTTTCTGTAAAATGTGAATAATAAAACCCTAAAGTGTTTTGAGATTTAAATGAGTTAAAACATGAAGACATACATAAGAATATTTCTAGGACTATTACTCATGATTGCCCCACATGGTAGATAATCCCAATTTCCATCACCCATGAAATGAATCACTGTAAAATACAATAAAACACTACATAGCAATAAACATGAATAAACTACATCCACAAATAGCAATATGCATAAATCTTAGGAACATACCAAAATAAAATAAAGGGCACACTGTGTGGTTCTAATTAATAGAAGTTCAAAAATAGGAAATTTATAACATTCCCGCTCCAGATGGCCTGCCACTGCCAACACGCCTGCTGCAGCAGGGAGGCATGGCCAGGGCTGCACACTCCATGGAGCCAGTGGCACACTCCATGGAGCCAGTTAGGGACAAGTGGGAGCTTTGCCCCTTCCAAGTTGGGGTGGGAGTTCCTTGGGCGCAGCTGTAGCCACCCAAACTGTTGCTGCAGACTCAGGCAGTCCTGTGCTCTTGGGGGCATGGGAAGACCCCTTTGCCCTCTCAGGCTTGGAAGTGCCTGCTTCTGCAGCCTGGTCTCTCCCTGCTCTGATCTTGGAAGGGAGAGAAGCCAGGCAGTGGGAGCAGGCACTTCTTTGATCTTCTCTGATCTTGGAGCAAAGTCAAGGCCCAACCCTGGTGCCATGAACAGCAGCAGGAGGCAGATAGATTCCTGAATGGAAGGGGGTGGGTCCCCGGTGAGGCCCCACATTGGCCTGAAGGCTGGGGGCTGGGCTGCCAGTCCCACAGACCAGTGTAGGAACTTGTGATGCCTTTTCCAGCCTGCCCATTATCCCCCATGGGCCAATCAGTACACACTTCCTCCCCTCTGAGGTCCATAAAAGCCCTGGGCTCAGCCAGAGCTGAGCAGATAATGGGACAACCAGCTGCAGAGGGCAGCTACCCTCTCTGCTGAGAGGTTCAGAGACCTGCAGAGATGTCGGGGCTACCAGCTGCAGAGAGTAGCAACCCACTTCAGGGTCTCCTCTCTGCTAGGAGCTGGGCATACATCGGGAAAACCAGCTGCAGAGGGGAGCTACCCTCTCCAGGCCTCCTCTCTGCTGAGAGCTGCAGAGATGATGGGACAACCTGCCTGCAGAGAGGAGTCACCCATTCCAGGGCCTCCTCTCTGCTGAGAGCTGAACACTCAATGGGATGACCTGCCTAGAGAGCAGCTACCCACTGCGGATTTCCTCCGAGCTGTTCTAACACTGAATAAAGCTCCTCTTCATCTTGCTCACCCTCCACTTGTCTGCATACCTCATTCTTCCTAGATGCAGGGCAAGAACTTAGGCAAAGGTACTACTGGCCACAGAGGTTTCCAGCCAGAAAAATGACACCCCAAATATCCCATAACAAAAGGATGAGTAATTAGGAGGGGACACTAAGGGTATCATAATGCTTTATTGATATGAGTAGTGGATACATAGATGTGTTTACTTTCAGATAATTCATTGAGTTGTACAGTAATTAGTTATGTACACTTTTGTCTGTAAGAAAATACAAAAGTGCTTCAATACAAAAGTAACAACAGTGCCAAGTCCTTCGAACACTGCTTGAGAAATAGGCAGCACACAATGTGAGCTGTTTTTACATTTCCACGTTAATACATGTAAAGGTATACTGTAATCTTTAATGTCTGTATTATATTCTTTTGAGTCAATGTACCCTATATTTTTTCTATTGTAAAAGTGGTACAAGGTAACCAAATATTCTTCACTACCAATTATCAATGTACACTCTGTCTCTTTCTAAATGGGAATTTTCTAATATACCAGCAAAGTTTATTTTTATTTTTTATTTAGCTTTTATTTTAAGTTCAGGGATACATGTGCAGGTTTGTTATACAGGTAAACTTGTGTCATGGGGGTTTGTTGTATGAATTATTTCATCACCCAGGTATTAAGCAAACTTTAAAATTGTGACAATAGCTGTAAAATGTGCTAGCAAGTCATTAAAACACTCTTCAAAATAATAAATACAAGTTAGGACTAGAATTTAATTGGCTAAATTCAATTTTAATATTACATATATGCTTTGTGATAGTCTGAAATGTATTCACTACTTAAACAGAGATTTTGAAACATTAATTTTTAAGTAGCAGCTCAAAGACATTGTTGATTGGTTAGAATGATACTATAAAAAACTAAAGCTACATCAGTTAAATGTGTTCTCTAAATGGTTTGAAGAGTAGTCTTAATTATTCTCACCACAAAAAATGATGTATGTGACGTGATGGACACATTAATTAGCTTGATTAACAATTTCACAATGTATACGTATATCAAAACATCACATTATATATTGTAAATATATACAATTTTTATCTGTTGATTATACTTTAATAAACAAATGTAATAGTAAAACTTTGCATAGATTATTTTTACAAAATAATGATTTAGCTTACCTGTGCTTGCAGTTTTACTTCATTCACTTCGTTGTTTAATTCTTCAAGATCACTACCCAAATGCACACAAAATTGCTTAATGCTTGATTCTCTATCACCCACTGATTTATCAATGGCATTCCGAACAGCAACAATGGATGGCTTCATAGTTGCAAAAACAGCAAAGTCTTCAGGAGGTGTGGGCACCTGATATTGTTCCATAAGCTTGTACATTTGAGTCACTATATTCCCCTCATCTTCAAGGCTTTCAATCTAAATGGAAACATAGTTTGCTCATTAAATGTAGCAGAATCCTAGTTTAGTCTTGAAGTTTGTTCTAACAGGAGACAGACACTGTACAATATGAACATTGTATTAGTCTGTTCTGCTGCTGCTAATAAAGACATATCTAAGACTGGGTAATTTATAAAAGAAAGGTTTAATGGACTCACAGTTCCACATGGCTGGGGAGGACTCACAGTCACGGCTAAAGGCAAGGGAGAAGCAAAGGCATGTCTTACGTGACAGCAGGCAAGAGAACTTGTGCAGGGAAACTCCCATTTATAAGACCATCAGATATCATGAGACTTATTCACTAGCATGAGAACAGTATGGGGGAAACCACCCCCATGATTCAATTATCTCCACCTGGCCCCATCTTTGACATGTAGGAATTCAATTCAAGGTGAGATTTGGGTGGAGATACAGCCAAACCATATCAAACATCAAACTGAATAGTCAGCACAGAAGGAGTGTATTATAATGTTACGGTCAAATTGGCTAAAGCCTGCTGGATGATAGTCATTGCTATAATACAGGTAATCAGGTTAGGAGGTAAATTATTCAGAGCTGAGCTCTTATAAATGTTTCCTCTTTTTTTCTGTTTTGTTCTTTTGTTGTATTAAACAGTGCCAATATTTAAAGTTTTCTAAGAAAACATGTGCTGTGGGGTTGTTCAGCTGTAGTATCTGAGCTTCCAGGCATGTGTGATGGGCAGTGATCATCCCAGAGCAGCCCGAGGGATCGATAGGCTGTGGACTTGGCTGCATAGGTTAAGAACCCAGATCTATGGTGAGATTCCCACTATCCTTTAATAAATTATTTTACTACAGCCCAGTGACTACTAAACATCTTCACTTTGGTTTCTCACTTCCAGTGGACAGTATTGCTTGTCTTTCCTAATTTTCTGGCAAGGGATACCCCAGTTTTGGGAATGCTCCTTACCCGCAACTCTGCCACATGGTTATAGAGGGAGCAGCCATGTTCGTACTACTTGGCCCAATTTCCTGGCCACAGGCTGAACCAAGGAGCATCAAACTGTGATCTAAAGAACTTGGCTCAGTCTGACCTTTCTCTTGAACACAGGAAGAGTTAGGACTGAGGCCATTTACTTTTATGTGGAAACATAACAGGTCATTAACACGAGAAGATAACTGCAGACAGGCTTTTAGAGAAATAGTTCTCAATCTTTAGCTTCCATTGCAATGACCTTGGAAAGCTTGTTAAAACAGATTGCTGGCCGGGTGCAGTGGCTTACTGCACCTGTAATCCCAGCACTTTGGGAGGCTGAGGCAGGCGGATCATGAGGTCAGGAGATCAAGACCATCCTGGCTAACACGGTGAAACCCCGTCTCTACTAAAAATAGAAAAAAATTAGCTGGGCGCAGTGGCGGATGCCTGTAGTCCCAGCTACTCAGGAGGCTGAGGCAGGAGAATGGCGTGAACCCGGGAGGCGGAGCTTGCAGTGAGCTGAGATGGCGCCACTGCACTCCAGGCCGGGCGACAGAGCGAGACTCCGTCTCAAAGGAAAAAAACAAAAACAAAAACAGATTGCTGAGCCCCTCCCGAGAGTGTCTGATTCAGAAGGTCTAGCAAGTCATAAAAACACTGTAGTCATGTAGGGTGGGTCCGAAGAATATACATTTTTAACCCATTTTCAGATGCTGCTGCTGCTGCTGATCTGGAGTCCCCCTTTGAGAACCACGGTTCTAGAATAGCAGAGATGAGAGAAGGAGAGAGGCCTTTTTGTAAAGACCTGGCTCTATCCATACTTTAGGATTCTGAAAGATATTCCTGCAAACTTAGAATAAATCTTCCCATTTTTCTAAGCTATTTATGTGAGTTTTTGTGACTTTCAACCAAAGTTTCTAACACCTCGAACAAGTTATGTATAGAATTAAGTCTCTCTACATCAAGATCTGTTCATCTTCCTCTATTTCCTCTATTTTGGGCGAGTATATATCCAGGTTTCTCTGGGAATGTCCTGGGTTTACACTTATTGTCCTAGTACAATGATTAATAGTGTCTCTTTCACTCTCAGAAAAATGTCCTGATCGGACAATGAATTATGTAGCCTACCCTCCCTATACCGGTATGAAACTGCTAAATACCCATTCCCTGCAGAATGATACCTATAGGTCACCTCATTCTCCTCTCACTGTCCCCTCATTCAGTTGCCCATTAAGTCCTTTCAATTCTACTTAACATCTTTATAATTAATTTATTCTCTCCTATCTTTGAAAATACTGCTTTAGCTACATAGAGTTCATCAACTTTCAACTAAACATTCTTTCTCCATAGCTAAATCTGTTTTTTAAATTGCTAAATCCTGTTTTTGTCACGTTGCCTCCTGTTTTTGCACATGGCTTTCCCTCTCCCTGGAATGCCCACCTGAATGTTTCATGTATTTTATGACAGCTTAAATATTCCATCCTCCACACAGTCTTCTGTAACCCATAGGCAGGAATTACTACAAACTTCCCAGTGTTACAACAGTATCTTATTCCTATGCTCTTTGTATGAAAATTATCTGCTTGCATTCAAGACTCAACTTCTTTAAAGCAGGTTTATTCATTGTAATTTTTGCACCACGCTAAGTGATGCTCACTAAACTTGCTGACTGAATGAATGACATTCCAAAAAAAAGTTTTTGTGTGTGCAGAGAATCTCCCTAAAGGAAGCTGCTTTCCAAACACACCACCCAGCAAACACAGACAACCTCCTGGAGATGGGACACAGTCTATGTTTTCTGCATACTGCATCAACTAGCTGTTCTGGAACCACAAGGTGATAGCAGCTGACCCTCTGCAGCCATTGATTATGATGTGACCCTACCTTCCTGACATAGTTTATAGAACAGAATAGGAGCTCTGAATCAATTTACTAGGCCTTTAGAATCAATACTGAAAAAGAGAGATTATCTCTTTCTTGCTGACTGGCTAGACTTGCAAGCTATAGCTTGGGAGCTGCTGGTGGCCATGTTTGCTGCTGTGGTAAGAAGAAGCAGAAGTAGCTGTCTGCAGAGGGAGAGAAGTGAAGCAGACCCTCAGAGAGATGCAGAGAGGAGAGATGGAAGGAAGGACTACTGGGGCGTCCTACAGCTGTCCCATTCTGGGTTCTGGTCAGTTCCTGAGCCTACTTACATTCTTGATAGGAAGTTCCATGAAGCACCCCTGAATCCTTAAGTAGGATCCCTATTTTGGCCTAAGCTTTCTCAAGTGGGTTTGGGTTATTTGTTTGAAGTGGCTTAATGAATACAAACAATAATAAGCAATTCGCATCTTTAGACTCCTAGGACAATTTATAAGCAAATCTGAAGAGAACCATGATCATCTGCCTTTTTGAGAAGGCACGATTTCTTGAAATGAGAAACACTGTTACCTTTGTAGTCATGTGAAATAGCATTTATTATTAATTTGGTTAATAATATATAACATTCAGTTTACTTTTTTAATTGAAGCATTTCTTCAATTTTCAGATATTTAAGAAAATAATTTATCTATATTTTAAATGCCAACATAATATGAATGGAAGTTTATGAAAAAACTATTGGAGCCAAATGCTAGATTGCTTCCTACAGGGAAGAGGCTGAGAGGAGGAAACCAAGTTTCCGGAGAAAAAGAAGCAAAAGAGACAAAGGAGTGTGTGTGTGTGTGTGTGTGTGTGTGTGTGTGTGCGTGTGTATGTGTGTGTATAAGAGAGAGAAACAGAGACCTGATTCCATCTGCATCATTTGAGTCCCCATATCCACTTTTTTCTCCCCACCTCCACCTCCCCACTTAAGCGGGTTTGTGTTGGGTTTCTTTCATTCTTAACAGTAAGTTTCCTGACTATTATGCAGCCAGACTTCCATTATGATTAACATCTAGATTACAATGGTATTACCATTTACTAAAAATTAGAATTCCAATAACCTATGGCTGAGAACATTGGTTTTGCAGTCAAAGAGACTCAAATCTAAATTCTAACTCTATCACATCCATACATGTTTGTGATCTCGGATCACACATCCTGTTTTGGTTTCTGTTTCCTTATCTGCAGAATGAGGATAAATATCAACACTTTTCAAGCTTTTGTGAGAATTAAAAATGTAATGCATGTAGAAAGTGTAATACGATGCCTGACTAGTACTAAGAGTCTGATAACTGTCAGCTGGCTTTATTCCTGTGATGTAGAACATCCACTTACTTTGAAAGTGTTTCTGATATTTGACAGCTGTCTTTTGCCCCTTAGTCCTTCACTTTTTCTTGTCCTATGTCTTCCTTCCTACTATAAGATCTGGAATATTGAGTTATATGAGATAATCAACTCACCCGTTCCTGAATTTCATCAAGAAATAATAAGCTATGAACATATTCTGTGGTAGTAGTTGGAACAAACTCAAGTTTATACTCTGCATCTTGTGCCTCAAAGATAATGGCATCCACTTTTTTCTTGCTTTGACGAGGAAGCATAAAATTTAGCACCTAAGAAAGAAACACCGTGTGAATTGTAAATAGTCGAATATTTTCATTTTATTATGTATTTCAGACAAATCCTAATTGGATTTGTTAAATCAGCAGGCATTGGAAGCAGCAGTGAATACGAAGAGACTTTTTTTCTCTTTAAATCACTGCTAGTTAAATGAGCCAACAGGAAGGCCAGGTTTTGAAGATCATTTCCACAGCTTACCAAAAATTTTCCCTAAATGCTCTAATATTTTGCAAGTATGCTTTCTGCTTCTTTGTCCTATGTAGTGGACATTGTGCTGCCCTGTCCAGCATCAGTCCCACTCCTTTCATGTTGGGCGCTAGCCATGCAGTTTGGGGGAATTTGATCTCTCCTTCAGAAACAAATATGCAGTCTGACTGATGACTTGGCAAATAGGAACATGGCTTTTTTGGCCAAACTGATCAGATTAAGATTTTCACGCTACTATAAAGAACTGCCCGAGACTGGGTAATTTATAAAGGAAACAAGTTTAATTGACTCACAGTTCAGCATGGCTGGGGAGGCTTCAGGAAACTTACAATCATGGCAGAAGGTGAAGGGGGAAGCAAGGCACCTTCTTCACAAGGCAGCAGGAAGAAGTATGTGAGAGTGCAGGAAAAACCACGATTTATAAAACCATCAGATCTTGTGAGAATTCACTTACTGTCAGGAGAACAGCATAGGGGAAACCACCCCCATAATCCAATCACTTTCTATCAGGTTCCTCCCTTTACACCTGGGGATTACAATTCAAGGTGGGATTTGGGTGGGCACACAAATCTAAACCATATCAAGTGTGAACCTCTGACTTTAGTTGATTCAATCAGATAAAGGCCCACACTTTTATTTATGGCTGAGAGAGACGTGTACTCAGAACCCCAGGCTTTCTCTGTCTCTCTCCATACAAACAAATAATTGGCTTGTGGAGCTTTTGACAATCACTTTACAAATGCCTTAGGATGAAGCCTGCACATAAGGAGGCTCAGGAAAGAGAAAGAAATAATTGGTTCCTTGGTAACACCACTGAGCCACTAGATCATACCTCCTTGATATCGACCCAATCTCTGGACTTTTTAGATACATATGCCAATAACTCTCCTGATTGCTTAAGCCAGCTTGAGTTCAGTTTTCTTGGGCTTACAGTAAATACATATCCAAGTATTTCTTGAGCATACAGTAGCTAAAAAGTGCTTGTTGAAATTGAATTAAATTTGCTCCAATTATATACATAATTATATATATATTTCTTTTTTTTACCAGATGAAGAAGCAAAACTCTAGAAGGAAGCCCAATGCCATACAATTAATTAATAACAGAAAATACTAGCACTCAGGTCTGCACTCTTTTTTATACAGTGCTCTATCTTCTATCATCTACCAGGGGCCAGAAAATGTTTTCTATAAGGGCCAGATAGTAAATATTTTAGATTTGCAGTCAATACAGTCTCTGTCACAACTACTAAACTTTGTCCTTGTAGGAAGAAAGCAGCCATAGATGATATGTAAACCATTGTCATGGCTGTGTTCTGATAAAACTGTATACAAAACAAGAGGCAGGCTGGGTTGGCTCTGTGGGCTATAGTTTTCCAATTCCTGTTTTATATCATTGTCTTTCTGTGGGCATTGGGAAGACACAAGTATACTCTGGCTCCAAAGGAAATTATTGTATTGGTTCTGAAACTTATTACAGAAATTTCCCTAGTTCTATAACTTACCAAAACATAATCAGACCTGTAGGGACAATTCCAGATCAGAAAATGATTTCCTAAACTTGATCTCGGTGGTCTAGAATCAACCATCACTCCCTCTAGGATATTGAGCTGTTATGGTAGTATCCTCTCTGCAGGTCTTGAAATGCTCCGACAATGGAAAAAGGAGTAGGAGCAAGAGGCCAGTGTGAGGCCTGCAGTCCCCTCCATTATCTCATCTAAAAAGCTGATTATGCTTGTGACAAAAAGACTATAGAGCTTTTCTTAGAAATTAAGGATGTCCAATAGTCTTATGTTAATTTTTATATTTGCAATACTATAAAATAAATACTAGGTTTTTGTGCAGTAGAAAAATCATAAAATAATTGTAGAGGAATAATTATTTTTTTTTCTAGTTTATAGTTACCTCTAAGCATCGCAAAGGTGATGGAATTAATTTTTCTCTTAGAAGCCTAGTATCAATGAGCAGCAATCCTACATTTCTGGTGGGTCTGAGCGCTACTGCGTCCTTGTGCTGTTTGTGATATTTTTCCAGTTGTTCACTAAAAAAGTTAATATCTACATAAAAAAATTCACATAAAGCATAAAATATACCATATTGGATTTTAAAAGATCATTACAAAATATATTAAAAATCATTGCATTGATAAATTTACACATATATGTATAATGTTATTATCTGTACTTAGAGTATCTCATGTAACTTTAAAATGCTAATTGGATTGCTTTATAGGATTTTATTCTTGTGATAAAGAAACTAATATTTTATAATGTAAATATGTCTTCTGGCTCCTATGAAGAGATGACAGATGAAAATAACTTGTAAGTGCATTAGAGAATCTAGTCTGGAATTGACTAGATTTCAGAGTTAGGTTGGTTTCAAGTTGGGATTAATCTAAATGTTCTCTCCCACATGGTGTCTCAAAGTAAAGCATTTTGAGAATATAAACAACAACAAAATTTGAAATATAAGAGATCACACATAGCTAAAATTATCTCTGTTTCTCTTCCCAACACATCTCTCTGCCATTCCTGCACCCTACATCATGGTCAAGGCCTTTGTCAATTTGCATATGCTGCAGTTGCATTTTGATAATCTTCTTGCCTCCATTTCCTCCCTCATCCAATCCATCTGGAACCAATGGAAACCTCATTATCCTTGAATATACTCTCATCATACTATCAGTCAAAAATAGCTCTCTCTCTAATGCATATACAGTTCTAAACTTCTCTGCTTGTCTTTCAAAATTCTGTACCCTCTGGGCCTCTAAAAATTTAGCTAATTTTATTTCTAATTACCTCCTACATTTGGGTCAAATTGATTTCCTTACTGTCTGCCCTTTTTCCTCCTTCCATAATCTTCCTCCACCACCCCAAAGAGAAAGGGGTGCTGTTTCCTGCCTTTATTCATGCCATCTCCTCTCCTAATTATAAGGGGTAGTTTGATATAGTATAAAGAACACACCAGAGAAAGTATTGGAAGACCTGAGCTCAGGTCTTTAACCCATGTGTGGCCTTGGGAAAGTTACTTAGTCTTTCCGAGCTTCAGCTTCCTCATAATATAAGACAGAAACAGCAATTACCTCCCTTACTCACTTCAGAAGGTTTTGATTTGTGTATTTTTGAAAGCCGACTAAATTAAGATGTTAAATGATCTGATAAGTCGTATGGTAAGGATACCCGTATAATGCTGCGCTGTTTAGTATTTTCCAAATTTATTTGAGCACCATCTTTTTTCATGGTATCATGTAATTATCCCTCAGAACAGTGCCAATGAACACAACTTTGGGAACCATTTATTTGGTCCAAAACTCTTATTTCATAGATAGAGAAATTGAGGTCATATGACTTGGCTATGGCCACATAGCCAAAAAGGAATAAAAGATTAAAGCCGATAGTTGAGAAATACGATTTCTTTCTCCTTTTTTTTTGAGACGGAGTCTTGCACTGTCGCCCAGGCTGGAGTGCAGCGGCGCGATCTCGGCTCACTGCAAGCTCCGCCTCCTGGGTTCACACCATTCTCCTGCCTCAGCCCCTGGAGTAGCTGGGACCACAGGCCCCCGCCACCACACCCGGCTAATTTTTTGTACTTTTAGTAGAGACGGGGTTTCACCATGTTAGCCAGGATGGTCTCAATCTCCTGACCTCGTGATCCCCCCGCCTCGGCCTCCCAAAGTTCTGGGATTACAGGCGTGAGCCACCGCGGAGAGGCAGTACGTAAAACGGTTAAGCAGACAAGCTTTCAAGTCAGAGAAATTAGATCTAAACTGCTCACTAGCTGTTTAATCCTGAGGTTGCCTTATCTCTATAGATCTCTGTTTTCCTTTTATAAAATGGTAATACTAATACTCTCCTCAGAATTGTGAGGATTGGATGAAATGTCTAAATATTACTTAGAACAGTATCTATCATGCTGTAAGTGCTCAGTAAAGTGTAGAAATTATTAGTAAATGCTGACATTTATAGGAACTTGGTGGTGAGATGTGGCTGCTTGTCAGGAAGCCAGAACCTATCTGCTGGTCGTTCTCTGAGGCAGGACAGGGAGCAGTCTGGCTAAAAGTTCAGTTAGACATTTATTAAGGATCTACAATATGTGCTAAGCAATGTTGTAGTCGTTTGAGGATATCAAATAACAGGTAAGGTTGATATCCAAGGGCAAAGCCCACCTCTATAACCCTCTGGCAAACAACTGGATTTAGTGGTTTAGGACGTACTGGGGGTTCCAAACAGAGGAGGAGCACAGAGGTTAGGAGTCCAGGCCAAGGTACTCCAAAGTCGCAGCCATCAGAGTGTTGGGACTGGGAGACCTGGTTCCAGGATTGGGTTTCAAAGGCAGGACTGGCAAGACAAGATAGGACTAGCTGAAGAGCAACCTGGGAGTCAGGGGACTGCATGCTGATGGGAACTTGCTGAGGGATCACAGTTATCCAACGTGAGGACTGTGGTAGCAGGAGGCTAGGAAGCCTTGGGCTCAGGATATGAGTAGAAGAGCTCAGGGATTAGAACTGGCTATTTTGATCAGGCCTCCTTCTTGTGCCAAAATTCCAGGCTCCATACCCTGCTGCCACTGTGATGCCATGACATAGCACAGGAGGCATCATGTCCTCACGTCCCTGTCGGTATGCTTCTGTTCAGCACACACTAAGTCTCCATGTGATAGTGTTGTCAAAGAACAGTGGAAGTAGGCTTGTCTAAATTTTGTTTTCTAAATTGGGGCCACATTTTGGTCTAACGACTTAGTATCTTGAAAAAAAGGAGTCAGTTTCAGATTTTTAAAATTTAAGGGACATAACAATCAGATACAATGACTGATCTTGGACTTGATCCCTGGCCAAATCATCTGGAAGCTGCTTTACTTGAGGAATTTTGAAAATGGAATAAGTTAAGATATTAAGGAATTGCTATTTCGGTGGAGGATGATACTATTTTCATTCTGTAGAAACATGTTTTAGAGATGCATATTGAATTATTTAACTTAAGAATACTTCAGCATAGTAAACAATAAGGAATTGAAAGAAAAACATAAAAACATAAAGAAAAAATTAGTGCTGGTTCATAGAGCAAAGTATCAATGTAATTGTAATTATATTTATATATAAGAAAATAAAGGAAGCTCATGAAATAAAAAAGAATATGAAAGACATGCATCATGATTTAAAATAGCAAACAAATATACTTATTTTTTATAATTTTCTGAGAACTTGCTTGCCTGAAATTGCACTTGGATATTGTAGATTATCTTCTATTGTTAAAGACAGTGAAATAAAACAGTTTTCTCCTAGGTCTTATTTCATGACTAAGAGTTGTTGATTCACACCCACCAGATCTTAATGTAGTCCCAGAAGAAAAAAGAATAAGTTCCTGAGATAGAAAAGCTTATGTAAACTTTATTTAATGGAATTGGTAGAGGTATCCATTCCTTTCAACAACTTCTCATATGCAGGCTATATACTCTTAGCACTGATACAACTTTAAACTAAATGATAAGCGATTAGGAAGGAATTGCTTTCCATAATATCCTGAAATAAAAGTAATACTGAATAAGGAGAAAGGAAAAAAGTGATTCTATAGAAAATAACCTAGAAATGAATTAACTCTTGCCTTATGTCAGGCCAACTCTTTTGGGCTACCATTTGTGTCCCCAGACACCACCAAACAGAATCCTAAAAAACAACAAATCTCAGTATCCCTATAAAAATAATTAGTAAGTACAAATGGACAAGTTACCAGGTTCCTGAAGTTTAAGAGCTTGTAAATCAAGACTTTCATTTTCCTTGAAGAATATCTGGAACTTTTCAAAGGTAGCTGCATAGATGCGGGCTGATTCAAATGCGGCCTGAATGGTTTCCTAAATGTTATAAATAAGCAGACAAATATGACCATATTTTTGTTAAGCAGAATTTAATTCAATACAACTAAACAAAGAAACAAGCAAGCACACAAACTCTATGCCCAATAGTATGTTTTGATTTGGGAAACATGAATGAAGAAAGATATATTCTTGATGTCGAGGAGTAATTGATGGATTCAAGAAGAAATTGTTATGAAATAAAAAAAATTCATCTTTAAACCTGACTTTTGAAGAATTATTCCTGTGACTGAAAGGAAACACAATTTGTTTCTGCTTCATGGTGAACTTATATATTGCTAGTAAACATATGGCAAAGAGGCAATACTTGTTTATTTTCCCAACTGCATATTTTATGTCACTGTGTTTTTAAGCAAAGGCAAACCTGTTTAGCATGCCCAGAAAATCACTTGCTTAATCTTACTATCAAATCTTTGGCATTGGCCAGTCTCTTACTCCAAAATATCCTTCATACTTTGCCATAATAAAAACTTTTTCTTCACCCCTCTTAAACTTGGTTCTAACCCATATTTCCCCACAAAGTTTTTTTAAACCAAGACAACGATTTCCAATCACTTCAGTCCCTTTAATAACTGTGTCAAGATATATTATTATATGTTCAAAGTCTATGAAAGGCAGTTAGGATTCACTTGCTGTTGGTCTTGGTCCATGTCTACTTGGCTGTGCTCCACACCTTTTCCTTGTGTTTTCTACTAAGACTTGTAAAAGTCTGCAATTTGTCCCAGGAAAACTAGAGGTGACCAATGGAATTGCACAAATCCAACACACCAATGCTAGGGAAAGTGACTCAGTTATGCCTTGTGGTAGTAGAAAATTTAATTACAAAGAATAGCACACACCCTGTATGTTTACATTTAGTTATTTGTTCATTTATTTTAATAGGCTTTTATGAATATTCCAGAATGTTTCTGCTGTTTCTTCTTTATAATAAACATTGAAAAAAAACTTTATCAAACTATGTTTCCTTTGAACGGACTAAATAGTATCTCTCATATGTCATCATGCAGGTGCTAGAAACAATATAAGGCTTGTAAATGGAAAGCCCCACCGATGTTCAAAATATGATTTCAAAACATTTTTATTTTGAAACAATGTATGATTCACAAGAGTGTTACTGGAATAGTACAAAGAACTGCATATCTCTGTCACCAAAATTCCCTAAACTTCAACAATTTATCATATTTACTTTATAAGTCTGTCTATATACACATATTATTATACTCTGAACCATTTGGGAGAAAGTTACAGACATGTGGCACATTGACCCCTAAATATTTCAGGGGTTACTTACTAAACACAAGGACATTTTCTTACATAACCACAGTATAATGGTCCAAATCAGGAAATTAACATGGATATTAATACTGCTATCTAATTACCGACCTCATACAAATTCTACCATTTGTTCCAGTAATGAATTTCATAGTAAAAGGAAAAAACATTTTTTGTTCTGGTCTACTTTTCTACCTAGGATCATGTATTGCATCTTTTCATCTTTTTGGTTTTCTTTTTTCTTTTTTTTCTTTTTGAGACAGAGTCTCTCTCTGTCACCCAGGCTGGAGTGCAGTGGTGCCATCTCGGCTTGCTGCAACCTCCACCTCTCGGGCTCAAGCAATTCTCCGTCTCAGTCTCCTGGGTAGCTGGGATTACAGGCGCCCGCCACCACGCTAATTTTTTTTTTTTTTTTTGTAATTTTAGTAGAGATGGGGTTTCACAGTCTTGGCCAGGCTGCTCTTGAACTCCTGACCTTGTGATCCGCCCACCTAGGCCTCCCAAAGTGTTGGAATTACAGGCGTGAGCCACTGCGCCTGGATGGTTTTCTTTAATGTGGGACAATATCTCAATCTTTCTTTGCCTTGCATGACCTTCACATTTTTTAAAGGTATCTCAGTTGTGTGTATATGTGCATGTGTGTGTTTTATATTTCCTCATGATTAGACTCAGATTTAAATTTTTGGCAGTAATGCTACATAAGTGATGTATGTTATTTGCAGCATCTCACAAGGCATTTGTTGTCTCATTACTGGTAATACTAACACATTGGCTAAGGCAGCGTTTGGCAGGCTTATCACTGTGAACTATTTTCCCCTTTGAAATCAATAAGTAGCTTATGGACAGAGAATTTGAGGCTATGTAAATAACCCATTTCTTATTATACTTTTGCATACGCATTTTAGTACACATCAGAGATTCTTGGTGATTGCTGATGGCTTCTGTAGTGAATTTTCTAATTGTGTTTTCTTTCTACATTTATTTGCTTGCATTCTACCAAAGAAAAACTTTCTCTTCTCACTCATTCAATTAGTTTGTTAATTCATTATTTCACAACATGGACTCATATATTCTCATTTTATTCAAAGGATTTGGTAGTGATCAAATTGTCCCAGCGTGTCCAGAATTGGTTCCTTCCGGTGGATTCTCGGTCTTGCTGACTTCAAGAATGAAGCCCCGGACTCTCACGGTGAGTGTTACAGCTCTTAAAGATGGTGTGTCCGGAGTTGTTTGTTCCTCCCAGCGGGTTCGTGGTCTTGCTGACTTCATTAGTGAAGCCGCAGACCTTCCCAGTAAGTGTTACAGCTCTTAAAGGTAGTGCGGACCCAAGAGTGAGCAGCAGCAACATTTATTGAGAAGAGCGAAAGAACAAACCTTCCACAGCGTGGAAGGGGACCCGAGTGGGTTGCAGCTACTGGCTCGGGTGGCCAGCTTTTATTCCCTTATTTGGCCCTGCCCATATCCTGCTGATTGGTCCATCTTACAGAGTGCTAATGGGCCCATTTTACAGAGTGCTGATTGGTGCATTTACAATCCTTTAGCTAGAGACAGAGCGCTGATTGGTGTGTTTTCACAGAGTACTGATTGGTGCATTTATAATCCTTTAGCTAGACACAGAGCACTGATTGGTGCATTTTCACAGAGTGCTGACTGGTGCCTTTATAATCCGTTAGCTAGACACAGAGTGCTGATTGGTGCGTTTTTACAGAGTGCTGATTGGTGCATTTACATTCCTTTAGCTAGACACAGAGTGCTGATTGGTGTGTTTTTACAGAGTGCTGATTGGGGCATTTACAATCCTCTAGCTAGACACAGAGCAATGATTGGTGCATTTTTACAGAGTGCTGATTGGGGCATTTACAATCCTCTAGCTAGACAAAAAAGTTCCCCAAGTCCCCACTCAACCCAGGAAGTCCAGCTGGCTTCACCTCTCACCAGGGAGACCCTTCGAGGTGGCTTTTTGTCTTTTTTACATGTCTCCATTGTTATTTGGGCATGTTCTTATTTTTTTAGGTGAATAATATTCTCTAGGCTCATATTGTACTATCCTACCCCACCCCTTGAAGAAGAGAGTACTGCAAAGAGAACAAAGAGAGTTCCTTTCAATTGGGAATGATACATAGAAACTAACATGTGGATACTAGATGTGCTCATTGGTATTGGGATGTCATTGCTTGTAGCCTATTTCAACAGACAGGTCTAGGAAACGCACATACACCCCACATACAATCACAAAACCCTACACATTTCTTTATCTTTCCACAGATCAATTAAAATCCATGAGTTCACAACTCTATTCCAATGCAACAACATAGGGTTCATTCCAGCCTTCCCTCTTCCATATTTGTAACTCCCTTTCTGAGGATGAGTAACCTCATCTCATCATTCACAATATATTTATTTATTTTGCTCAACTCTAAATAAAATACACAGAAAGTAGTTTCAACATTGCGAATACACTAATACCACTGCAAAAAACAAACCTACTAACTAGAGTTCAGTATTTGCTGCAGTTATGGTGGTTTTTCATCCACAGGATACATGGCCAAAATACTGTGCTCAAAAGTTACTTGGTTTAGTTATTTTCCCCCATCCATTTAGTGTGGTTATGTATTTCACTTGAAATACATGTGGGTTTATTTCTTTTTGTTTGTATTTTGTTTTAGGGTTTTGCTCTCCATTTTGTTGATTTTTTAAGAACTATATTAAAAGGTATACTCAGAAAATAGTCACTTCCCCATTTTTTTCACTTTTTACCCACCATCCTCACCCTTCCTACACCATTCACATTACCTCCTCTAGGTAACTAATTTCCTTAGTTTCTGGTTTATCTCCCTTTCCTTCCTACTTCTGACATAAACTTCTGAATATCTATAGTATACTATAGATATTCTTTTGTACTTTGCCTTTTTCATCTAACAATATATCCTGGAAATCACTCTATATTAATTAATAACCAACTTCTTCATCCATTTATTCAGCTGCATAGTATTCCTTTGTGTAGATATACCATAGATTATTCAATAATTTTTCTATACATGGCTATTTTGGTAGTTTACAATATTTTGCAGTCATAAACAATGCTGCAGTAAGTAATCTAGTGCATATGTACTTACGTATTGTTGAAAACGTATTTTTAGGATACATTTTAAAGGTTGTATTGTTGGATCAAAAGGTAAATGCATGTATAGTTTTGTTTTGCAAAATGTTCTTTTATTTTTTGCATTCCCACAAGCTTAATGTGAGAGCGTTTGTTTACCCATAGGGTAATCACCAGAAAGTGTTGGTATATTTTTTAATTTTGCTAATCTGATAGTTGAGAAATTATATCTCAGTTTTAATTCGCATTTATCTTATGAGTAGACTATCTTTTCATATGCTTAGATGCTATGTTTGGTGAATGTTTTATCATAAGTTTTGATCATTTTTCTTTTTTTAAAATTAAATTAAATTTTAAGTTCCAGGATGCATGTGCAGGATAGGATGTGCAGGTTTGTTACATAGGTAAATGTATGCCATGGTGGTTTGCTGCACCTATCAACCCATCACCTAGGTATTAAGCCCCACATGTATTTGCTATTTATCCTGTTGTTCTCCCTCCCCACAGACCCTGATGGGTCCCAGTGTGTGTTGTTCCCCTCCCTGTGTCCATGTGTTCTCATTGTTCAGCTTCTACTTATAAGTGAGAATACATGGTGTTTTCTGTTTCTGTGTTAGTTTGCTGAGGATAATGGCTTCCAGCTCCATCATGTCACTGCAAAGGACATGATCTCATTCTTTTTTATGGCTGCACAGTATTCCACGGTATATATATATCACATTTTCTTTATCCAGTCTATCACTATGGGCATTTGGATTGATTCCATGTCTTTGTGATTGTGAATAGTCCTGCAATGAATGTGTGTATGCATATATCTTTATAATAGAATGAATTTTCCTTTGGGTATATACCCGGTAATGAGATTTCTGGGTCAGATGGTATTTCTGGTTCTAGGTCTTTGAGGAATCACCACACTGTCTTCCACAATGGTTGAACTAATTTCACCAACAGTGTAAAAAGCGTTCCTATTCCTCCACAGCCTCACCATCATCTGTTGTTTCTTAACGTTTTAATAATTGCCATTCTGACTGTGTGAGATGGTATCTCACTGTGGTTTTGATTTGCATTTCTCTAATGATCAGTGATGTTGAGTTTATATATATGCCACATAATGTATTATATAATATACATATGCCACATAAATGTCTTCTTTTGAGAAATGTGTGTTCATGTCCTTTGCCCAGATTGCAAAAATTTTTCCTATTCTGTAGGTTGTCTATTCAGTCTGATGATAGTTTCTTTTGTTGTGCAGAAGCTCTTTAGTTTAATTAAATCCCATTTGTCAATTTTTGCTTTTGTTGCAATTGCTTTTGATGTTTTGTCATGAGATCTTTTTCCATGCCTATGTCCTGAATGGTATTGCCCAGATTTTCTTCTATGGTTTTTATAGTTTTGGGTTTTACATTTAAATCTTTAATCCATCTTGAGTTAATTTTTGTATAAGGTGTAAGGAAGGGGTCCAGTCTCAATTTTCTGCATATGGCTAGCCAGTTCTCCCAGCACCATTTATTAAATAGGGAATCCTTTCCCCATTGATTGTTTTTGTTAGGTTTGTTGAAGATCAGATGGTTGTGAGGTTTAATTTCTGAGATCTCTATTTTGTGCCATTGGTCTACATGTCTGTTTTTGTACCAGCACCATGCTGTTTTGGTTACGGTAGCCTTGTAGTATAGTTTGAAGTTGAGTAGTGTGATGCTTCCAGCTTTGTTCTTTTTGCTTAGGATTGTCTTGGCTATACAGGCTCTTTTTTGGTTCCATAGGAATTTTAAAGCAGTTTTTTTCTATTTCTGTGAAGAATGTGTTTTGACCATTTTTCTACCTAGTTTTGGTTTCCCCTCTCTCTAGTATTGGAAATATTAGCCCTCAGCTATAATATGTAATACAAATAGATTCTCTCTGTTTATAAGTGTATTTTTACTTTGTTTACAATTTTTCATTGCAAAAGATTTATTTGTTGTATAATCAAATTTATCAATTCATTCTATTCTTGCATCCAGATTTTTAAGTCATAGTTAGATAACCCTTTTTATGAACAAATCATAAAATAATTTGTCCATCTTTACTTACAGTTTTATTTTATTTTTAGATCCCTAATTTATATATTGGTGTGTAGAATGTGAACCATAGATCTAATTTTATCTTTATCCAAATAGCTATTCAGTTGTACCAGCTACGTTTATGAAAAATTCATATTTGTTTCAGTGATTTGAGATACTATATATTTTATACATTTCTACATGTATTTTGGCGTCTATTCTACTCTACTGGTCTGACAGCTATTCATGTGCCAGTACCACGTTCTTTTAATTATAGAGTGTTTACATTAAATATTTGGGCAGTATAGTACTCCTCATAGCTATTCTTTTTTCAACATTTTTGGTAGTTATTCTTAGACGTCTATTTATGCATATAAGCTTTATTATAAACTTGTCAGTATTTTCATAGGCATGTGTTAAAATTATAAATTAACCTAGAGAGAAAAAAAATCTTTATCATGTTGAGTCATCCCATTTAAGAAATTTTTATTGGCATGTATTAAAATTATAAATTAACTTAGAGAGAAAAATCATCTTTATTATGTTGAGTCATTCCATTTAAGAAATTTTTTCCAAGCCTATTTTTGTGTCTTCCAGAAGATTTTTTAAAAACATAAAAGTGTCCATCATATGGGTTTTTAGCATTTCTTATTAAATTTATTCCTAAATATATTACCTGCTTTGCTGCTATTATGAAAGAAGTATTTTCTATCAGGCATTTTCAATATTCTAGAATAACTGAGGTGGCATTGTGAATATCTAGTCTTTGGAGATTTGATAAATTTCCCCCATTTGGGCCTGGTGCTTTTTGTGGAGTATTTCTTTGGTAACTTTCTCTATATCTTCTGTGGATATTGGTAGGAGCTCTATTTCTAATGTGAACAATTCCAGTAAAAATATTTCCCTAAAAAATTCTCAATTTTAACTAACCCTGAATGTGGGGTTAGTTAAGCGGTCTAAATGCTCCATGTAAAAGACATAGAGAGGATAGCTGGATAAAAAGACAAGACTCAACCATTTGCTGTCTTCAAGAGAACCATCTCACATGTAACAACACCCATAGGCTCAAAATAAAGAGATGAAAAAGGACCTACCATGAAAATGGAAAACTAAAAAGAGCAGGAGTCACTATTCTAATATCAGATAAAATAGAGTATAAACCAACACCAATTAAGAAGGAAAAAGAAGGACATTACATAATGATAAAGGGTACAATTCAACAAGACTTGGCTATTCTAAATATATACACAGCCAACATTGGAGCACCCAGATTTATTAAAAGATTTATTAAAAAAATACTTCTAGACCTACGAAAAGACATAGACAGTCACACAACAATAGTGGGATACTTGAACACGCCCACTAACAGTGACTGATCATTGAGGCAGAAAACTAACAAAGAAATTGAGGACTTAAACCCAGCACTCCAACAATTGACTCTAGATTAACAAATAAAAAGAAAAAAGAATAAACACAACAAGAATTGACAAAGATGAAATTACAACAGATTCTAGAGAAATAAAAAAGATCCTCAGAGACTATTATGAACAATTCTATATACACGAATTAGAAAATCTAGAGGAAATGGATAAATTCCTGGAAATATACAACCTGCCAAGACTGAACCAGAATGACAGTGAAACCCCGAACAGACCAGTAACAAGTTCTGAAATTGAATAAATAATATAAAAAAACTACAAAAAAAAAAAGCCCTGGACCAGATGGATTCACAGTCAAATTCTACCAGATATACAAAGAGCTGGTACCAGTTCTACTAAAACTATTCCAAAATATCAAAGAGGAAGGTTTCCTTCATAACTCATTCTATTGAATACTAAGCTAGTATCACCCTGACACCAATATCTGGCAGAGACACAATGAAAAAAGAAAACTTCAGGCCAATATCCCTGATGAACATAGATGCAAAAAATCCTTAACAAAATCCTAGTGAACAGAATCTAGAAGCACATCAAAAAGTTAATACACCACAAACAAGTAGACTTTATTCCTGGGATTCAAAGCTGTTTTAACATATGCAAATCAATAAATGTGATTCACCACATGAACAGAATTAAAAGCAAAAATCATATGATCATCTCAATAGACACAGAAACAGCTTTTGATAAAATCCAACATCCCTTCATGATAAAATCCCTAAGCAGACTAGGGATCAAAGGAATAGACTTCAAAATAATAAGAGCCATCTATGACAAACACACAGCCAACATCATACTGCATGGGCAAAAGTTGAAACCATTCCCCTTGAGACCTAGAATGAGACAAGGATGCTCACCCTTACCACTCTTATTCAACATAGTACTGGAAGTTCTAGTCAGAGCAATCATGCAAGAGAAAGAAGTAAAAGGCATACAAATAGGAAGGGAAGAAATCAAATGATCTCTCTTTGCTGATGATATAATTCTATACCTAAAAACCCCTAAAGACTCTGCCAAAAGGCCCCTAGAACTGATAAATGACTTGAGTAAAGTTTTGGAATACAAAATAAATGTACAAAAATCAGTAGCATTTCTATACACCTTAAATGGTCAAGCTGAGATTCAAATCAATAACTCAATCCCATTTATGATAGCCACATACGCACAAAATGAAATGCCCAGGAATACAGCCAAACCAAGGAGATAAAAGATTTCTACATGGAGAACTACAAAACACTGCTGAAATAAATCAGAGATGGAAAAAGATTCCATGCTCGTGGACTGGAAGAATCATTATTGTTAAAATGGCCATAATGCCCAAAGCAATTTACAGATTCAATGCAATTCCTATCAAACTATTTATATCTTTTTTCACAGAATTAGAAAAAACTATTCTAAAATTCATATGGAACCAAAAAAGAGCCAACTAGCCAAAGCAATTCTAACCAAAAACAACAAAGGTAAAGGCAGCACATTACCTGGGCTTCAAACTATGCTACAAGGCTACAGTAACCAAAACAGCAAGGTATTGGTACAAAAACAGACACATAGACCAAGAGAACAGAACAGAAAACCCAGAAATAAAGCTGCACACCCACAACCATCTAATCTTTGACAAAGCTGACAAAAACAAGCAATGGGGAAAAGATTCCCTATTCAATAAATGGTGCTGGAATAACTCACTAGCCATATGCAGAAGAAAGAAACTGCACCTCTACCTTTCCTAATATACAAAAATTAACTCAAGATGGATTAAAGATTTAAATGTACAATCTCAAACTATAAAATTCCTAGAAAACAAGAAAACCTAGAAAATAACCTTTTCGACACAGGCTTGGCAAAGAATTGTTGGTTGTTTGCAAAAACAATTGGAACAAAAACAAAAATTGACAAGTGGCACCAAATTAAACTAAAGAGCACCTGCACAGCAAAAGAAATTTTCAATAAACACACAACCTACATAATGGGAGAAAATATTCACAAACCGCATTTGACAACGGTCTAATATCCAGAATCTATTAAAAACTTAAATCAACAAGCAAAAAACAACCTCATCAAAAAATGGCAAAATACAAGCAGCCAGCAAACATATGAAAAAATGCTAATTATAACTAATCATCAGAGAAATGCAAATCAAAACCACGATGAGATGCCATCTCACACAAGTCAGAATGGCTATTATAAAGCTAATAAATAACAGTTATTTCTCCATACCTAGGGAGGCTATGGAGAAAAGGGAATGCTTATACACAATTAGTGGGAATGTAAATTAGTTCATCCACTATAGAAAGCAGTTTGGAGATTTCTCAAAGAACTTAAAACAGAGCTACCATTTGACCCAGCAATCCCATTATTGGGTATGTACCTGTATTAGTCTGTTCTCACACTGCTAATAAACACATACCCAAGACTGAGTACTTTATAAACAAAAAGAGGTTTAATGGACTCACAGTTCCACATGGCTGGGGAGGCCTCACAATCATGGCAGAAGGCAGAGGAGGAGCAAAGCTGCGTCTTAAGTGGCAGCAGGCAAGAGATCATGTGCGGGGGAACTGCCCTTTATAAAACCATCAGATCTCCTGAGACTTATTCATTATCACGAGAACAGCACGGGAAAACCCGCCCCCATGATTCAATTACCTCCTACCAGGTCCCTCACACTACACTTAGGGATACGGGAGCTACAATTCAAGATAAGATTTGGGTGGAACACGGTGAAACCATATCAATACCCAAAGGAAAATACATCATTCTGCCAAAAAGAAGACAGTCCTCAAATAAAACCTTCCTCATTGAGACCCTAATGAGCTTCCCTGCTAGGTGATATTTCACTTGTGTTGTCAAAATCCACTGCTGGAGGAATTAAGTGCCTCCCGTGTGACTCCAATGGAGAGGACTCTTGGAAGCTGTGCCTGGTTTCCTCTGAACTTTATCCCATGTGCCTTTTCCCTTCGTTAATTTTGCTTTATATCCTTACACTGTAATAATCATAGCCATGAGTAAAATTATACACTGAGTCCTGCGAGGTCTCTTAGCAAATCATAGCATCTGGCATTAAGGATCCATGACTCATAGGATCACAAGCCCCACTTTCTTATTGTTTACCTTTGCCCCTACAACATTGAGCATCTTTTCATTTTTAACCTTTTTGAATCATTTTCTTTTGGATTTCTCTCTTATATCCAGCATACTGTTTTGTCTTGTCTTGTGAGCCAAACTGAA
The DNA here is from genome assembly GCF_000001405.40 of Homo sapiens. Lineage (NCBI taxonomy): Eukaryota > Metazoa > Chordata > Mammalia > Primates > Hominidae > Homo > Homo sapiens. The sequence goes on along the minus strand of NC_000002.12, from coordinate 84,562,379 downwards.
AATCTTTTTCTTTTAATAGATGAATTGAGCTCATTTATATTCATCACATTACTGATATATTTGGTTCCAGCTTGGTCATATTATTTTCTATGTGTCTTATGGTTATATGTGTGCTTCTTTCTTTCTTTCTCTGAGTGACGATATATTTTTTAAAAATACCATTAGTCACTTGTTTCCTTATTAACCTTTCATACTTTGATTTGTTGGGTTTTACTGATATTCTTTAATTCCAGCCTATTAACTGTACCTCAATCAATAACCTTATTCTACTTTTCTCTTATTCTCCTCCTTCTCTATTTTTACAGTTGCACTATTTCTACTTCATTAGAACATACATTTATATACTAGTTTCCTATTCTTGTATCTATCTTTTTTTAGGCTTATATAGATCTACAATTAAATATGTTAAATATTCCCCATCAGCATCAGCTTTTTTCCCCCAAAGTTATTTCTTAGCTAGATGAAACTCATCCTGTAGTAGGTTCCTAATAAGCACCAAATTCCCTGGGTTCTTGCATGTTGAAAACTATTTTTGTATCTCATTGTGGTTTTGATTTGCATTTCTCTGATGGCCAGTGATGATCAGCATTTTTTCATGTGTCTTTTGGCTGCATAAATGTCTTCTTTTGAGAAATGTCTGTTCATATCCTTTGCCCACTTTTTGATGGGGTTGTTTGTTTTTTTCTTGTAAATTTGTTTGAGTTCATTGTAGATTCTGGATATTAGCCCTTTGTCAGATGAGCAGGTTGTGAAAATTTTCTCCCATTTTGTAGGTTGCCTGTTCACTCTGATGGTAGTTTCTTTTGCTGTGCAGAGAAGCTCTTTAGTTTAATTAGATCCTGTTTGTCAATTTTGGCTTTTGTTGCCATTGCTTTTGGTGTTTTAGACATGAAGTCCTTTGCCCATGCCTATGTCTTGAATGGTAATGCCTAGGTTTTCTTCTAGGGTTTTTATGGTTTTAGGTCTAACGTTTAAGTTTTTAATCCATCTTGAATTAATTTTTGTATAAGGTGTAAGGAAGGGATCCAGTTTCAGCTTTCTGCATATGGCTAGCCAGTTTTCCCAGCACCATTTATTAAATAGGGAATCCTTTCCCCATTGCTTGTTTTTCTCAGGTTTGTCAAAGATCAGATAGTTGAAGATATGCGGCGTTATTTCTGAGGGCTCTGTTCTGTTCCATTGATCTATATCTCTGTTTTGGTACCAGTACCATGCTGTTTTGGTTAGAATGGCAATCATTAAAAAAGTCAGGAAACAACAGGTGCTGGAGAGGATGTGGAGAAATAGGAACACTTTTACACTGTTGGTGGGACTGTAAACTAGTTCAACCATTGTGGAAGTCAGTGTGGCGATTCCTCAGGGATCTAGAACTAGAAATACCATTTGACCCAGCCATCCCATTACTGGGTATATACCCAAAGGACTATAAATCATGCTGCTATAAAGACACATGCACACGTATGTTTATTGTGGCACTATTCACAATAGCGAAGACTTGGAACCAACCCAAATGTCCAACAATGATAGACGGGATTAAGAAAATGTGGCACATATACACCATGGAATACTATGCAGCCATAAGAAATGATGAGTTGATGTCGTTTGTAGGGACATGGATGAAATTGGAAATCATCATTCTCAGTAAACTATCACAAGGACAAAAAACCAAACACCACATGTTCTCACTCATAGGTGGGAACTGAACAATGAGAACACATGGACACAGGAAGGGGAACATCACACTCTGGGGACTGTTGTGGGGTGGGGGAAGCGGGGAGGGATAGCATTAGGAGATATACCTAATGCTAAATGACGAGTTAATGGGTGCAGCACACCAGCATGGCACATGTATACATATGTAACTAACCTGCACATTGTGCACATGTACCCTAAAACTTAAAGTATAATAATAATAAAAAAAAAAAGAAAAAAAAAAGAAAACTATTTTTGTATAGCCTTGATACTTAAAAGACTAGGTTGGCTAGATAAAATTCTTGATTCACATTTTCTTTCCATGAGTTTTTTTTTAAATGCTCCTCCATTATTGCCTTACTTCGTATGTTGTTTTTGAGAAGTCTGATGCTAGTCTAATTCTCTTGTCTCTGTAAGACCTGCAGAAAAATTCTTTAGCCTTAAAATCTAATAATTTTAAAAGGCTATATCTTAGAGTTGATTGTTGTGGGTAATTTTCCAAGAAACTCTGTAGGCCCTTTCAATACACAGATTCAAATTTTCTTTTCCTGAACTATAGTTATAAATGTTTGCTCTATCCTCTTCTTTTGATTTTCTCTTACAGACACACCAATTATATGTATGTTATTTCTTCTTTGCCTGTCTTCCATTATAATTATTTTGTCTCTGAACCATTTTACTGATTTCTCTATCTTATTTTCATTCATTCTCTTGGTTGTTTTCTTATCTTTCTTCTATACTCATTACTTTTTCCCATCATTCTTCTATAGTAGTGTTAAACTTTTGAACTTATTCTCCTTTGAGCACTATATAATTTAGTCTTCATTTCTGAGATGATTTTGTCTTTTTTCTTTTCCATTTGTATTTTTAATTTTTAATTCATTGTGGCTTTTTGTATATTTGAATGCTTCTTTGAGAATATTTACTTCAGTGTGTAGTGTTGTTTTTGCTTCATGGCTGTTAGTAGACTTGCATGTAGTTAATTTTTTTAATTTCTTTAGCTCAGGGATTGGGTGATTTATAAAATTTTTAGTTCAAGAGCATTCTGTTCTGTCAGTAGAGCAAAATGAAATATGTTTTATTTTATTTTATGGTAACAGGAAAAGAGTTGGATATACTCTCATTTATTTGATTTTTTCTTGAGACAGAGTCTTGCTCTGCTGCCCAGGCTGGAATGCAGTGGCATGATCTTGGCTCACTACAGCCTTTGCCGCTGGAGCTCAAGTGACCTTCCCACCTCAGCCTCCCAAGTAGGTTCTTTTTTGTTTTGCAGCACTTACATTTTCAGTAGTTGCTTCATTTTCTCTGCACCATCCAATGTTCAAATAATGCCTCATCTTCTTTAGAAATTTTTTAAATTTTTAAATTTTTATTTTTAACCTTGTTTCCTCCCCCAGAACTAATGGCATCTTGAGTAGCTTGCACTTTTAGGCCTCCTTCCTGTAGACAGTCCTCTGATACACCAGGACTTTTTAAAATCATTTCTGCATGTAGGATGGGCTTCTTTCTGGCTGTGACTTTAGATTAACCTCAGCTCCTTAGATTAACTGCTAGCTTATAAGAATTCCACCATAAGCAGAGACAGTAGTAGGTGGAAAATGTTGTTTGCTTTTAAAATCATACCATGACAGTTACAATCATATGTTGATATGAAATAAAGAGATTGAAACACTATGCTAATTTTAAGTTACATAGGAATGTATATATAATGGATATTTATGACTGACAAATGGGTAAATTTTAGGTTTGAAAATTACAGTATCATTTTGGTGTCAAGAAGAAAAGGCATTTGCAGTATATTGAGGGCTGCATTCCTATTTTTCCATACAGGAGATTAGGTTACCCAGAAATGTAGGAGAGAAGCAAGCCGAGGAATAATGCTTGTTTCTTTACCTTCTCACATCGATCACCTCAATAAGTGAGCTTTTGAGTTTAAAAATTGGGACAAGATAAAAATTTTATGTGTAGAATACTATTTTCAAAGTCTTCAAGCATGCTTTAGTTAGTGCTTGCATTTGAGTGGCTATGGCCCAAAATAGTGAAACACCATGTTTTTGTTTTAACAAAACATTAAACATGTAATGAAAAAATGACTTTAGTAAAAGAAATTGTGTTGGCTGGTGAGTCACCCTGGCTCTGCCTGTGTCTCAGCATCCTCAACAGCCAGGATTACTTCCCCAAAAACACATGCATGTGGATCGATGGATTGCTAATGATAAGTAACTGTTTCTCCAGATATTTTAATGCCTTTTTTTTTTTTTTTTTAGATGGAGTCTCGCTCTGTCACCTAGGCTGGAGTGCAGTGGCGCGATCTCGGCTCACTGCAAGTTTGCCTCCCGGGTTCACACCATTCTCCTACCTCAGCCTCCCAAGTTGGGACTACAGGCACCCGCCACCACGCCTGGCTAATTTTTTGTATTTTTTAGTAGAGATGGGGTTTCAATGTGTTAGCCAGGATGGTCTCGATCTCCTGACCTCGTGATCTGCCCGCCTCGGTCTCCCAAAGTGCTGGGATTACAGGTGTGAGCCACTGTGCCAGGCCCTATTTTAATGCTTTTAAAAAATTATTTCATGCTTAACAGGACAATTTCTAGAGAACAAATATTATTTTCAAATTTTACCATTTAGAGATTTAGGCATATGCCAATTTTCACATGTAGAACATTTAAAGATAAGAAAGAAAAAATATATATTACTTAATTTCATAAAAATTGAGAATATTATAGAATAGTTTTAGTCAGAGTAAACATACCTTTATTTGAGAAATAATTGTGTGAAAATTCTTATCATCCTCAAATACTGCTGCTAAACTTGGCCCAGTTCCACAGGTTTTTCCTTCAAGTTTGTTGTTAATATAAGGGCTGGTGAAAGCATCAAAATACGAATCAGGCACGAGATTAGGAACTGATAACACAGTGTTTTGACAGTGATTAACTGCACCCAAAATACCATCCTGTTAAAGAGAAAAGCATAAACATAAATGTGAACACATATATTTATAAATTTTTTTTTTTTTTTTTTTTTTTTTTTTGAGACGGAGTCTCGCTCTGTCGCCCAGGCCGGACTGCGGACTGCAGTGGCGCAATCTCGGCTCACTGCAAGCTCCGCTTCCCGGGTTCACGCCATTCTCCTGCCTCAGCCTCCCGAGTAGCTGGGACTACAGGCGCCCGCCACCGCGCCCAGCTAATTTTTTTTTTGTATTTTTAGTAGAGACGGGGTTTCACCTTGTTAGCCAGGATGGTCTCGATCTCCTGACCTCATGATCCACCCGCCTCGGCCTCCCAAAGTGCTGGGATTACAGGCGTGAGCCACCGCGCCCGGCCTATAAATATTTTTGAATTTTATGAAATGCTAAAATAAATAAGAATAACTGATTCAACCAGGCTAGGTATTGTGCTGATTCTGAGTATATGACAAATCAAAAGACATGGCCCTAACTTCAGGACATATGTTTTCTAATTGAGAGAGACAAAAAAATTGCAACACATGGTGATGAGTTCTATATTTGAAGTGTGAACAAAACACTAGCAAGTCATAATGGAAGGAAAGCCAAGGAAGTCTATGGGAAAATTTAAAGGGAGGGTTCAAAGTTTATATTCTTTGAGTAGTAATCTATATTCCAGAAAGCTAATCTATGGGAAAAATAGACGTGTAAACAAAGATTTATGTGCAAGGACAATCACTGCAGTATTTCTCATATTAATAACTAATTAGAGAAACCCTTAAGGTTCAAAAGTAGAAGTACAGTTATATAAGTTCTGGTGCTTTTAAACAATGGAAAATTACATATCCTTACAAAATGGCATCTCCCAAAAATCATTTAATGACATGAGAAAAAGCTTATGATATAATGTTAAGTTCGAATAAAAGAGAGTGAGCAGGATATAAAACTGGCATATAATATCTCAATGTAAACATGTATCTATATCTATCTCTGTACATAACCTCATGGTAAGTTAGGTATGTCAGCATATCAGTATGCACTAAAACAAGACTGGACAGAAGCATATAAAAATGTTAATGGGTTTTCATTTTTGGTACATAATATTATGGATTATTTTAATAATCTTTTCCTGTGTTTTTCAAAGTCTCTTCAATCAGCATGAATCAGTTTGTAATTTATAATAAATATAAAGTCTAATTAGAGAAAATGAGATAAAGAAAAGGTAAGTCTTTAAATGAGTCTCAAAAGATGAAGAGGAGCTTGTCGAGTATATCAGACAACAGTATAATCCTTGCTAAGTCATTGTGTGTGGGGCCCAAGGGGGCAGGCAGGTGAGTCATTTAGGTACTGGAGCATCAGCGCTACAGTGCAGAAATAGGATACTCTGCAGATGCAGTCAGCCCCTTCATGAAAGGCCTTGTGCATGATGCCAGTGTTAGCCCATAGGCCAGCAATACCCAAACTGTGACCGGGTACTACCCAGAGGATAAAGGGTCCCAACTTCCAAGGTAAATTTGAGAAGAAATCTTGAGTTACATGAAGTTGAACAGGAATTTTCTCAGGACCTGCTAAACAGGATTTTTTCTATCTGTTAATATACAAATGTATATCACAACCCCCTTTCTCCTGGAATGCTTATCAACAACTCACAGAACATCTTGTGAAAGATGCTACTACAGGCAATGGAGAAATTTTAAGCAGGAAAGGGACATGATTAGATTTGCTTATGAGAATAATCTTGCTGTCAGTAATGTGGAAAATGGACTAGAAGGGAGAGAGGCAGGCAGATCAGAGCAGACTATTTCAGGAGGCCAGAAGAGAGATGATGAGGTCCCGATGGAGAGGAGTGGCAGAGTGGGTGCAACCATGGCTCAGCACACAAGAGCTGATGATCTGATCTCAAGGAGGTAAGGGAGACTCTAGGGGAACTCCCAGATTGCTGGCTTGGGCATCTGGGCATCTAGGAGAACTCTCAGATTGCTGTCTTGGGCACCTTTCATTGAGATGGAGACAGGGAGGGAGGAGCAAGTTTTCGAAGAAATCGATAAGTTCAATTCATATTGGTGGGACGTTCAGGTGAAGATTTCCAGATGACCATGAGTGGGGCTTAAAAGAAAAGTATTGGATCTATAGATAGAGACATATAGATATAGGTAGAGATATAGATAGGTAGATATAGATATAAATATATGTTTACGTCTGCATCCTTGGCACAGAAAAAAGCACCCAGAAAGAACTGTAGGGTGTGAAGAGGAGAGAGCCCTTAAGGATAGCAAGAATCAAGGATCAGATAAAAAAGAGGCTCTTGGAAAGATGACTGAGAAGGAAAAAATGTTGCTACAGAAATAGAAACCAGAGGAGGAGTCTATTTCAATTAAACCAAAGGAGGAGTCTATTTCAAGAGGCAGAAGCAGTAAACAGACTCAAATGCAATGGAGGTTTGTCTCACACACCAAGAAATATTAGAATTCAAAAGTATATATTGAATCAAGTATTAGGAAACGATAGGTAACCTAAGCAAGAGCAAAGTAAGAAATCATGACTTAAGTATATAATTTTCCTTTAGATTAATCTCTATGTGTATGTGTGCTTGGAATCATTGGGAATGATTAAGGCTAATGACTAAAATAATAGCGAAAAAATAGAAAATTTATGAATGATAGTCCTATTTATACTTCTATTGGCTGATTTTGGGTTATATGAAATAAAATCTTATTTTGGTATGAATAGACAAGCATGCTAATTATTCCCAGAGCTTGACCATGTATGTTTCATGTGTAGAAGTTAAAAATACCCATGTGGGGAACAGGGTCCTATAATAGGAAATGAGAAGGGTATCCAGTTTTTTGAGGCCCACCCCTTGGGGGTAAAGGACAGCAAGCTGCTTGTGACAGAGCCTCCTTTTGTCATCTGCAGTCTGGGACACCTGCATCCCATGTGAAGGACATGAGTCTTGTGGCCAGGAGGGGACATGAGAGCCCAGTGCCTCTTGGCATGAGAGCTCCTAAGCGAGCTTCCAATCACAGGGACCTCAGTAGTCTGCTTGTCATTGTAAATGCCTTCAAATTGCCTATCCCATAAATTACAGAATCATACACTGTGGAGGAGGAATCAATGCTAGAACTCATATGCCTTCTCATCATATAAACACAGAAACTGAACCCCAGAAGCGGTTTTCCTAAAGTCAAATAGCTTATTAATTGTAAAGGCAGGACTAAAATCTAGAGATCCTGATTACTAGTGCTTTTGAATCAGAGTACAGCAGCTAACAACAGAAGATACAGACATTGACTGGTTTACTAACCTATGCACCTATGCAAATGTAGTAGGCAGAATTCTAAGATGACCCCCAAAATTCCTGCCCCTGTGTACATATGCTGTTCAATCCCCTCCTCTTGAGTATGGGTGGGAATTGTGAATATGATGGGATGCCAGTCCCATGATTAGGTTACGTGATGCAGCAAAGGTAGGGGGATATTGCAGGGTCCCAACTCAGTTGTTTTCGAGTTAGTCAAAAGTGATTATCCTTGATAGATGTGACTGAATCAAGTGAAAGCCCTTAAAAGAGGGATTGAGCCCTTCCTAAGAGAGTGGTCCATCTGCCCTTGAAGAAGTGAATGGCCATATTGTAAACTGCCTAGAGAGTGGGCCACATGGCAAGGAACTACAGATGGTTTCTCGGACCTAAGTAGGGTGGTCCTTGGCTGACACCCCTCAAGGAAATGGGGATCTCAGTCCTACAGTTGCTTAGAGCTGAATTCTTCCAGCAGCCTGAGGGAGACCAAGACTTTGAAACAGACGATAATCTGAGTAGCCAGTGAAGCTCCTGACCTACAGAAACTGAGATGATTCATGGAGGATGTTTCCAACTGCTAACTTTGTGGTAACTTGTTACACCGCTATGGATAACTAAGACAACAAAATTCTCTCAGTTCCAGCATACCTTTAAAAAGATTTCACAAATGGTATTTACAGGCTGGGCATGGTGGTTCACACCTGTAATGCCAGCACTTTGGGAGGCAGAGGCAGGTGGATCACTTGAGCCCAGGAGTTCAAGACCTGCCTGGCCACCATGGCAAAGCCGCATCTCTACAAAAAAAAAAAAAAAAAAAAAATAGCCAGTCCTGGTGGCATACACCTGTAGTCCCAGCTACTCAGGAGGCTGAGGTGAGAGGATTGCTTGAGCCTTGGAGGTTGAGGCTGCAGTGAGCTAAGATCACATCATTGCATTCCAGCCCGGGTGACAGAGTGAATCCCTGTTTCAAAAAAAAAAGAAAGAAAAGAAAGAAAGAGAGAGAGAAAGAGAAAAAGAAAGAAAGAAAGAAAGAAAGAAAGAAAGAAAGAAAGAAAGAAAGAAAGAAAGAAAGAAAGAAAGAAAAGAAAAGAAAAGAAAAGAAAGGAAAAGGTATTCACAAGTGATCTCTTCAGTTGTCCTTAAAGGGATCCCTATAGACACTTTTAAATTTTGTATAGAATGTTTTTCTGTACCTTACCAAGCCTCTAATCTGACTCAAGTTAAAGATAATGTGCTAAACTTTTAGATAGTTTATATATAGCTATAATGCTGTGACAAAACAATGCTTTCTCTCTTTCTCATGATCATCTTGGAGTGGTGACAACTGCAATTCTGACAACCAATTGACAGCAAAACAGCTGCTTCATTTTCCAAATAGGTGCTTGCATGTGGATAATACATGAAAAACACACACCAGAAAGTCTTCCAGAGAAGGCTCAAAGAGCAGTGACTGGACTGTCAACATTAGTTCTGTGAGAAACATGGGGATGAGAGATTCATCTTCTTCTTGCTTTTCCACCATAAGGGTCCCCTGAAATGAATATATGTACAGTGTTATAAAGACACAAGTATCAAGGTCTAAAACAAAATAAAAAAACAAGGGACATGTAAACTGAAGTTTATATAATTAGCTGAATTCATTATCTTGGCATGTGGAAAGTGTTTCAGAGAATAATAAAGAACAGAAAGAAAAAAAGGCAAATATTGAAAGACTACATAACAATGTAAACCTTCTCTCCTTGTAAAAATACTACCAACAAAATGGAAAGGCAAACAAACTGGGAAGACATATCAATAATGTATATAGAAGATAGAAAGTTGATAATATTTGAATAGAACTATAGTTGATATACTTAATAGGAATATATGCCAATAATATATTAATGAATCTTTACATAGAAATATATTCAAATACAAATATACTTAAGTAAAAAAATGGGCAAAGGGCATAATCTGAGAATTCTTGAAAGCAAAATACAAATGATGAATTCACCTCCTTATTCTTCTCTTCCTTAAAATAGTTTATTCAGTAACGACATTTGCAGAGAGTTTACTGTGTGCCAGGCATAGTGCTGGGTATTTGTGTAATTTCCACACCAACCTTCTTAAATAGGTTCCATTATTGTTCCCATAGGGTGAAAATGGGATTTGCAGAAGGTAGAATGTTTCATCCAGATCATACTAGCTAGTAGGCGGCAGACCAGAATTCAACCCAGATATTTCTGATTCCTAGATCCATGCCCTGCTTCCTGCCCTGGGGTCATAATTAGAAGAATACAACATTTGAAAGCAGTGATATACCACCTTGTGTATTACCGACACAGATTAAAACGAATGGTAATATTTAGTATGCATGTGGGTAAATGATCATTTGAGCATTCTTTTTTTTTTTTTTTTTTTGAGACGGAGTTTCACTCTTGTTGCCTAGGCTGGAGTGCAATGGCGCGATCTCAGCTCACTGCAACCTCCATCTCCTGGGTTGAAGCAATTCCCCTGCCTCAGCTTCCTGAGTAGCTGGGATTATAGGCACCCACCACCATGCCTGGCTAATTTTTGTATTTTTGGTAGAGATGGCGTTTCACCAAGTTGGCCAGGCTGGTCTCGAACTCCTCACCTCAGGTGATCCACCCGCCTTGGCCTCCCAAAGTGCTGGGATTACAAACATGAGTCACCACGCCTGGCCTAAATGCTCATTCTTAAACATTGCTGTAAACTGACAAAGCTTTCTGGAGAGTATACGTCAGTGTGTACGTATCAAAAGCCTTAAAAATGTGCATATTTCTGACTCAATTCCACATCTAGGAATTTTTTTCTAAGGGGAAAAATCTGAAATGTGTGAAAAATGTATAGACAAGGATACCCTTTGCAGTATTATTTGAAATAGTGGGAATGTGATCAATAATAGAAAATTATTTACAAGAATTATACATTTCTTTGTGAGAATATCACATGGAAAAATATACATTGACATTGGAAATATTTCATAATACTGTATTGCTAAGAGGAAAAAGCAAGGGATAAAGCAGTAAGGAAAGTATAATATCTTTTTTCCCCTTTGAAGTAATTATCTTTGGGTAGCAAAGGTGCTTTTCTTTGTATATTTCTGTGTTTTCCTAATTTTGTACACTTAGCATAAATTACTTTTAGAATAGAAAAATAAATGTGACTTTTAAAATTTTGATACTATTTATAAAAAGGAGAAATTCAGAATAGGGGAGAAGAGAAAGCTATGAAAAGGAGTTCATGACATGATTTAACTTTTGGAAGAAAGGGAAACTCAGGCTGAGAGCATCAGGTTGTGTATTGCATAATTAGCTTTCTGTGGAGTGGGAGATTTAAGCTGTGAGGGTGGGAGGTTTGATGAAATGAGGTGAGCATGTAGGTATTCTGGAAAGAAGCTATTAGTACTAAGGATGGAGCTAGGGCAAAACTTACTGGGAAATTTGAATATGAGATAATATGATCTTTCTTTTAGCTATGCTGGAATGCACGAATTTGTACTACTTCATCCAAACATCTCATAGTACTCTGTGTCTTTAAGATCAACATCCTCATAAAAGGCCATCCCCTCAAAGCACAATAATTTGCTTCTTTTCACCTCTAAACTATTGTTTATCTCTTTTATTTATACCACTTTTCCTGCTTCTCTCTGCCAGTTTATGCCCACAAGGAGCATTTATGTCCCCACGAACTATAAGCTTTTGGGGACAAAGATCCTATCTATGCTTTTCATCACTATATATTCGACATCCAGCACAGGAACTGGCACACAGTAGATACTTAAGAAATATGTCAATGAACACATGAGCAAGCTTTAGCAAGTTCCTGTGACAGGAACTTTCTCTCAGTATGGTGGATTTTTACTCTATTATTAGATACTTGTTGATATGCTGATTTTCAGTCTGCCATTTCATGTGTATTGTAGGCTTTGATTATAACATGAAATACTCTATGCCAGGGGTCCCCAGTCCCCGGGCCTTGGACCAGGTACTGATCCAGGCTGCACAGCAGGAGGTGAGCAGAGGGTGAGCATTACTGCCTGACTTCTGCCTCCCCTCAGAACAGTGGCGTCATTAGATTCTCATAGGAGCCCAAACCGTACTGTGAACTGTGCATGTGAGGGATCTAGGTTGCATGCTCCTTATGAGACTCTAACTAATGCCTGATGATCTGAGGTGGAACAGTTTCATCCCGAAATCATCCCCCACAGTCTGCAGAAAAAATTATCTTCCATGAAACTGGTCTCTGGTGTCCAAAATGTTGGGGGCCGCTGCTCTATGCATTTCTCTTTTTTTTTTAGTGCACAGAAAATAGCATAATTCATAGAGCGTAGTTTGCACTCCTCAATAAATGCTGACCAATAAAATATTCTTAATTTTGTGTGAGTATACCTTTTTATCAGGGACTTCAGGCTTCTCTTCAGTAATCCATTTCTGAATGACATCTGCTGAAGGTGTTCGTTTTAGCTTGTCAGTGAGATGGTTCAAAAGCGAATTAACAGCATTTACCGTTAAGATGTGCATTGTGTTCTCAATTAGATAGTCGTTTAGACGAATAAAGCTTGAAAAGAAAAAAAACTAATACAATTTCGGTTTCTTATATTCACTACATATTTTTGACAGTGTCTCTAAAGCAAATATTTAAAATGTAAAATATCATAATTTCTCCTTGAATTTCCATTTAATTATATTACAATATCAGAAATGTACTGTCCAGAAGAGTTGTCCTTAGATATTCTTCCTTTTAAAACACAAATATATTCAAATATGTAGCATTAATTCAGTTAGATATTCTAACTTTTCAATAGAATATTTAATGAGTGATATAGCTGTTAGGGAAAATGCATCTAGTTTATCTAGCTAAAAGGGCCATAATATTTTTTAAAAGATGCTTTAAAGGAGAAATCGATGCATACAACATCTGTAACTTGCATTCTAATAGTAAAAGTGTAAAATCTTTGCTATTGAATAAATGTTGATGGCAATTGCTAACCCAAAGGTTTGAATTTTACGTTTCCTTACTTGAGTGCTTACTTAGAATGCAGACTGAGTCAGCAAGACATTTAGAATAGTACTATTCTGCTCAAGTGGAGCTCTAAGGCCTCTAATACTTCTAGGTCCACTATGGTAGCCTCAGAGACCGCTTCACTGATTTCTGTTGCTACACAGACATTTTCATATATAAACTGAGATATAGTTAAGATGTATTACATAATTGCAAAAGTTGGATTAAGTCAGTGAGCACTGAATAACAATAATCAGTATTTTATAGTTCCAAAGACATGCGGTTTTAGAATGATGGGAAATCCAAATTCTGGAACAGTCAAGGTCAAGATCCAGTTGGGTAAGCAGGTGTCAGAGCTAGTGCTAATGAGAGTCCCCTGGTGAGGTCCTAGGAGGGATATTTCTCTCTCTGGCTCCCAGTGGCAAATCCCATTTTAGGGATTGGGTGCACCTTTGTGATGTTATGCAGCTGCCTATAGTTCTTCTGTGACCAAAAAGATGGAGCAAGTCCTTCAGGCCCACTTGAGGAGGTCCATAAATCTGTGTGCCTGATTTCTCCCTGCCACAGTCTGCTGTACTGCGAGTCTCCATGCCCAGGCTGGGCCAGAAGGAAACAAAGCCAGAGAGATCAAAGAGGAGCTCTTGGCCTTGGCCTCATGCTCTGTCTCTACCAGCTCACAGTCCCAGAGCTGCTTTGGTTGGTGGCAGTTTGAAAAGGGGGTCTTCTGGGCCATGCATTCAGGTTACCATGTCCCACAAATTTCTCATCACCATTCATGAACAATGTGGTGAAGGGTTCCATTTTTTTTTTCAAGTGAGACATCACTTAGGTCCTAGAAAAGATTCTACTTTTCATTTTAATTTTTTATTGTGTGTACTTAAGGTATACAACATGATGCTTTGATATACATAGTGATATGATTACTTCAGTTATGCAAATTAACATAGTCATCACTTTCTGGGGTTTAATTTTTAATGCAGCTTAAGATGGGTACTACAATTTTTCTTGAAAATGAGAATAATCTTACCACGTCAGCCTCATGCAATAATGCCTTTTGCTGGCCTGTTCTGTATATGTCATTTTCTCAGAGTCTCCATAAGTGGGCAACTCATGTGGTGTATTAATGAAACTTCCACTGCTCTGCACTTTATGATAATCTAAGAATAACAGAAGGAACAACAACAAGTGTACTTGTGTAAAAGTTCCATCTCTTTCAATATGATTCAAAGAAAAGATAAACAAAATTCAAAAACAACAAAATATTTTGGTACACGAAGCAATTCAAACCTGAAAAACAGCCCAATTATCCAAAATAAGTTTACATCAAAGGATTTCAATTCAACAAGATTATAGATAGTTTACTGACATTCTCATTAACAGGATTTGATCTGTATATTATGCTACCTCTTTCCTAGGAACATCTTTACCCTCCTTTTCTACCTACAATTTAGTCAACCTTTATAGTACATGCTAACTGAGTCAATCCTAAGGTCAATCCAGTTCCTTAATTTTAACAAACCTATTGTCTGTGCTAGTAGGCTGGACATATCTTTAAGCAGAGAGATGCTGAGTCCACTCTAAAGTGCTTATTAATCAAGATTCTGTATCCAGTTTAGAAATACTATATACAAACAGGAGTAATGGGAGAAACATGCAGTATTTTCTATTTCCCTCCCTTCCACAAAATACATTAAATTTATAATATCCATCAAATGTTTGGAACAATTCAAACATAGAATCATTATTTAAACTTAAGAAAAGTCAAATAAAAAAGGGCTGAAATTTTAGAAAGCCACCACTTCTGATATATTGAGGTTCTTTCCCCTTCATACCCTCAAAAGGTCCAAATGCACAGTCATCAGGAACAAATCCTGCAGCACGCAAAGCAAATCGACAAGCCCTCCTGACTACATATTTTGCCTCATTTCGAAATTCTCCTAGGCGTTCTGTCACCTAGATATTGTTGAATATGTACAGTTAGTGATACTGAAGTATCAAAAATAGGGAAAAAAGCTTTGATTCTTATAGACAAAATTTGTTACCTCTGCTAGCCGTATGACTTGTGCGGCCTTAAATTCCTGCAGGGTGTAGGTGTGACACTTTTCAATATAACAAAGTCCCATAAAACTCAAATGATAACACAATTCATTTATTTTAAGAAGAGCTGGTCGCAAATGCTGAATGAAAATAGGAATTTATTATTTAGTAAAAATATTCTGTATTTTAAAAGTATAGAACATTCAAAAAGCAAGAATAGTTATTAAGGATAATAAACACCTCTGTGTGTTAACTTTTGCTACAACTACAAAATGCATATGTTAAAAGATCACTTTTATAACTCTTTTCTAAAAGTACTCCTTGAATTATCAGATATAATTTGTCTGAATTCCTTTCTTTTGATTTTGAAAACACATACATGTCTTCCAGCTATTTAAGGAATAAGGCAAGTGATTTAAGGAACTGAGGGCAAGTAATAGAAAACTGGGTGTTACCTTAAGTACTTTACAATGTCCGGTCATAATGATAATGGAAAGGCCCATCTATTAATTTAAGAGGCTGGGACACAGAAGAAAGCCAAATTTAACATTAAATTGTTATTGGGTAACAAGTTGCTTTGGAAAACTGCTTCATGTTTTCTCAAAAGGTTAAACGTAAAGTTGCTAATGACCCAGCAATTCCACTCCTAGGTATGTGCCAAAGAAAAATGAAAACACATGTCTAGACAAAAACTTGTACATGCATGCTCATAGCAGCATTATTCATAATAGATAAAAAGTGGAAGCAATCCAAATATCCATCAATAGATGGACAAATAAAATAGGCATATCCAACATAATTTGCCAACTTTTAAAAATGCTATGCTACAACATAGAAGAAGAACCTTGAAAACATTAGTTAAATAAACAAAAGTCAGTCATAAAGGACCACATACAGTCCTTCTGTATCCTCGGGTTCCAGAGTCATGGATTCCACCAACTGTAGATTAAAAATTTAGTAGGGTCGACAATGCTTGTGTCCATATTAAAGATGAATAGACTTTTTGGGTCATTATTTTCTAAACAATATAGTATAACAACTATTTACATAGCATTTACATTGTATTAGGTATTAAAAGTAATTTAGAGATGACAAAGTATATAGGAGGATTTTTGTAGGTTATATGCAAATACTGTGCCATTTTATATAAGGGACTTGAGCATCCGTGGATTTTGGTATTTGCTGGGGTGGTCCTGGAACCAGTTCCCCAAGACACTGAGAGCCAAGTGTATTGTATGATTCCATGTGTGAAATGTACAGAACAGGCCACTCTATGGAGATAGAAAGTAGATTAGTGGTTGCCTATAGTTGGGGGAAGGGACAGGTAGGTCAGAAAGAAATAGAGAGTGACCACTAATGGGTAATGAGGTTTTCTTTGGAGCGATGCATATATTCTAAAATTGACTGTGGTAATGGTGGATCAATTCTGTGAATATACTAAAAATAATTGAATTGTGTACTTCAGATGTGTGAATTGTATGGTATGTAAATTATATATCAAAACTGTTATAAGGGAATGACATAGGCACGGGTGCCAACAAAATTGGTTATTTTAAAAAAAATCATAAAAAGAAAACGAGGACAACTCGTATGTCTCCCTTCAACCTTGTCTAGGGGAATCAGCCCTAGTTAACTAATTATAAATATAAGACTAGTGGTAAGTGTGTGGGTGATTATAGCATTTAATACATATTTAAACGACTGCAATGAGTCTGTTATTTAGGCCAATCCTTGCTTAAAAGGATGAGAGCTTTCTAGTCTGCTGGGACTAAATTTAAGAGAAGATACTATAAAGGCCGCAACACCACTGGTATGAATGATGGACACAGAATGAAAACTGTCAGCACATAAAATAAGAGAACATGCCTCGAGGACTGATAGAAGTAATTTCAAAGACAAATCAAGAATGAACTATTTTACATACCTAGCAACAAATGTATGATATATGTAGTGTTCAAGACATGGTAAAAGATGAAAGATGGTAAAATAACTTCAAATGACTGATGTATCCTTAATGAAATTTGAGTTTCATGTCAAGAAGGACTGGAATATTTTTTCACAACTCAGAATGCACAATGGAATGGATGACTTGAGATAGTCCCTCTTATATATTTGTCTTGTACTAATATTTATGTTAGCCAGAGACCTTGAATGTTTCCCTATTGTGTGACTGGCATGTTGATAACAGTCTTTCATATTATCATATGCAAAGTGAAGGAAATGACTAGTAAAAAGCAAACTTGAGATAGTGTCATAGAAATAAGACAGCTGAGGACCAGAACTCTGAGTGTGACAGTAATGATGATTGCAGTTTATTCCTAGGGGCCAAGTAGGAAACTTCCAATGCAAGTTGAAATTCAATAGATAGAAATTATAAATATGGTCACACTTTTTCACAGTTTTGTTTTCATGATCACCCTGTTGTCCAAAGTAAATATTAAAAATTTTCCTACTGTATAAATCCATTGTAAAGGAAATATATGATATATTAGGAGGTACTGACCCATGAAAACAAGGCCCTGACTTATTTTGGACTATAAAATCTAGAGTGTCTCAAAGATGAGGGGAGGTAATAGAGGCTACCAGCCTACTCTGCTCAAAATGACATATAACTTTCCTAATCAACAACAAAGGGGATCACAAATCCAAAAACTCTGAGGTGACTTCTAATCAAAAGGGACCTGTGCAACTCTCTTCTTATACTTTTGCATTTTGCAACCCTAGTTAAAATGTAGAAACACCCCTAGATTGCTAGACTCCTAAATGACAAGACAGGATGAAAACTGGGAATTCTCTTAAGAATATAAAATATTTGATTTCAAGAACAGTCTATACCAACAGCTTAATAGATTCACACTTTCTTTTTTTGTAAGTAATTATTTTAAAATATAAATGATAAATACATACAGGATTAACAATGAACAAATTTTTTTGTAGAGATTTTTGACATCCAGTGATTTTCTTGGAGCGGACATTCTTCCTCCATACACTAAAAGCCTTCCATTTCCGGAACAGTGAAAATATGGGAATCTTAGTGAGTTCTCTGTGATACAGATATTCCTGTTCCCATCGATCAATTTCGATAAATTCAATGTCTTCATTATAAATGTGTGTTACTGCCCTTTGGCTAATAGTATAGTAGTCATTTTTATTGATGTTCTCATAACTTACAACTCTATAAACAAATAAAAATTGGGACTAATAAATAAAGTATTCAATACAAAATGAAGCAATTGCATTGCTTTTTTATTCTACAGAGATAAAACATTTCTGGAAAGCAAATATTATTTAAAGTTAAAAAATTCTAACCAACTACTTTCACATTAAATACATTACTCAAGAAAATGAGTTAAACAAGTTGTGCTTATTAAAAAGATTTCACAACTGTGGCAATATTGGCTTGATGATTTCAGTTACATGATTTTTACATTAAAATGAATTGACTATAAATTAATAAAATTTAATAGTTCTACATTAAAACTATCTGGAGCTATTATTAACTCTTCAGAAACTATTCAATATTAATAGCATAAAAGAATTTGGCACTATTAAGTAATGACAGAATTATGAGAAAGATAAAAGGAAACATTAATTAGGTGAGATAAGAATCAAGACCAATATTATATGCCCAATTTATCACCAACAAAATATTTATTATTGATAAATTGTTTAGTTCATAATATCTCTCTTTCAACTGTTGTCATGGACATTCTTCAACTGTATGATTAACAGAAAACTGATCAAGTAAAGAAAAGAAGCAAGAACAGAGTAAAAACAGAAGAAAGGACAGGAGAAAGAAATGAAGCAATGAAAATAGGGCCGATTCTCTAAAACTGCTTAAAATAAAATTTTTCCTACAGCAAAACGATATTCTCTGTAATTTTAGCTATAATGCTGAAATATTGAATGCAAGAAATATTCAGTAATAGAACAAGTGTGAAATATGATATAGCACCTTATTGAAATATATTTAGGAATTTAGGAAAATAACATTTTTCTAAAATGTTTCTCTCTGTTAGGAGAGCTTAGTAAAACAAGATGAAGGTTAAGGGCAAAAACAAAGCCTTAAATTGTTTCTATGTTAAAACTATGCAAAACTTACATGTACTAGGCAGAAATTAGGAACACTCCAGTGAAAATCAGCTATTTTCCACGGCTTTCAGTCCTTGGCTCTACATTCTGAACCTGGAGTCCATGGTCCTTTATTTTATTTATTATTACTATTACTACTATTATTATGATTATCTTTGAGAGGGAGTCTCGCTCTGTTGCCCAGGATGGAATGCAGCCGTGCAAACTTGGCTCACTGCAACCTCCGCCTCCCGGGTTCAAGAGATTCTCCTGCCTCAGCCTCTGGAGTAAGTGGGATTACAGGCGCCTGCCACTATGCCCGGCTAATTTTTCTATTTTTAGTAGAGATAGGGTTTCACCATGTTGACCAGGCTGGTCTCGAACTGCTAACCTCAAGTGATCTCCCTGCCTCAGACTCCCAAAGTGTTGGGATTAAAAGCGTGAGCCACCATGTCCGGGCCACAGCCCTTTAACACAGCCTTCAAGTTATTCATGAAATCCCTGAAAATGTTGTATGGAAAATTCATGTATATATGTACGATAAGTTTTTAAGACATTGGAACAAAATTCTATGTTTTGGGTCTGTTAAAAGAAGTTAAGAACCACTGGTATAAATCATTTTTAGTTTTTAATTTCTATTTTCATTTTAATAAAACTGAGTAACAAAAATATTTTTAAAATTATGGCACACGGGACCAGAATGAAAGCAAACCCAAACCAACAGCTGTTCATGTGAGCCTGCAAGGAGATGTGGGGGGCTGATGGTGCTGTGCGAAGTGGGAGAGGAATAGTCCCTCCAACTTCAGGGCTGCCATGGAAAAGCTTCAACCTGCTCGGCTTTTACCTGATACCACTATCTGACTTTTTGTCTGTGTTCTAATTAACTCACCCCAGAAATGTCTGGAAAAATGCCAGGTATTGCACAGGGCTGGTGAGGAATATGGAATACATTTTACATGTCTTTCCTTTTCTCGTTGTCAATAGCTAAAGATATAATTAGGGTATTCTTGGGGTGATTCTCTCTAAAATGTAAAACTTCAATTTGCCACTGAAATTATAACAAACTTCAGATGTTTCATTAACATCAGGCATCAAAGCAACCTAAAAACAAGAACAAATTGCTGACCACGGCCCTGGTGCATGTCTGGAAAACTTGCTCTGTGTGATCTATCTGCTACTGATGGCCCTTCTAGAAGATGGTAGCTGTGGTCCATGATGTTGAATTCTAACTTGGTGCTCAGTGCCACTTAGGAATTCCTTTTATTTGTATTTCTCTTCTTATCGCAGAACTTCATTCTCAAGCCCCCAAGTCTTTTCCTTCTTTACACATCTGTACTGTTCATTGAACAACTGAACACACGAGAGCCCTTTCAAAGGTTGGATCATCAGCATCAAAATCATCCGGGGTGCTTATTAAGAATCTAGATTTCTGAGTCCATCGCAGAATGAGAATCTTTATGTATTCCAAGACTCAAGGATAGTGAGATGCCTGGGTGATTGCGATACACAATAATGTTTGTGAACCACCAAACTTTATTTCAAAGCAAATAACAAAAAAAATGTGAAGACAAGGCAAGCTCCCTCTCACATCTTCACTTGAAGTTCAACATACCATGTTTTTTCCCCCTGATTGTTTCTCTCATGCTTTCCTCCAAATGGAGATGGAGAGGTTTCACCTCACTTTTCTCTAACTCTCCCTAGTTTTTTGGTTTCTTTTCCTCCACATCTAAAAGTGTGCAGAATGTCCCTTTAGCACATAGAAAATCTTTTCTTGACCCTGCCACCTACTTAACTAAAATCCCACACTTTTCTTCTTCTTTTAAGTTTCCTTTATAATGGTGTGTGTCAATGGCCACATCCACCTTATCCATTCCTTCTTAGAGTTCCAGAAAAACGGTTTTGTTTCCTGTTACTTTAATGGAATTATTTTTCCAAAGATCAACAGGACTTCCCTCAAGCCCAATCCAGTCGGTAGGTAGAAGGGGCCGCAGGGTGAGGAAAAGATTTGCTTAAAAGACAGTGTATGTACATTTCTCTGTAATCCTATTCTTAGACTTTCCAGTTCATTACTGAGAGGTCATCCCCCAGATCTACTCCTTGGACTGGTGTGTTTTGCTCTAAATGCTCTGCCTCCAAGTGTTTATCCATTTCAGGAGTTGAACCACGACTCCTATGATGATGACTGCTCCCTCGGCATTTCTTAGCACTCAGGATCAAACTTCAGCTGCCTCCTAGAGAGTGGTTTTGGATGTTTGTTCCACTAAGGCCTTTCTTTGAGGAGATAATCAGAAAAAGTAGGCTTCCTTTAAGAAACAAAAAGAAAACTTTTTAAAAATTCAACTGCTGTGTTATAAAATTCCTACATTTCAGATAAAGAAGATGACTTTAGGATCTAGTTAACTAGAGATCCTTGGATAGTTAACTCATTAGATTGAGATGGAAGTCTCAAATAAAATTATATTTAACTATGCTGTACTGTCTCATACTTGCAAAAAATATATGTAGTGCTTTCTTGCTGTTCAATGAAGATCAAGGGGTCCCTTGTCAAATTATTTTACAGTAGAACCTGTCTGTATCCATCTTAAATGAAACTTAGACTTCAAGACTTCTATTAACTTCTAAAAGTATGTGTGTCCCATTTGAGATAACCACATGAACTGAGAGAATTTTGGGGCCCTTGTGGTAGGTCAATCATTGTCCTATTATTATTAGTCATTTCAGATATAACTCAAAGTGAACCTACTTTGGGGCTTAGAACCCCTCTGGGGTTTAAAAAATTTTTTCTCCTCCTGAAATCAATTCATTGACTTCCAAAACAATAAAACCTCAATGTGATGTTATTTCAAATAGCAGTTCAATCTGTTATACACTGCAGTGATTGAAAATGCTTCTATTCATCCTTAAACCAATCTACCAGACTAATATTGCAGAAACATAGTTTGCCTCATGTGACTGTTGTGCTCAAGAACCTTGAATAGCCTCTTATTGCTCCTGTCATTAAATCCAAGTTATTCTCCCAGGTATTTGTGGCACTCTCTTCCTGTTTCACATTAGTTCCTTCTCTGTCAACACAAATCATCCTCTTCAATCAGGCTGATTTCTTCATCATATTCATTTTAGGCCATGCTTGAATGCATACATCTGTCTTTGTTCCCTGTTACCTCCTGCTTCTTTCAAATTTCTGATATCTACAAGAAAGAGAGTTATTCCTTACCTGCTTTAAGGCTGAATTAGATAAGCTCTTGTGGCCCTATACAACTCTAAGTGGTCTATTTTCATTATTACATGGTTTTAAAGTATTATGATTTGGGTGTATTCATTGAATAAAGGTAAGCAAGCAAGTGCTTGGGAAGAAATAGGCCACTTCCTGAGTTCTGCATTTATCAACCTCAATCTGTTTGATGATGGTCCTTGCCATGACTCAATATGAGACTAGATCTAACCTAACCTGGGGAAGAGAAGTGCTTGCTTTACTTCTGGTTTGATTAACCAAAGATGGCAAAATATCTGGTAAAGAACTCTTTTTTTACCTGGAAAATTAAACAAAAGCAAAACTAAGAGGAAACTTCCAAGTTTCATCACCAGGAGAGTGCTCTATGGTCAATGTTTCTCAATGTATGGTCCTTGGAAGAGCAGCATGAGCACAATGTGGGAATTGCACATTCTCGGGCTCCACCCTAGGCCTGTTAAATCATCTAGGGGTTTAACCATCTGTGTTTTAGCAAGTCTTTTAGGGCTTGAGAAATGCTGCTGTAGGTCCATGATGCATAACTCTAATTGAATCTTAGAATCAACTGGTAAGTTTTAAAGAAAAGCTGTTGCTCAGGCTCCACCACAGACTGATCAGATAAATCATAATTAACTGGAAGTAGAGCCTGGGTGATTCTAATGAGCAGCTAAGGCTAAGAGCTACTGCTCTAGTTTCTTCAGATTTTTGTATGAAATGAAACCATCATCCACTAAATCACCATAGCTCCAGAGCAGTGCCAGGATGTGTGTGCATGTATGTTTGTGTGTGCATGTGTTTGAAGGAAGGGTAGGGAGACAATCTGGAGTCTAGATCTAACTGTATTGGGAAAAAATAGATCTAATGTAAACCAGGGAAGAGAAATGCTTGTTTTATTTCTGGTTTGATTAACCAGAAGGAGGGTTTTTGATTATTCCAAATGAAAATCCAAACGGCCCATAGTGTTTCCACTTGCTGACTCAAATTTGACTTAATAGATTTAAATTTCTTCGTAGATTAGCCTAAGAAAACTGCCACTGTGTTAGACAACCTGGTGAGGTTTTTTTGATAATATGGCTTCAAAATGATCTGTTCCTTATTGCATAATATATATACCTAATTCTAAAGTTTTTTTAAAAATAATTATAACTTCACACATAAACTAGAATGCCTCTACTTCAGAAGGTTTCAAGCTGGCATCTGTGTTTTCTGTTCTTGGCCACTAAATAGTAATATAATTTAAAGGATAAAAGAGCTTTAGTGTGAGATTTTAAAAGCTGCCTAAAAAGTACTTTTAACAAGTTTAGAAACAACCAGAGACCAAAATTAGTTGTTTAGAAGGAACATGTCCTAAGCTTAAAGTAGAAGTTGATATAGTTCTAATATCCCAAGTCATGTACCTGTGTTTCAAAGATTCTAATTGGAATCCTAATCCTAACTACTGACTTAACAAAGTTTCTCAAATTTACATGATCACAGAACACATCTGTTAACCATCTATCAATGAGAATCATTTAGGTCTAATGTTCTTGGAAAGACACATAGGGAAACACTGAGGTATAGGAGACATGGTGTCCTGTTTCATGGCATTCTGTGGACCCAAAAGATGCTCAGATTTGGGGGAAGGCTCCGCCATACAATCTGAACTATCTGTTAGATTTTAATAGCTTTAAACTTGACATTGCACAGAGAATGAAATCATAGAATTGAAAGATGGGAGCATCAGACATTATTCTGAATTTCCTACTGCAAATCACAAAACAATATCAAATAGAAAAGTCTTTAATCTATACCTCAATTTTCTTATCTTTCCACTACATATAATGCCATTCTAATGGGATGTTTATGAGGAAGAAAGAAGATTAATGTACAGAAAGCACTTGGCACAATGCCTAACACAGTGTGTGTGACACAAATGCAGGAGTAGTTGTCATTATGAGGATGAGTATATTAAGTGGCGTGCATGAGGACTTGGGTTCTAAAATCCAAATAATCTGAATCTCAGCTCCATGACTCACTAGCTATGTGAACTTAATTCTGTGACTTTCATCATTTGTAAAATGGGTATATCAATCCTACCTACCTTAAAGAGTTGCTGTGGAGATTAAATGAGCTAATACATATAAAACATTTAGAACAAGATTTGGCATATACTATAGTTGGTGTTAATACTATCATGTTGCAGTACTCACCCATTAACATCACAAAGACTTAGTACCCCACTATGCCTTATAAAAGCACCCACAGTTCCTTATCAGTGTGAGCAAGTTTATATTTCAATGGCCAAAACAAAAAACAGCAAAATGTGAATTTATATAATTGAAATAATGGTGAGGTGAAGGGTTACGTAGATATGAAAAACACCTACCATCTACTAGGGAGAGAACTTTTTAATATCAACAGTGGGTCCTTTTATACCAACCTGAAAAAGGAATACTTAAAAATTGCCTCACCAGGGGTCTTCTTAGATACAACTAAATGTTAAAACTCACAAGACTTTCATATACTTCTATTTGGCATCCATCTACTCAGAAAAACCCGGAACCACTTATTGCCTTCAGGGCAGCATCAGACATTACTTTCCCATTGGAGTCCTTGCAGCAGTCTAATAGCCACCTGGGAGCTATCTTCTCCCTAGGTGTCAACTCAGATGCAAAAAGATGAGATCCACATTGAGTGCATATGAAAGCCACTCTGGCCTAAAAGCCTTATTACTCACAGGAGCCAGCATCTCTTGCAATAACCCCATAAGCATAGATTTCAGCATTCCTACAGGGCACATGCTCAGAAAAAAAGAATCTGAACTATGGGAAGTCAAAAGCTATGACTCCCCATAAGGTATTTATAATTATTTCTTAGTTCCTCCTAATGCAGCTATAATTTACTAATTGATGTCATTTTTATCATAAGCAATGTTGCCTATAAACAATATTTTACGTTTTTTAGGTTATTGAGGGTACACAGCTGCAGGATTAGCCAAAGGTCAGATTCTTATGCAGGAGAAAATCATTCTACAATCCTCTAGCACAATGCTTCTCAAACTTTGAATGTTATAAAACCCATGCAATAATAACATTTTATAAGGCACACTGATATAAACTGCAGGGGCTTGGTGAAGACATTAATTACAATTTCTTTATATAATATGACAAAACACAATGCACATAATATGTGAGATTATATAATTTTTAATTTGGGACATAATTATCCCAAATTAGGGATATAATATTTGATAAAACTTCCAATTATGTCTAGCTCATAAGCAACCACAGCTGTGACCATAACTTTTTTGAAGTAGCTACATCATGTCTAATCAAGACATGATGAATGATCTGTCCAAGTTCTTGAAGTCACCACTCCTAAGAAACTTTGTAAAAGTAGCAGGCAGCAAATGGCAGAAGATGATTTATTTATTGTTTTGTCTCTGACAGATGAAAACTCCCTTTTCGACTAGTCAAAATTTGGATACCTTGTTCTCTTGAAATTATTCACCAAAGGTACCACCACTCTTTAACTCTAACAGTTGTTACTTGTCTTTCTTTGATGCAGTGTTGACATTTCTTGTAATGATTTTAGAAACAATGGTGAAGATTTCTCTCAAACACAGAAGTTATTCTATTTGACTTAATAATCTTTCTTTAGGTTCAAATCCACAGCAGCGTCTAAAAAATCATGAGAACCATTTTAAACATTACGTTTCCCAAGTTGAATTTTTGCTGTCGATTCCTAATCTTTGTCAGTAAGTGTTAATATATTTCCTGGCAGCTGCCGTAATTTTTCAGTTAAGCTATTCAGGTGGTCAAATGTCAATTAAGTAACCCAGGTGTGTAACTAAGAACTAACCTTTACTAAATCTGCAAAGTTGGATCATTTGCAAAATACTTCCCAATTCTTGATAAAACTCATCCTTTGGATTGCCAATGCACTTAACTATGAAACAACGAAAAATAGTATTTGTTCTCAGTTTTTTGTAGAAAGCTAAAAACAAATGGTTATGTGGTTGATAGCTTGGATTTTATCATGGACATCATTTTGACAATATTTTTAAATTTGTAATTCATAATTTTAGGAAACCATTTACATATGGAAGTCCCTCTGCAAATAACATATTACTTGAATACCAGTGCTATCAGAGTAAACCTTGGTTGTAACAAACATTTTTAAGAAGTATTTTCATAATACCTCATTTGCCTTGAATATTTAATCCCCAGAGAGTTCTTTTTTCTTCTTCCTAAACAAAGTTCTTCCAGACATTTCACCTCAGAGACTCTAAATAGTGCTGTTGTCTAGCAGTTACTAATGTCTACAGATTCATCAATATGCAATTAAATATTGCAATAAAACTTTAATAATGTCTTGGATTATGATCATCTATATCATCTAATATGTTGGTCTACTAATGATGTTACTGATTTTTTTTTTTTTTTGCTTTTCTGGTTCCAAGTAGTATAAAAAACTTCCACACAAGCTGGTAAAATCACAATTCTACAATAGTGATTCATTCTGATGTTAGATATTATGTGTTCTTGCACTCCTAGCTTCTTGAGCTTCTTTATCTGATACTAATCTAAAAACAGAAATTTGTTTCATATTTTGTTCTTGTAATGCTTTTAAAAGCTCAAACCCTTTTCTGGGTGGGGTGGATATCTCTGAAAAGGTGTTGAAATAACTTGTTTGACACCACTGGTTAATTTGATAACATTTTTATACAAATAAGATATTTAGGCAAAAGGACAGGTCTATTACTGTAGTTTACAAATCTAAGTTTGAGATAATCCTAATTATGCTGCCTAATTTCTCATCTCTTTTGACTTCTGTGTTTGCCATATAGATCTGATAGTTTTCTAGCTTTAACAGAAAATTTTCCTTATAAATGAGCAAAAAGATAAATAAATGTCAAAATTAAATCCATATTACCATGAAGTATTCAAGAGAATTGTAGACCTTAATATCAGCAAATGATTTAAAATTTTTTAAAAACTCAAGGATGTGGTAAGAAAATATAAAGTATTGGTATATAGGTTTCATTAATTTAAGAAGTAAAATTATAAAATTAAAAAAATAAACATTAATTACACTCATATAGGATCAAAAAGACCTTTGAAAATTACGAAAGCCTACAGTGCTCTTTACCAAGATAATTTTATTAGAATATGTTTTCTAATAAAGAAATGTTATTTCTAATGCTAAATCTGTTATTCTATTTGACTTAATAATCTTTCTTTAGGTTCAAACCCACAACAGTGTCTAAAAAATCATGAGAACCATTTTAAACATTACATTTCCCAAGTTGAATTTGAAAATTAAGCTTTGAAAAATTATTTTTTAAGTTTTAAAAACAATTAATTATGAAATTCAATTAAAATTCAGATTTTTCCCAGTTGGTAACATCAAAAACCAAACAAGAGGAAAAGAGGAAAGAAGGGATAGAAAAAATAATCAGAAACATCTTGTTGCTTATTTTTTTAGGAACACCTAATATTGTGTCAAAAGGAAAACACACAAAAAAAGAGCAAATGAAATTAAAAAAAAACTGAACAAGGATTTCTTTGTGTTTCTCACATACACAAAACAAAGAGTTTTGCTGATAAACTGAGTTTGTCTTAGAAACCTAAAGGAAGTGTTTACAGTAACAATCAAACTCAGTGGGATGGTTCAACAGGAAGGTGGCAGAGGCTGTGTTGTGTTCCCACTATAGAGCTGCTCTCTGGCAGCGGGGACTACACAGTCTTACCCACGGAAATATTTTCTGAATTCAGGAAGTTTGACAAGGTAACCATACAAATATTAGAAAAAGAAAATTTCACCCATGGTAAATTTCTGAGCGATTGTGTTTTTTTTTAAAAAATAAGTTTTTACCACCATAAACAACTAGGGCACACTGGGAGTCACTTGCTTGGCTGCAGTACACTCCTTGGGAAGCTTTGCCTTATAGCTGTGTTAAACATTTAGCATCTGGAACCACTGACTGGGCATTTGATACTCACTCAGACCATCAGTGTTATGTAAATTTTGTGAAGGTCTCATTGCAAATTTTAAAATAATAAATATGTCATAATTTTAAAAAATTAATAAGAAGGTTCTCTTTAGCCATCTGAATGATGGGTAGTGTGAGCCACAGATGAGGGTTCACACACAGCTAGCTCCTTTTCCCCATTGTAATTTTTAAAAAAAATTAAAAGATCTTCAATAACAACCTTAGTTTTTGGAAATGAGACCATGTAACTAGAACTTCTGTCACATAGTTCTGGACCTCTAGACAATCTATGGATCCAGAATTTCTTGATCATTTCACTGGAGTCTGCTTTTAGCACTGAATCAGATGGTAAGCCAATAAGTACATTATGCTATAAAGCTGCAAGGCTGAGTGTTTCAATTTAGAAAATGGAAGTAAACAAATTCTTATCAGCTCTTTGGTTAAATTTGGATTGAAAAGTTATCTCCTCAGGTTTTTGAGTTTAAATATGATTTTTGGATAGATATGCCCACTAATACATGATCAATTATTTTCCTCCAACTAGTAAAATCATAAGATGCTGGAAAGAGCCAAATCCGTCCTAAGGTACATTCGCCATATACACTATAATTCAGTCAGCCTAAAATTCCAATATTGTATTCTTATCTTCAAAGTATTTTGGCACCAAAGTGATAACGCTGTCTACTCAAAATATTGAACATATCTCTAAGACATGACCCTTGAGCAAGCCCCCTAAAATCATAGAAATGGTCTTTATTAGTAATATTAGTTTCACAAAATGTTCTAAATCTTACTCTTCATTTCCTGCATATTTCATGATTGAAATAAAATCTTTTACTTGTTATTTCACTGTATGACCATGGAAAAGTGCACAGTTAGTATCCTTGATTTGAGGAGATCCACAATTTTCACTCTCTGTCAATGCTAAGTCAAAAAATGAGGTTTACTGTTGGATGTGAATGTTGTCTCTGAGCAGGGCAAAGCCTTTCTTGCTGCACACACAGCTAAGTGCTCAGACACTACTGATTCCTACATGCCTTTTGCAGTCTAAATCCCTGCTCACAACTAAATGAAAAAACTCTTCTATAGGTTTTTAGTGACAATTGGAAAAAAAATTGTCAAGCATATTTTTCTCATACGTGTACTGTATATACAGCAAACACTGATATCTGCATTGCACATTTGTGATTAAAGCAAAATACCTGTCAGCACACTTTATAATGATGTGCATAGAGTTAGTTAATAAGGGAATTTTGCAAATAACTTATAACTTATTCTATTTTCTCTCTAAGCATACCTTGCCATAGGTGCTTCATCAATAGCATGACATATCATTTTTAAAAGTTTTTTGCTATAAGAAGTGCAACTTTAAATGATTTCCATAGTTTAGATCTCAATTTCACCTTTATTCAGTTCTATACTGAGAAGCATTATTTTGCATTTTGCTCACGTATTTTTTCTGGAAAAATTCAATAGGCTTATCAGAGAGATAGATTATTGCTCTAGATTGAAAGATTATAAAAAAATCCTTCCACAGCTTCACCACATTTGTTGGGTAGTGAAGACATTCTTCAACAGCAAACTCACAGCCTTACAGTTATTTTATCACATTACTTTTAAAAGGAGTTTGGTAATAACATGACCTCATCTTGTTGACACAGTATATACTATGTTTAACTTCCAGTTTAGCTGCTGCCAACTCCATAGCATCCAAATAATTGTCTTTACTCACAAGGTTTATGATATTTGGAGTTCAAGTTAGGGAGGAAGATTCAACATCAAACCCTAAACTGCAATAATGATAACAAACCATGATTCCAAAATATCTTTTTAAATGAGAACTTACATATTACTATTAAGCGTCACTTCTGTGAGTCCAAAAAAGTATAAAACATCAACTCAATTTCCCTAGTAGAAGTGCTCATTAGTCTAGAAATAAATCTCCAGAACTGAACAAAAGCAGTTTTCAGTCTCCTCTTCAATACTTTATATTGTGCTGGTAAATAGATGAGAATCAGTTCTACATGGGGCAAAATCTGGCTCTTCTCACAGTGGAAAATGAGCATCACAAATAGTACTCTTTGATATCTGGGTTATTAGATGATTATTTTTTTCCTGAAGAGAAAACTATGAAAACATTTTCACATATGAATCAAGAATTATGTTTTAAAATCACCAAATAACCCACTTTCCATCAGTTTCCACTTAAGATCTACAAGTTCTTCACCAAAAACTTACAAAGAACTATACAAGCGAGTAAAGTAGTGGTAGGAATGACAATATTATTAAGGGTTTTTTTTAATTGAAGGGCTTTAAATTACATTATATGTTAATTCTTCCATCTTAAAAAAATGAATTCTCTCATGTTGGAAAAATCCTCTTTTTTTACCCCAATTCTCCTTCGTCTACCATCTCTTCTCCTTTTGACATCCCAAAATTAATGTATCCGAACCCAAACATGTATTTTTCCCTGATGATTCTGCTCCATTCAGTCTTCTATGTCTCAGTTGTAAAAGGAAAATAAGGGAGGCCGAGGCGGGCGGATCACGAGGTCAGGAGATCGAGACCATCCTGGCTAACACGGTGAAACCCCGTCTCTACTAAAAATACAAAAAATTAGCCGGGCGTGGTAGCGGGCGCCTGTAGTCCCAGCTACTCGGGAGGCTGAGGCAGGAGAATGGCGTGAACCCGGGAGGCGGAGCTTGCAGTGAGCCGAGATCGCGCCACTGCACTCCAGCCTGGGCGACAGAGCGAGACTCCGTCTCAAAAAAAAAAAAAATAAAAAAAAATAAAAAATAAAAAAAAAAAGGAAAATAAATCTTGAGGCCCCCAAATCACTAAACGAAAGGTAAATGTCAAGCTGGGAACTGCTAATGGCAAACCTGCCTCCCATTCTATTCAAAGTGACCCCTGTGCTCACTGGGATAAATGCATATCTCATTGCCTCATTTGGAAAGGCTAATCAGAAACTCAAAGGAATGTCTCTCATCTACCTATGACCTGGAAGCCCCCTCCTCGCTTTGAGTTTTTCCATCTTGGCCTTGAGTTTTCCCACTTCTCCAGACTGAACCCATGTACATCTTACACATATTAATTGATGTCTCGTGTCTTCCTAAAATGTATAAAGCCAAGCTGTGCCCGTACTACCTTGGGCACATGTCATCAGGACCTCCTGAGGCTGTGTCATGGGCGTGCCTCCATGATCTTGGCAAAATAAGCTTTCTAAATTAACTGAGAACTGTCTCAGATTTTCAGGGTTCACAGTCAATAGCAACTCTACCCCTCTTGCTCAGACAACTGGATCATTAAACTCATCCTGTACTCCTTTCTGGTTGTCTACCCTACACAATGTCTGTAAAGACATTCCGTTGGCTTCACCTTCAAATTGTTTTCAGAAGCAGACCTATTTCTTACCACTTCATCATCATCCCCAGTCCCTTTCTCCCCTGAGTAACTACGGCCTTCAATTTGTCTTCCTGTTTCAACCCTTGTTGCCTCAAAGCCTATTCTTCACACAGCAGCCAGAATGTTTCCTTAAAAAATGTAAATCAGATCGTGACACTTTTCTGCCCAAAATCCTTCCATGGTTCTCCATTGTTGTAGCCAACAAGGTCTTGCACGATATATCCTTTATCTCTTGTTCACTCTACTGTAGTCACACCAGCCTCCTCTTTGCCCTTTGAGCATGCCAGGTCTGCTCCCAGTTCAGGATGTTTGTATTCATTTTCCTGCTGCCTGGAATGCTCATAACTGCACCACCACATAATTCATTTATTCTCTTTCAAGTCCTTGTTCAAATGACAGCTTCTCAATGAGGCCCACTCTGACCACCCCAGTTAATTCACAACCTCTTCCCCAGCACTCCTAATCCTCTTTGCCTCTATTTTTTTCCTCCAATACTTATCACATTTTAGTATTCTGCATAATTTACTCATGTCTGGTTTATTATTGCCATCCTCTGCTAAAATGTCAGTTCCATGAGGGCAACAATTTTGATATGGATGGTTTACTAATGTGTCTCAAGCACGTAAAACAGTTCCTGCTACAGAGATCATGCTCAATAAATTTTGCTGAACGATTGCATTTTCATAAGCATTTCTGTCCTTCCTACAAGTTATTGTTCACTGCTGTTAAGCTCTTTAAGATTTACAACACATCTGTCATTTTAAATTTTGATTAAAAAGCTTTTCTTCTCTACCCATTTTCTGCAGCAGGAGAGCTGCCCTCAGTGTCATCTTCTCAGTTGAAACTATGGTGCTGAATAAGGGAGAATAAGAGAGCCATGAATGGGGAAGGTAGCTCAATGAATTTTGTGGTGAAGCTAAACTATTATCACCATCAAGAAAAGACCATCTCAAGAACTGCTGTCAGCCCAACTAAATAACAGAGGAAAGCCAGTATCATCTTTAAGTCCTACTATTATCTGTTGTGCTGAACTTCAAAGCAACTTGCAGACTCACAATTATGTGACTTCCAATTATATCAACAACAAATGTGCGGCAACAACACACAGAAAGTGTGTGGATATTATTCATTTATATGAATACCCTAAGTTATCAAGCTCATTTTATTAAAAAAATCCTTATTTCTACTCTATAAAGCAAAGGTGAAATAACATGAAAAACAAATCGTGCATCATCTGCTTTTTATATGTTGCCATCCTCTTTTCTCAGTAATCATAAAGTATCAAAAATACATATGTAATACTGATTAAAAATATATGGTATAACATTACATAAATATATGAGAAGCTCAGTAGTGCAGGTAAGATAGTTAATGTTTCTAAATAGATAAAGGGAAGATAAATGAAAAAATACAAAATTGTTGTGATTAGGATTCATTTATCATTGAATGATAACCAAAATTATATTTGATATTGTTATTATTAATATCCAATCAATTATAAATAATATGTGAAATCTTATTTGTAATTTTTATGTTAAATTGCATCATAAAAAATAACTCACTTTAGATTATATGTATCATATTCAATGGATGATCTTGGCACTGCAGGGATCATATAAAGAAATCCAAGATGTTCATTTTCACGTATTATTTTAATGATTTGCAAGGGATCACGAATGTTGGCTTTAACAACTTCTTCTCGGTCGTGAAAAGTGTACTTAGGGTAAGCTGAAGATCTAGTCCCAAAGAGACCTCTTTTTCCAATACCAGTATGTGGCAGTTTAGGAGGAGAGGGAGAGAACACCTCAACATAGGGCCGATGAATCTAAACAAAGCCAATTTTTGAAAAAAAAAAATGAGTCTTTGCACACATACACACAAGAGCAACAAAATATTACCTTCAAGGACTAATTGCCATATTGCATGAGATGTCTAGGGCTCAAAGGCAAGCATTTTGGCACTGAAAATTTTCAAACTATTGTTAGGCAGTCATATTCCTTCTCAGTACTCCCTATCCAGATACGCATCCTTTTACCACAAAGCAGTCCCAGTTTCAGCTTCCATTGCCTTCTCCTCTCCTTTAACTCAATGTTTATTACATCAAAATATTACCAGGTCTTTGATGTCCATGGGAGCCCTCTTCCCTCCTTGCTTAGTTACTCTGCATCTATCTTTTCTGGGACCTCTCCTCCCAACCTCCCCCTCTGTTCTGACCACCTTGATGCTCTTCAGTGAGTGGAGTCTTGGACAGCTGTTATTGTAACTCATAATAACTTTACTTCTTTGTGAATATGAGGGGCGGTTATATTGAGTGTTGGGAATCACTATGCGATAGCCTTAGAGAAGCATTGATTTTATCAACTAATATCGGCTGTTTTTTAGACCAGTGCTTCTCAAACTTTAAATGTGCAATGAATTACCAGAGTTTCTTATTAAAATGCAAATTTTGATTCAGTACAGCTAGGGTGGAACCTGAGATTCTGCCTTTCTAACCTGCTTTCAGGGGTTTGGATCCTGCTGACCATGGACTACACTTGGAGCAGCAAGGCTGAGTCCCACTGTGCCATGCCCACACACTCCAGCTTTGCTCTAGTCTCTGGGCTTCACTGTCTGTGCTCTCAGTGCCACTCACACCCCCCAAAAAACTTGGGTGGCATCACCCATATCTGTTCCTCCCATGGAGGAGGTTAATCACTGTGTTTGAAGAAATTTGACACTAACTCCAAAGGTCATCACCTTGCCTCTCTGATAGTATAGGAGTAACTGGCTTTAAGATAAGAGTCACCATAGTAGAACTGCTTTGTTGAATAACTATTGTAAATATACGCATGAGTATTTTATTGCCTATTAACATAGCTGGCAGAGGCTGCCATTTCTGCAGGGATGTATTACTACAAGCTCTGTGGAACAACTTCTCCAGAAAATTTGTACTCACAGGGAACATTATACCCCAACTCTGATTAAATATACTTTGTCCAATAGCAGTTTGACAACACCTAGCAAGTTCAGAGCTGAAGGAAACACATCTTTGAACGTAAAAGGTAAAATGTGTGTCTTTGACTTCTTGGCCAGGGATGGCAGCAATAACACTGTTCTCTTCTGAGAATGAATAGGCCAAACCTGAACCAGAGAAAACACACATCACCTTATCTCAATGTTTCAATGAGGGCTAGTCCACTTTAGTATTTTTATGAGACTAAAGTGTTACTGTTTTAACAGAAAATGCATTTATTTTATTTGTTCTAGTCTTTAAAAAGTCTTACTGCATTCTAAGTGGAAGACTTCTTCCATAACAGGGTTAGATATTTTCCTCTGAGCCCTAATTTCTCATTATGTAACTCAGTGGGAAAATGTGATTCACATTTTCCTCCCATGGAGGAGGTTAATCACTGTGTTCTGCTGTGTTCTTCAGCAGTAACATAGGTTCAGATTTGGGGGTGGGAAATAAAGAAAGCATTTATTCATAAACTGTACAATGCAGTACTCCTCCCTGATGGATGCCCCGTCTGATTCGATAAGTCAATTTCTTCCTTAATTAACAGAGGCCTCCAACTTTCCTTCCTGCCTGCCTTCCTTTACCTCCCAGGAAATCCTCCTTGTTGCATTTCTATTTGAAACTCATTCAGATAAATCAATATCTGAAAAAATTACCTTTTTCTCAGAATAAATACCTTTCTTATTTTATGTAAAACATCCCATTTTTCATATTTCTCTTTAATTCCTAACTCTTTACTGAGTTCTTCACTGAGTGACAGCTACAACCAGGAAGCATAGCTCACAACCTAATATTCCTTTTCAGCCCCACTTTTATCCCAGATGTCTATACACGTTCTCTCCTTTTCTTTAAATTCAAATTTTTGAAGCCCTCTTTATGCCAAATGAATTAATTTACAGGCAATTAAATCTTTCCTGGCTCAGATCTTTTCTGGAGAAAGAGCTCCCTCTGGCTCCACTTCACAGACACCATAGTAACTGAAGCTTTATAATTCCATCTAGTTCATCATATGATTTCATTCTTTCAGGATGATCTCACCCAAACCCAAAATAAGCTCCTGTCCATCTAGCTTCTCCTAGAGCTCCCACCTCTCTCATCTTATCTATCCCATTAACTTTCCACTCATTCTTCTCAGCTTAGTGCAACTCCCAAAGGTGGCTTTTTATTCACTGACTGGCCCCCCGATGGCCAGGTGTAAAAGTCCCTTTTATTTAGTTTTTCATTATTTTGTACCTTAAACAACTAAGGAGAGCTCTTATACCCCACTGTGCTGAGTGTTCACTTGTCCACCTACGTACCTCCAGACTCTGAAATCCTTGAGGACAGACCTTGTCCTCAACTGTGCACGTCTAGCAGTTCTAATCCAATGGTTGGACCCAAACCAGCACTCAGTGTGTGACTGTCAAAGTTATCCTCTCAACCAAAACCTCAGAGAAATCTTGGCTCTACTGGTATCTTTACTGTAGGTATGCCTTTCATATTTTCTCCCCTTATTGTTTTTTTTTCTTCAGTTATCTAGAGATATTCATTTAAAGGCAAGCTCTGGTGATTTCTTCCCTGAGCTACCATTTCTTTATGCCTTTCAAGGCAACTTCCTCGCTCTACAACTCTCACCAGCTACACAAATTGTCTTGCTAGCTGGCTTTGTCTCACTTTATTGCTCTTCACCAGGGTCTTCAAAGATTACCATTTTTGGTAAAAATGATGAAAATTTCAAAAAAGTTATAATAACATTCAAAATACTATTATATCTTCTTTATCATACAAAAGAAGGTCAGAAGGCACTGTACAGATGGTGAAAGTTTCCTTTATGATTTTCTTCCACTGTAAGAGTTTTCCTTAAATAGGATGAAGAAATGTTATATTTCCCAAACTCATTATGCAACCTTATAGAAAATGACTTTGCTTCTATTCTTATGAGTTAAAAGTATGCTAGCAATGCTATACAAAACAAAATTAAGTTAAAAGAATCAATTAAGTATTTTAATATTATACCTGCATTTTTTTCACAGCATCTTGATGCTCAAGAAACTGAGTAGATGATGTGGCAAAACTTTTTTTTGCTATGCTTACTGGACGTTTAATGATTCCTGCAGTCATTAACTGAAATCGGTTCTGTTCATGTATGTATTCTGGCTGCTTATGATCTTGGTAGACTTTTAGCACTGGCTTTGGGAAATAGAGAGACATGTTAATTTTTATTAACATTCGTATAAACTTGTTTTATTTTTCACTACCTTTGGACTCTTTCTCCTGTTGGAAATTGATCTCCTTGGACTAATTTCCTATCAAAGATGCAGTCCTAATAGTTAACTACCACCATTGCCTGTCCCTGGCCTATTGCTTGAGTAAGACTTTTCTACCTAGCTTCCATTAATTTTATACTTGAAATTATCAATGAATACTTAGAAGAATAAATTACAACAGAAAAGGCTCAGAAGTATGAAATCATATACTCCCTAATTATCCATTACAAACCCCCATCATTTACTAATACTGCTACTATGGGAAGAAGTGCAGAATTCTCCCACCAAAATCAAAATCATCAACCACTTCTCATAGCCATAACTTATTGAAGATCTAAAAAAAATAGGTGGCATTATCTTAGGCTATTCAACTGAAAATTATGGCAATAAAACCCCAGCTTTTAACATAATAAAGTGAAGAATTCATTATAATGGCTTTTTGTTACTAAGCATTATGAGTTTATCATAATTGCTAGTCTCTCATATACTGGGATAAGAAAAAAAGGCTTGAGATTAAGTAAAGGAAACAGCAGTTAACTTTTCAGTTACATTGCACTTGTTTTTAGATAAAAATCCCTTTTGAGCCACTCACTGAAGAAAGGAAAAGGCTAGCTGTTGCTACAAAGATGAAGGAGAGCTAAGTTATGTAATAGTGCTAAATAGGAATAGAGAACAGGATCACAAGTTGAGAACAAGAAGAAAAAATGTCTGTTTACACAGGGTGACTTCACAGAGACCAAACAATGATCTATAAAAATGATGTTAAGATTAATGCACATTTGGAAAACCCTTCTCTAAAACCTACTGAAATTAATAAGGAAAACAAATATGCAGATGTTGAGGGATTTCATTACCACCAGATCTGCCTTACAAGAGATCTTGAAGAAAGGCACTAAATACAAAAAGAAAAGTCTATTACCAGCCAATACAAAAACACACTTAAGTATATAGACCAGTGACACTTTAAAGCAACCACACAAACAAGCCAGTGTAATAAACAGCTAACAACACAATGACAGGACTAAATCCACACATATCAACACTAACCTTGAATGTAAATGGGCTAAATAACCTGTTTGGCAAGTTGGATTAAAAAAACAAGACCCAATGATATGCTGTCTTAAAGAGACCCATCTCACATGCAGTAACACCCAGGGACTCAAGAAAAGGGATGGAGGAAAATCTACCAAGCAAATGGGAAACAGAAAAAAGCAGGGGTTGCAATCCTAATTTCAGACAAAACAGACTTTAAACCAGCAAAAATTAAAAAAAAAAAAGACAAAAAAGGGCATTACATAATGGTGAAGGGTTCAATTCAAGAAGACCTAACTATCCTAAATATATATGCATGCAACACAGGAGCACCCAGATTCACAAAGCAAGTTCTTAGAGACCTACAAAGTGACTTAGCTCCCAAAGAACAATAGTTGGAGACTTCAACACTCCATTGACAGTATTAGACAGATCATCAAGTCAGAAAATTAACACAGATATTAAGGACCTGAACTCAACATTGAACCAAATGAATATGATAGACCTCTACAGAACTCTCCACCCCAAAACAGCAGAATATACATTCTTCTCATTGCCACATCTTCTAAAGTCAACCACATGATCAGACATAAAACAATCCTCAGTAAATGCAAAAGAACTGAAATTATACCAAACACACTCTTAGACCACAGTGCAATAAAAACAGAAATCAAGACTACTAAAATTGCTCAAAACTATGCAATTACATGGAAAATAAACAACCTGCTCCTGAAAGAATTTTGGGTAAATAATGAAGTTAAGGCAGAAATTAAAAAGTTATTTGAAACTAATAAGAACAAAGATACAACATACTAGAATCTCTGGGACACAGTTAAGGCAGTGTTAAGAGGGAAATTTATAGCACTAAATGCCCATATAAAAAATTAGAAAGATCTCAAATTAACAACCTCCAATCACAACTTAAAGAACTAGAAAAGTGACAGCAAACCAACCCCAAAGTAGCAGAAGACAAGAAAGAACCAAAATCAGAGCAGAACTGAAGGATATTGAGAAATAAAAAAAATGGAAAAGATCAAAAAATCCAGGAGTTGGTTTTTTGAAGACATTAATAAGACAGATAGGCCATTAATAGCTAGATTAATAAAGAAGGAAAGAGAAAAGATCCAAATAAACACATTCAGAAATGACAAAAGGGATATTATTGCTTACCCCACAGAAATACAAATAACCACAAGTGATTACTATGAATACCATATGCACATAAACTAGAAAACCTAGAGGGGATGGATAAATTCCTGGACACATACACCCTCCCAAGATTGAACCAGGAAGAAACTGATTCTCTGAACAGACCAATAATGAGCTCCGAACTCAAGTCAGTAATAAATAGCCTAGCAATGACCAGATGGATTCACAGCCAAATTCTACCAGATATGCAAAGAAGAGCTGGTACCATTCCTACTGAAACTATTCTAAAAAAAATGAGGAAGGGGGACTCTTCCCTAACTCATTTTATGAGGCCAGCATCATCCTGATGTGAAAACTTGCCAGAGACACACACACACAAAAGAAAACTTCAGGCCAACATCCTTGACAAACATTGATGCAAGAATCCTCAACAAAATGCTTGCAAATCGAATCCAGAAGCACATAAAAAACTAATCCATCATGATCAATTAGGCTTTATCCCTGAGATGCAAGTTTGTTTCAACATATGCAAATCAATAAATGTGATTCATCACAGAAACAGAACTAAAGACAAAAAAAACATGATTATCTCACCAGATCCAGAAAAAGCTTTTGATAGAATACAATATTCCTTCATGTTGAACACTCAATAAACTAGGTATCAAAGAAACATACCTCAAAATAACAGCCATATATTACTCACAGCCAACATCACACTCAATTGTTAAAAGCTGGAAGCATTCCTCTTGAAAACCGGCACAAGATAAGGATGCCCTCTCTCACCACTCCTATTCTACATAGTATTGGAAGTCCTGTCCAGAGCAATCAGGCAAGAGAAAGAAATAAGGGGCATCAAAATAGGAAGAGAGGAAGTCAAACTATCCCTGTTTGCAGATGACATGATTCTATATCTAGAAAACCCCATAGTCTGCCCAAAAGCTTCTTCAGCTGATAAACAATTTCAGCAAAGTTTCAAGATACAAAAATTAATGTACCAAAATTACTAGCATTCCTGTACACCAACAGCAGTCAAGCCAAGAGCCAAATAAGAAACCCAATCCGATTCACAATTGCCATAAAAAAGACTAAAATACCTAGGAATATTTTAACCAGGGAGGTGTAAGTTCTCTACAATGAAAATTACAAAGCACTGCTCAAAGGAATCAGAGATGACACAAACAAATGAAAAAACATTCCATGCTCTCCGTGATAGGAAGAATCAGTATCATTACAATCGCCATACTGTGCAAAGCAATTTACAGATATAAGGCTATTCCTATCAAACACAAATGACATTCTTCACAGAACTAGAAAAAACTATCTTAAAATTCATATGGAACCAAAAAGGAGGCTGAATAGCCAAGGCAATCCCAAGCATAAAGAAGAACACTGGAGGCATCATGTTACCTGACTTCAAACTATACTACAGGGCTACAGTAACCAAAACAACATGGTACTGGTACAAAAACAGACATGTAGACCAACAGAACAGAATAAAGAGCCCAAAAATAAGGCCGCACATGTACAACCATGTCATCTTTGACAAAGCTGACAAAAACAAGCAATAGAGAAAGGACTCCCTATTCAATAAATGGTACTGGGATAACTGGCTACCCATATGCAGAAGATTAAAAATGGACCCTTTCCTTACACCATATACAAAAATTAACTCAAGATGGATTAAAGACATAAATGTAAAACCCCAAACTATAAAACCCCTGGAAGACAACGTAGGCAATACCATTCTGAACGTAGGAATTGGCAAAGATTTCATGACAAAGATACCAAAAGCAATTGCAACAAAATCAAAAATTGACAAATGGGATCTAATTAAACTTAAGAACTTCTGCATAGCTAAAGAAACTATCAACAGAGTGAAAAAACAACCTACAGAATGGAAGAAAATATTTGTAAGCTATGCATCTTTGAAGGTCTAATATCCAGAATCTACAAGAAACAAACAAATCTACAAAAAAACCCACAAACAAACCCATTAAAAAGTGGGCAAAGGACATGAACAGACACTTTTCAAAAAAAGACATAGACATAGCGAACAAGCATATGAAAAAAAGCTCAATATCACTGGTCATTAGAGAAACGCAAATCAAAACCACAATGAGATACCATCTCATACCAGTCAGAATGGCTATTACTGAAAAATTAAAAAAAATAGAAAAGTAAATTATGGAATATTCATACAATCAGATACTATGCCACCATTAAGTGTAAAAAGCTAGATGGAGAGTATTGTATTTATTTGTAATATGACAAATAATAAAAAAATTAAAATAAAAAATAACAACCATTGTGGAAAGTAGCATGGTGACTCCCCAAATAGCTAAAAGCAGAACTCCCATTCGAGCCAGTAATCCCACTACTGGGTATATACCCAAAGGAATATAAATTGATCTATCATAATGACATATGCATGTGTATGTTCATTGCAGCACTATTCACAATAGCAAAGACATGGAATCAGTCTAAATGCCCATTATTGGTAGACTGGATAAAGAAAATGTGGTATATATACACCATGAAATACTACACAGCCATAAAAAAGAACAAGATCATGTTCCTCAGAGGAACATGGATGGAGCTTGAGGTCATCATCCTTGGCAACAGAAAACCAAATATCACATTTTCTCACTTATAAGTGAAAACCAAATGATGACAACACATGAACAAAAAGAGAGGTACAAGAGACCCTGGAGTCTACTTGAGGGAGGAGGGTGTGAGGAGGGAGAGGAACAGAAAAAAACAACTATTGTGTACTACACTTAGTACCT
This sequence comes from Homo sapiens, assembly GCF_000001405.40. Taxonomy (NCBI): domain Eukaryota; kingdom Metazoa; phylum Chordata; class Mammalia; order Primates; family Hominidae; genus Homo; species Homo sapiens. The sequence continues at coordinate 84,520,520 of NC_000002.12, read as the reverse complement.
GAGAGATGAAATAATCTGTGCAACAAACCCCCATGACCTCAGTTTACCTATGTAACAAATCTGTACATATACCCCTGAATCTAAAATAAACGTTAAAAAAGTTACACATAAAAACACTAGCTGCATCCTGTGTGAAGGTGCAGTTTCACCTATGCAGATCAGGCAACAAAAAGTTGGAAGAGATTATAGTATAACTTAGGTTAAGGGTGAAAATGCAATTTAATTTAGGCAACATGTGTACATTGGATTGAGAAACTGGTTTCCAGGTAAAATATGTGTGAATTAAGTAAAATTGTATGTTAAATATAATTATATGGAAATTAATATACAATTAAATACAATTATACATATATGTAACTTTTTCATCAACTCCACAACACCACTCACAGGGCCCTGTCTCATAGGAATATAAGCACCAATACAAAAGGATAATACAATTTTACTGTACCATTTGAAATACTGGCAAAACAACTTGAATGTCTCAAAAGAGGAGAATGATTTAGTAAATTATGGAATGTTCATACAATCAGATACTATGCCACCACTAAGTGTAAAAAGCTAGATGGAGAGTATTGTATTTATTTGTAATATTTTCATGAAAATATTACAAATACACACAATTACAAATTGTAAGTTTCATACATTTGTAAAATTACAAAATTACAAATAAATTTGTATAAAATTGTTTCAGCATGGACAAAGGCAAGAAAAGACATATACTAGATGTCATCAATGTTAGATGGCATAGAAAAGGGGGTCAGAGATTGGGGAATTTGGAGGTAAGGAAAAAATGTAAAAGAAGAAGAGTAGAAAAGAAAGAGAGTAGGAGAAGGAGGGGTAAGGGAAGAGAGAGAGGAGGAAGAAAAGAAGAAGGAAGAGGAGGGGAAAGAAGGGGGGAAGAGGAGAATAGGAAGAAGAAGGGGAAGGGAAAGGGAGAGGAGAAGGCAGTTGAGGGGAGGGAAGTCAATAACAAAAATACATTCTTACCAACTCTATAAAAAGAAGTCAAACTGCAGACACCCACAGGTGTGAAATTAGTCACTAGACTATTAAGCTACTTTCTCTCTGCATGGTGAAACTTCAGGTCATTTTCACTTTTTTCCTTGTTATTTTTTAATATTGTATGAATTATTTTATTCATGTATTATTTATACTGTGCAAGTTATGTTAGTATATAACATACTGCCTCAAACTTAGTAACTTAAAAACTAACATTTATTTTGCTAAAAATTCTGTAATTTAGGCAGAGCTCAGTGGGGACAGCATCAATGCCTCAGCTGGTGCCCAGTGGAGTAGAGGCAAGCTGTCCCCACTGAGCTCTGCCTAAATTGCAGATATCTGTCAGTTGATACAGGCTGTTGGCTGAGACTTGTTCAGATAAAATCTCCTCAGAGAGACCTTTCTAGTCACCCAATCTAAAGCAGTCTCTTCTGAGTCTCTACCATAGTCCATGTGCTCTTTTCTTTTCTTTTTTTAGAGATAGGATCTCACTCTGTCACCCAGGCTGGAGTGCAGTGGTATAAGCACAGCTTACTGCAGCCTCTACCTCCTGGGCTCAATGACCCTCTCCCTTTGCCTCCCAAAGTGCTAAGATTACAGGCATGAGCCCATGCGTTTGGCTTATTTTTTAAATAGTTACTATCACTAGGTGAAATTGTTCAGTCTGCTTATTTAGAATTACTAGAATGTCAACAGGAATCTTGTCTGCTTTGTTCATTTTTGTTCATTTATATTTGTTTATTTTGTTCATTTATATTTGTTCATTTGCTTTGTTCATTCCTCAGAGCATGGCTCAAACCCTGGCACAGAGTACGCACATAACAAACTTTTAATATACATGAGTAGATGGCATTGGTGACAAATTAAACAACTTTAATCATCAACGGTTAGTGATACACTTTTGTCAAGTGAAGGCAAATACGTCAGAGAGAAATAGATGTAGCTAACGTCTAATGGTGGAGAGGACAACTTTTACTTTTTAATTTTTTCGCTTTCACTGCTCTTTACATGCGTTTATAATTATCCAAGGGCATAAATGGTTTCTAAAAATTAAGTATTTTCAACATGCACACAATTTTTTAAATACAAAGGCATGTACTTTGAAAATAATAAAACTATATAACTAAATATAACATTTGCTAAACTTCTCAGTGTTAAATGGTACCCTAATATCTAAAAGTGCCTAATAGCATACATAGTTAAGTATCTGTATTGTACATAATCCTAGAGAGGACTTATCTGCCTGAAAACTTTGTTCACCACTGTATCCTTCAACTTAAACAGTGCCTAGAACTTAATATTTGTTTAATAAATATTTACCGTATTTACAACTACATAAGCAGTTATTATCTTTTAGCTTTTCATTCCTTCTTTGTCAGTTCAGAGTCTGGACATGACTTCTATCCTCCAAAGCAATTTTACAACTTCCTCTGTGGCTACAGAGGCTAAAACAATGGTTTTTGAACTTACCAAAGGCTCTAGTTTTATAGGCTGCTGTCGTTTTCTTGTCTTCTCCTGAGCTTTTGTAATGTGCCTAAACGTTAGGATTTGTGTATCAGATTCATTTTCTGTGGATGTCACATAACTCACTCTTTGTTTGGCTTTTATATTATTCAGTCTTGAAAGTGCAGAATTTTCGGCATACTCTTCAATATTTGTCAGGTCAAATTCACTATCTGTGGCCCGAAAAGTCATCCTTACTCCTGAAAAGAATAGGTGAGGAAAAAGAAAATGAAAAGTAGATCAAAAGGATTGGGGAAGGAGGCTACTGGAGAGGGACTTAAGGACTAGGAAGAGTTGAATTCGCTCACTTCCCTCAAATAAAACCCATCAAAGTTACCCCAGTCTTCCCGAACTGAGGACTTGAACCAAAGGAATAAAAAATTAGAAACTGTGCCTAGGCTTCAAGAACCCCTGTAGCTAGGGTGGAACCCAGGAATTTGCATTTCTTGCAAGTTCTTGGCGGATGCTGCTGCTGCTGCTCATCTGGAGACCACACTGGTCTAGATTTGGAAGGACAAAAGGAAATGTAATTAGTATTGAGATCAATGTTTCTCATCTCCTGCGGAACTTGTTCAAAATGCAGCTAATTCTAGTACACGCAGTCTGAAAAATACAGTATAGGTACTCAAGAAGAAACAAAGGGAAAAAAAAGAATTGAGGGCTAATTTCTTACACAGTGCTTCTGGAGCTTTAACGTGCAGGACAATCACTTGCAGAGCTTGTTAAAATGAAGGTTCTGATTCATACACTTTGAGTAGCAAGGTCCTAAAACACTAGAAATATGAGCCTTTTGTAATGGTCTTGCACTCTGCACCACCACGCACACTTTCACCCCATTAGATGAGTGGAGATACTTCGAAACACCTTCCAAAATAGGGTTAGCACAAGAGGTCTTGAATCAGGTGTCGGCAGACCTAGGTTTTATATAGATCAGTGCTGGCCAATAGAAATATGAGAGCTTTGTATGCAATTTTAATTTTCAAGCAATAGCATTTTTAAAAAAGAAATAGGTGAGATTAATTTTAATAATATGTTTTATTTACCATATACAAAACATAATCATTTGAACACACAGTATAAAAATTATAGTGATATCTTATGTTGTCTTTTGGTACCACGCCTTCAAAATCCAGTGTGCTTTTTACATATGAGCACATTGCAATTCAGACTAGCCACACGAGGTCTAAAGATTACCGTATTTAACAGCGCAGGTCCAGATTTGACCACTCAGCGTGAGATCTTGGACAAGTCTTTTGATATCGCTATTGCTCACTTTCCACCCCTCTAAAATGATGGGCGGATAGCAGACAATCACTGAAATGCCTTTCCATTGATTTTCTCTGCCTCTTTGAGCCTTTATGTTCTCCGAAAGTCAGACTTTGTTTCTGGCCCAGAAATCGGAGCCCAGGCCCGAGGGTCGGTTCCCAGGACTCACCAAGTCAAAATACAGCAACCACCGCCGAGGGTCTCCAGAGAGAGCAATGCCTGGTCGGGAGTAGAAAGTACTCGGTAGCGCGGAATGTTTCCTGTTGCTGCGTAGCAACCAGCTGGCCTCTACGGAAGCACTGCGCCACTGAGTAACACGTCGCCAGGCAACGCCTCAACCAGCCACAGCTTTCGGTCCAGGAGCGCGCCAGGCAATCGAGCCAATTAGTGTCTCCGAAACATTTCCTACTTCGCTGATTGTTGGAGAAGCCGCACAGCCTGGTTCCTCCTCTGCGCTGGGAATTGAGTACTGTGCCAGGAGGTGTAGGCAGAGCAGCCAAAGGAGGTGGTTAATTCTGTTTGCTTCGTTGCTTATCGACCACTCACACCCATCTCAACCTCTTACAGGAATTTCTTTTCTGTTTTCCTTCAAGAGGCGTAAGACTGACTTGACGTTCACTTTAATAGAAATTTATCCGAAAGAGTCGAGAATTTCAGGAGAGGAATGTGGGTTGTGTAGACAAATGAGGTCCCACTCTCCAAGGAAGCAACCACTCTGCATCCCTGCCCTACCCGCCAACCTCCTCCCGAGTGTCTTAAGGCTCAAGAAATGTGGCCTCCTCTTCCCTTAAACTCCACTGTGGCCTTCCAACTAATGTCCTTTTCCACTTGGAAGGTAACCTAGGTGTCAGGCATAGGATGAGCCCGTATTACTTGGTTCCCGTGCCCCTTCTACCAAAGCAGACCCTGGATCTTATTCTGGCGTTTAATCTCACTTAAGTTCCCAAGTGACTGTTGCTAATTTTGTATGGAGCGACCCCATCGAAGGCCAGGGCCTGTTGCTTACTCGGGATGCCTTATCCCAGTTACTGATCAGGGGAAGAAATCCTTTCACCTGTCTTGATGAATCCTTACACCACATGGAGGAGCTCTGGTTTTCAACCTTGTCTCCAAAATGACATAATCATCATTTTCTTTTGCTCTTTTCGGTTGCTCTTTGTTACCTTGATATTTGTTTCTTGCTCTATGTGAAGTTCTTTACATTATTGTACTCACAGCCTGCATCTTCTCAATCTTAACATATTCAGTTATGTATTTGATATGGTAGTATGATTCTCTAAATCACAGATAGAGCTAAAATGGAGATTACAGGTCACATAGTCCAACTCCCCTATTTGATTTGTAAGGGAACTGAAGCCCAGAGAAAGCAAGTGCTTTACTCCAGGTCAGGCAGCTAGTTGTGCCACAGACAAAACTAGAATGCAGATCTCCCAATCCCTAATGAGAAACTGGAAACAGCAAGAGAGTAAAGTCAGTTTAGAAAAAATTTTAAAAATTCTGAAAAACTTCAAATGTAGACAAAATAAAGATTAATTCCCCAGAGATGAAAAATACACACAAAACTAGTCAGCTAGTAAAATGCAATCATTGATATAAACTAATAATGGAAAAAGAAATTCAAAGCCAACTCAGTACATCGAAGCATAAAGTTATAATAACAAGCAATGTTAGACACATCCTCAGAATAGATTTCATTTCAGATGTGCAGTGAAAATTTTAATCTGTTCCCTTCAAAGTTTATGCAATGGAGACAAATCTATTGCTCCTCAATCCTAGACTCCCTTTTTTAGATTAAGGTGGATTGTACACAACTGTTACCATGTGCAGCTGAAAGCATTCCAAAAGCTAAGAAGTGTGTGTGTGTGTGTGTGTGTGTGTGTGTGTGACTGTGGTGAAGTGGGGGTGGGAGGATTGGAAGACACAGACATAGTTTTACAAAGATATTACTATATGAAACACTACTCATCAAATCTCTCCAAGCTTATTTTTTAATGTGGCAAGATGTTATCTTCATTATCAACTGACCACTTACTAAATCAATGTAGCAGCTTTGTGTATAGCCTGCTATTTTTATAGTTCTTATAGATAATTGTTACATTTCATTGGTTGTTTCTTATGTGCCAAGTACTGTGCTTTATATTTCCCATTCATTTTCTTAAGTACTGCTAACAAACATGAAATTCCCATTTCACAGCTAAAGAAGTAGGTTACAAATGGTTACTCACAAGTTCACATCTTTAATAGTAAAAGGAAATGCAGTTAAAATTTTTTTAGCATTAGGTTAAGATTTATATACCAGGCCATTTGTGATGGGTGCTATTCCACTAATCATTGCAATAACCTTATGTTAGAGGTATTATTATACCTATTCCACAGATAGGAAATTGAGGCTTAAAGAGGTTGTGTGACTTTCCCAAGTCACTTCAGAGGTAGTAAGTGGCAGAGCTGAGATACAAATCCAGATCCATCAACTTAAATTTCTATATGAATTTGAGCCCAAGATTATTGAATCATAGAATTCTGCTTCTGGATATATAGTGGAGTATAGCAGGGCTCACAGAAATAAGGGAATCCTCAAGTGTCAAAATAATAATCAGATGAAACCAGAGCAATAAATAACATGGAAGCTGTGGGTGCTGTGGGTACAAATGCCTATACAAAGAACATATAGCTTCAGGGATTAATGCTGAGGAGAAATGGAAGACTAGGCCTTGCTTGAGTCTACACAAAATGGAAGAGCAAACTACAGTTGCCACACACATCTGAGACTGTTGGAAGAATTATCCCCTCAGTAATAGGTTGGACTAGGAAAAAACTGGCAGTGACAAAAACCTACAGGAAAACCAGCATATTTCTACCTGTAGATCCAGGTGGGAAAAAATTGTTAAAAATATAATAGTCTCCCCCAGGAATTTAGGAGTATAGACAAAACTAGTTCTGGGTTTTTCATTTACACTACCTATGTGGTCTGGGGAAAAAAATGCAAGCTACTAGGAAATACCCATGAAGAGAAAGGCATCATCAACTCTGAGTCCTTAGAATTCTCACAAGTTAGTTTCAGCCAAATATAAATTTACAATTAAAAAAAACCCAAGCATACAAGAAAACAAGCCACTCCAAACAAGAGTTAGCAGAATAAACAAGACTTAAAAGGCAAACACATTATATATTAGAACTCTTAAATATAGAATACATAAAATATTTATGAAATGTTCAAGGATAATGACAATATAAAATTTAAAAGTAATTATGGGAATAACATTAGCAAAAATGGTAGAGTAAGGAACTCTAAAAGTCCATCCTTCCACAAAAGTTGTAAGACTTCAGTGACTTTAGAGATTTCAGTAACCACATGTGACAAAGCATACAGTCTTTAAATAATAGTTTACAAAAGTCAGCAACAAACAAATACAACCTACAACAGGCAGAAACAACAAATTCTTAGAAGGCAGGAGAATCTGATTTCCCGAGTTACCATATTATAATATTCAACATATCCAATATCCAATTTTCAACCAAAAGTATGAGACATGCAAACAAAGAAAGTATGGTCCACTTACAGGAAGAAAAACTTAATTAATTATAAATTAAGATGTTAATTGTAATCACAGGGCAACCACTAAGAAAATAACTAAAAAAAAATAGATAAAAAGTGAACCAAAATGGTACACTTAAAAAAATCTACCTCATACAAAAGAAGGCAATAGTGAAAGAATTGAAAAATAACATATAGAAAACAAATACAAAATGTCAAAAGTAAGTCCTTCCTCATCAGTAATTACATTAAATGGAAATTGATTAAACCTATCAGTTAAAAGGCAGAATGAATAAAAAACATGACTCAAATACACATTGTCTATAAGAGACATACTTTAGATTCAAAAACAGGATAGGTTAAAATAAAGGAAAAAAGATATTTCATGCATACTGTAAGCAAAAGAAAGTGGCAGTGGCTATGCTAATATTAAACAAAATAGACTTTAAGACAAAAATTGTGATGAGAGATAAAGGTTATGAAAAGAGTCAATCCATCAAGAAGCTAGAACAATTAAAACATATGTTCACCTAAAAACACAGTCCCAAAACATATGAAGTAATAACCAACAGAATCGAAGGGAGAAATAGACAATTCAACAACAGCAGTTGAAGATTCTAGCTTTCAGTAATGATAGAAAAACCATTGCTATGGTTTGAATGTGTCCCCTGAAGTTCATATGTTGGAAAATTAATCCTCAATGCAACAGTGTTGAGAGGTGGGGCCTAATAAGAGGTGATTAGGTCAAAATGGAGACGTAATGCAGAGACCTCATGAATGGATTCATGTCGTTTTCTTGGGAGTAGGGTAGTTATTGAGAAGGCTTGTTATAAAAGTGAGTTGGACCCTCTCTTGTTCTCTCATATATTCTCTTGCCCTTCCATCTTCCATCATGGGGGAATGCAACATGAGGTCCCTTACCAGATGCCACTGGCCTCTCAACTTTGGACTTCCCAGCCTCCAGAACTGTAAGAAATAACTCTTTGTTCTTTATGAATTATCCAGCCTGTGTTATGTATTCCATTATAGTCACACCAAATTGACTAAGGGACTATAGAAAAGATTAATAAGGAAATAGAATAATTGAGAAACACTATAAAACAAACACGCCTGAAAAACATCTATAAAATGTCCCACCCCCCAAAAAAACAGAAAACACTTTCTTTTCAAGGGCACATGAAACATTCTCTGGGAAAGACCATGTGTTAGGTCACAAAACAAGTCTCAATACATTTTAAAATTCTGCAATCATACAAAATATCTTTTCTGACCACATGAAATAAAATCAGAAATACTAGCAAACTGAATCCAGCAGTATATTCAAAGGATTATACACCATGGGTAAGTATGATTCATCACAGGAATGTAAAAGTATTTCAACATAAAAAAATCATAAATGTAATACATCATATTAACAGAAGAAGAGGGAAAAAAGACAGCATGATCAACTCAATATATGCAGGAAAAAGCATCTGATAAAAATCCATCACTCTTTCATTATAAAAACATTAAACAAGGAATAGGAACAGCTCCAGTCTATAGCTCCCAGCGTGAGCGATACAGAAGACAGGTGATTTCTGCATTTCCAACTGAGGTACTGGGTTCGTCTCACTGGGGAGTGTCAGAAAGTGGGTGTAGGACAGTGGGTGCAGCGCACCGAGAGTGAGCCGAAGCAGGGCGAGGCATCGCCTCACCCGGGAAGCACAAGGGGTCAGGGAATTCCCTTTCCTAGTCAAAGAAAGGGGTGATGGACGGCACCTGGAAAATTGGGTCACTCCCACCCTAATACTGTGCTTTTCCAACAGTCTTAGCAAACGGCACACCAGGAGATTATATCCCGCGCATGGCTTGGAGAGTCCTATGCCCATGGAGCCTCACTCATTGCTAGCACAGCAGTCTGAGATCAAACTGCAAGGCAGCAGTGAGGCTGGGGGAGGGGCGCCCGCCATTGCCGAAGCTTGAGTACGTAAACAAAGCAGCCAGGAAGCTCGAACTGGGTGGAGCCCACCGCAGTTCAAGGAGGCCTGCCTGCCTCTGTAGACTCCACCTCTGGGGGAGGGCACAGCCAAACAAAAGGCAGCAGAATCCTCTGCAGACTTAAATGTCCCTGTCTGACAGCTTTGAAGAGAATAGTGGTTCTCCCAGCACACAGCTGGCGATCTGACAATGGACAGACTGCCTCCTCAAGTGGGTCCCTGACCCCCGAGTAGCCCAACTGGGAGGCACCCCCAAGTAGGGGCGGACTGACACCTCACACGGCCGGGTACTCCTCTGAGACAAAACTTCCAGTGGAATGATCAGGCAGCAACATTTGCTGTTTACCAATATCTGCTGTTCTGCAGCCTCTGCTGCTGATACCCAGGCAAACAGGGTCTGCAGTAGACCTCCAGCAAACTTCAACAGACCTGCAGCTGAGGGTCCTGACTGTTAGAAGGAAAACTAACAAGCAGAAAGGACATCCACACCAAAACCCCATCTGTATGTCACCATCATCAAAGACCAAAGGTAGATAAAACCACAAAGATGGGGAAAAAACAGAGCAGAAAAACTGGAAACTCTAAAAATCAGAGCGCCTCTCCTCCTCCAAAGGAACGCAGATCCTCACCAGCAATGGAACAAAGCTGGATGGAGAATGACTTTGACGAGTTGAGAGAAGAAGGCTTCAGACGATCAAACTACTCCGAGCTAAAGGAGGAAGTTCGAACCCATGGCAAAGAAGTTAAAAACATTGAAAAAAAATTACACGAATGGCTAACTAAATAACCAATGCAGAGAAGTCCTTAAAGGACCTGATGGAGCTGAAAACCAAGGCACGAGAACTACGTGACGAATGCACAAGCCTCAGTAGCCGATTCACTCAACTGGAAGAAAGGGTATCAGTGATGGAAGATCAAATGAATGAAATGAAGCGAGAAGAGAAGTTTAGAGAAAAAAGAATAAAAAGAAACGAACAAAGCCTCCAAGAAATATGGGACTATGTGAAAAGACCAAATCTACGTCTGATTTTTGTACCTGAAAGTGACAGGGAGAATGGAACCAAGTTGGAAAACACTCTGCAGGATATTATCCAGGAAAACTTCCCCAATCTAGCAAGGCAGGCCAACATTCAAATTCAGGAAATACAGAGAACACCACAAAGATACTCCTTGAGAAGAGCAACTCCAAGACATATAATTGTCAGATTCACCAAAGTTGAAATGAAGGAAAAAATGTTAAGGGCAGCCAGAGAGAAAGGTCGGGTTACGCACAAAGGGAAGCCCATCAGACTAACAGCTAATCTCTCAGCAGAAACTCTACAAGGCAGAAGAGAGTGGGGGCCAATATTCAACATTCTTAAAGAAAAGAATTTTCAACCCAGAATTTCATATCCAGCCAAACTAAGCTTCATAAGTGAATGAGAAATAAAATACTTTACAGACAAGCAAATGCTGAGAGATTTTGTCACCACCAGGCCTGCCCTAAAAGAGCTCCTGAAGGAAGCACTAAACATAGAAAGGAACAACCGGTACCAGCCACTGCAAAGACATGCCAAATTGTAAAGACCATCGAGGCTAGGAAGAAACTGCATCAACTAAAGAGCAAAATAACCAGCTAACATCATAATGACAGGATCAAATTCACACATAACAATATTAACCTTAAATGTAAATGGGATAAATGCTCCAATTAAAAGACACAGACTGCCAAATTGGATAAAGAGTCAAGACCCATCAGTGTGCTGTATTCAGGAGACCCATCTCACGTGAAGAGACACACATAGGTTCAAAATAAAGGGATGGAGGAAGATCTACCAAGCAAATGGAAAACAAAAAAAGGCAGGGGTTGCACTCCTAGTCTCTGATAAAACAGACTTTAAACCAACAAGTATCAAAAGAGACAAGGCCATTACATAATGGTAAAGGGATCAATTCAACAAGAAGAGCTAACTATCCTAAAGTGCATATCCTGTATATGCACCCAATACAGGAGCACCCAGATTCATAAAGCAAGTCCTTAGAGACCTAGAAAGAGACTTAGACTCCCACACAATAATAAAGGGAGACTTTAGCACCCCATTTTCAACATTAGACAGATGAACGAGACAGAAAGTTAACAAGGATATCCAGGAATTGAACTCAGCTCTGCACCAAGTGGACCTAATAGACATCTACAGAACTCTCCACCCCAAATCAACAGAATATACATTCTTCTCAGTGCCACACTGCACTTATTCCAAAATTGACCACATAGTAGGAAGTAAAGCACTCCTCAGCAAATGTAAAAGAACAGAAATTATAAGAAACTGTCTCTCAGACCACAGTGCAATCAAACTAGAACTCAGGATTAAGAAACCCACTCAAAACTGCTCAACTACATGGAAACTGAACAACCTGCTCCTGAATGACTTACTGGGTACATAACGAAATGAAGGCAGAAATAAAGATGTTGTTTGAAACCAACGAGAACAAAGACACAACGTACCAGAATCTCTGGGACACATTCAAAGCAGTGTGTAGAGGGAAATTTATAGCACTAAATGCCCATAAGAGAAAGCAGGAAAGATCTAAAATTGACACCCTAACATCACAATTAAAAGAACTAGAGAAGCAAGAGCAAACACATTCAAAAGCTAGCAGAAGGCAAGAAATAACTAAGATCAGAGCAGAACTAAAGGAAATAAAGACATAAAAACCCTTCAAAAAATCAATGAATCCTGGAGCTGGTTTTTTGAAAAGATCAACAAAATTCATAGGCCGCTAGCAAGACTAATAAAGAAGAAAAGAGAAAAGAATCAAATAGACGCAATAAAAAATGATAAAGGGGATATCACCACCAATCCCACAGATATACAAACTGCCATCAGAGAATACTATAAACACCTCTACGCAAATAAACTAGAAAATCTAGAAGAAATGGATAAATTCCTCGACACATACACTCTCCCAAGACTAAACCTGGAGGAAGTTGAATCTCTGAATAGACCAATAACAGGATCTGAAATTAAGGCAATAATTAATAGCTTACCAACCAAAAAAAGTCCAGGACCAGACGGATTCACAGCCGAATTCTACTAGAGGTACAAGGAGGAGCTGGTACCATTCCTTCTGAAACAACTCCAATCAATAGAAAAAGAGGGAATCCTCCCTAACTCATTTTATGAGGCCAGTATCATCCTGATACCAAAGCCTGGCAGAGACACAACCAAAAAAGAGAATTTTAGACCAATATCCCTGATGAACATCGATGCAAAAATCCTCAATGAAATACTGGCAAACCAAATCCAGCAGCACATCAAAAAGCTTATCCACCACGATCAAGTGGGCTTCATCCCTGGGATGCAAGGCTAGTTCAGAATATGCAAATCAATAAATGTAATCCAGCATATAAACAGAACCAAAGACAAAAACCACATGATTATCTCAACAGATGCAGAAAAGGCCTTTGACAACATTCAACAATGCTTCATGCTAAAAACTCTCAATAAATTAGGTATTGATGGGACGTATCTCAAAATAATAAGAGCTATCTATGACAAAACCACAGCCAATATCATACTGAATGGGCAAAAACTGGAAGCATTCCCTTTGAAAACTGGCACAAGACAGGGATGCCCTCTCTCACCACTCCTATTCAACATAGTGTTGGAAGTTCTGGCCAGGGCAATCAGGCAGGAGAAAGAAATAAAGGGTATTCAATTAGGAAAAGAGGAAGTCAAATTGTCCCTGTTTGCAGATGACATGACTGTATATCTAGAAAACCCCATCGTCTCAGCCCAAAATCTCCTTAAGCTGATAGGCAACTTCAGCAAAGTCTCAGGTTACAAAATCAATGTGGAAAAATCACAAGCATTCTTATACACCAATAACAGACAAACAGAGAGCCAAATCTTGAGTGAACTCCCATTCACAATTGCTTCAAAGAGAATAAAATACCTAGGAATCCAACTTACAGGGGACGTGAAGGACCTCTTTAAGAAGAACTACAAACCACTGCTCAATGAAATAAAAGAGGATACAAACAAATGGAAGAACATTCCATGCTCATGGGTAGGAAGAATCAATATTGTGAAAATGGCCATACTGCCCAAGGTAATTTATAGATTCAATGCCATCCCCATCAAGCTACCAATGACTTTCTTCACAGAATTGGAAAAAACTACTTTAAAGTTCATATGGAACCAAAAAAGAGCCTGCAGTGCCAAGTCAACCCTAAGCCAAAGAACAAAGCTGGAGGCATCACGCTACCTGACTTCAAACTACACTACAAGGCTACAGTAACCAAAACAGCATGGTACTGGTACCAAAACAGAGATATAGACCAATGGAACAGAACAGAGCCCTCAGAAATAATGCCACATATCTACAACTATCTGATCTTTGACAAACCTGAGAAAAACAAGCAATGGGGAAAGGATTCCCTATTTAATAAATGGTGCTGGGAAAACTGGCTAGCCATATGTAGAAAGCTGAAACTGGATCCCTTCCTTACACCTTATACAAAAATTAATTCAAGATGGTTAAAGACTTACATGTTAAACTAAAGCCATAAAAACTCTAGAAGAAAACCTAGGCAATACCATTCAGGACATAGGCATGGGCAAGGACTTCATGACTAAAACACCAAAAGCAATGGCAACAAAAGCCAAAATTGACAAATGAGATCTAAGTAAACTAAAGAGCTTCTGCACAGCAAAAGAAACCACCATCAGAGTGAACAGGCAACCTACAGAATAGGAGAAAATTTTTGCAATCTACTCGTCTGACATAGGGCTAATATACAGAATCTACAATGAACTCAAACAAATTTACAAGAAAAAAACAAACAACCCCATCAAAAAAGTGGGCAAAGGATATGAACAGATACTTCTCAAAAGAAGACATTTATGCAGCCAAAAAACACACGAAAAAATGCTCACCATCACTGGCCATCAGAGAAATGCAAATCAAAACCACAATGAGATACCATCTCACACCAGTTAGAATGGCAATCTTTAAAAAGTCAGGAAACAACAGGTGCTGGAGAGGATGTGGAGAAATAGGAACACTTGAACACTTTTACACTGTTGGTGGGACTGCAAACTAGTTCAACCATTGTGGAAGACAGTGTGGTGATTCCTCAGGGATCTAGAACTAGAAATACTATTTGTCCCAGCAATCCCATTACTGGGTATATACCCAAAGGATTATAAATCATGCTGCTATAAAGACACATGCATATGTATGTTTATTGCGGCACTATTCACAATAGCAAAGACTTGGAACCAACCCAAATGTCCAACAATGATTGACTGGATTAAGAAAATGTGGCACATACACACCATGGAATACTATGCAGCCATAAAAGATGATGATTTCATGTCCTTTGTAGGGACATGGATGAAGCTGGAAACCATCATTCTCAGCAAACTATTGCAAGGACAAAAAAACAAACACCGCATGTTCTAACTCATAGGTGGGAATTGAACAATGAGAACACACGGACACAGGAAGGGGAACATAACACACCGGGGCCTGTTGTGGGGTGGAGGGAGTGGGGAGGGATAGCATTAGGAGATATACCTAATGTTAAATGACAAGTTAATGGTGCAGCACACCAACATGGCACATGTATACATATGTAACTAACCTGCATGTTGTGCACATGTACCTTAAAACTTAAAGTATAATAATAAAAAAAGAACTTAAAAAAATAAAAACATTAAACAAACTAGGAATAGAAGAAAACGTCTTCAACCTGATGAAGGGCATATGAAAAACCCATAGCTAACATCATACTCCATGCTGAAAGCCTGAAAACTTTCCTGCTAAGATTAGAAATAAAGTAAGTATGTCTGATCTTGCCACTTCAATTTGATATTGTACTGAAATTTCAAACCAGGGAAATTAGTCAAGAAAAGGAGATAAAATGTATCCAGGTTGGAAAGGAAGAAGTAAAACTATCTGTATTCATAGATCAAATTATCTTATATAAAAATCTTAAAGAATTGACAAAATATGATTAGAACTAATAAATGAGATTAACAAAGTCACAGGATACATGATCAACCCACAAAAATCAGTTGTATTCCTATGTACTTGCAATGGACAATCAAAAAATGAAAAAGAAAACAATTCCATGTATAATAGCATTGCAAATGATAAAATATGTAGAAATAAATTGAATCAAAGACATGCAAGACTCATGCTGAAAACTGAAAAACATTGCTGAAAGAAATTTAAGACCTATGTAAATGGCAAGGCATCATGTGTTCATGAATCTGAAAACTTACTATTATTAAGATGGCAATACTCCCCAAATTGATGTACAGATTCAATACAATCCCTGTCCAAACTACAACTGTCTTTTATAAAAGTTGACAAGCTAATCCTAAAATTCACATGGAATTGCAAGGGGCCTTAAGTAGCCCAAACAATATTGAAAAGGAAAAACAAAGTTGCAGCACTCACATTTTCCCATTTGAAAACTTACTACAAAGCTACAATTATCAAAACAGTGTGGTAATGTAATAAGAATAGACATATAGATGAATATAATAGAATTCTTCTGGATATTAACCAAGTCCATCAAGGAGGTACCTCTATGAGTCTGCAAAAACCACAGTGTTACTGGGCTTGGGGTGCTCCCTCAAGCAGACACAGCTTAGATTACAACACCCAAGTCCTTTCAAATATCTGGAAAGCCTTTTGAAGAAGGATAGCTACAAACAAGCCCCAACAGTGAAGACTACAATAAATACCTAATTCTTCAATTTCCAGACACTGAAGAACACGTACTAGCATCAACACCATCCAGGAAAACACGACCTCAGTAAATGAACTAAATAAGGCACCAGAAACCAATCCTTGAGAAACAAAGATAGTGACCTTTCAGACAGAGAATTCAAAATAGCTGTGTTGAGGAAACTCAAAGAAATTCAAGATAACAGAGAGAAAGAATTCAGAATTCTATCAGATACATTTAACAAAGAGATTGAAATAATTAAAAAGAATCAAGCAGAAATTCTGGTGCTGAAAAATGCAACTGACATACTGAAGAATGCATTAGAGTCCTTTAATATTAGAATTGATCAAGCAAAGGAAGGAATTAGTGAGCTTGAAGACAGGGTATTTGAAAATACACGGTCAGAGGAGACAAAAGAAAAAAATAACAAAAAACAAGTATGCCTACAGGATCTAAAAAATAGTCCCCAAAAGGCAACTCTAACAGTTATTGGCCTAAAAGAGGATGTGGAGAAAGAGATATGGGTAGAAAATGTATTCAAAGAGATAATAACAGAGAATTTCCCAAACTTAGAGAAAGACATCAATATCCAAGTACAAGAATGTTACAGTACACCTAGCAGAGTTAATCCAAAGAAGACTATCTCAAGGCATTTAATAATCAAACTCCCAAAGGTCAAGGATAAAGAAAGGATCCTAAAAGCAACAACAGTAAAGAAACAAATAACATACAATGGAGCTTCAATACATCTGCCAGGAGACTTTTCCATGGAAAACTTACAGGCCAGGAGAGAGTGGCATGACATTTAAAGTGTTGAAGAAAAAAAAAAAAAACTTTTACCCTAGAATAGTTTGTCTGGTGAAAATATCCACCATCAAACACGAAAGAGAAATAAAGCCTTTCCTAAAAAAATGAAAGCCGAGGGATTTCATCATCACCAGACCTGTCCTACAAGAAATGCTGAGGGGAATACTTCAGTCAGAAAAGAAACAACATTAGTGAGCAATAAATGATCACCTGAAGCTACAAACTCACTGGTAAGTCACAAAAAATCAGAATATTATAACACTGTAACTGTGGTGTGTAAATGACTCTTGTACTCTTGTCCTAAGTATAAAGACTAAATGATGAAACAATAACAAAAATAGTAACTGCAGCAACATTTCAAGACACGGTACAATAAGATATATCTAGAAACAACAAAAAGTTTAAAATTTGGGGGATGAAGTTAAAGCATAGAGTTTTTATTAGTTTTCTCTTCCTTTGTTTGTTTATGCAAACAGTGTTAAGTTGTTATCAGGTTAACATAACATATAAAACAGTATTTGCAAGCCTCATGGTGATCTCAAACCAAAAACATACAACGAAGACACACACACACACACAAAACTAAGTAATATCACCAAGGAAAATCACCTTTACTACTGGAAGACAGGAAAGAAAGAAGGAAGGGAAGACCACAAAACAACCAGAAAGCAAATAACAAAATGGCAGGAGTAAGTGCTTAGTTCTAAATAATAACATTGAATGTAAATAAACTTAACTCTCCAATCAAAAGACATAGACTGGCTGAATGAAGGAAAAACATGACCCATTGATCCATTGCTTATAAGAAACACATATTCCCTGTAAAGACACACATAGATGAAAAATAAAGGGATGAAAACAGATATTCCATGCCTATAGAAACAAAAAAAGAGCAGCAGTTGCTATACTTACATCACACAAAATAGATTTCAAGACTGAAACTATAAGAGACAAGGAAGGTCAGTATATAATGATAAACGGGTCAATTCAGCAAGAAAATATAACAATTATAAATATATATGCACCCAATGCATATAAAGCAAATACTGTTAGAGCTAGGATAGGCTCCAATACAATAATAGCTGGAGACTCCAACACCCTATTTCGACATTGGACAGATCTTCCAGACAGAAAATCAACAAAGAAACATCAGACTTAATCTGCATTATAGAGCAAATGGATCTAATAGATAAATACAGAACATTTCATCCAATGGCTACAGAATGCACATTCTTTTCCTCAGCACATGAATTATTCTCAGGGAAAGCCGATATGTTAGGTCACAAGACAAGCCTGAAAACATTTTTAAAATTGAAATAATATCAAGTATCTTCTCTGACCACAAAGGAATAAAATTAGAAATTAATAACAGGAGGAATTTTGGACCTATACAAATAGGTGGAAAGTAAACAATACGCTCCGAATGACCAGGAGTCAATGAAGAAATTAAGAAGAAGATTGAAAAATTTCTTGAGCAAATCATAATGAAAACACAATATACCAAACCCTATGGGATACAGCAAAAGCGGTACCAAGAGGGACGTTTATAGCTATAAGTGCCTACATGAAAAAAGAAGAACTTCAAATAAACAATCTAATGATGCTTCTTAAAGAACTGGAAAATCAAGAGTAAGCCAAATCCAAAATTAGTAGAAGAAAAATAATATAGATCAGAGCAGAAATAAATGAAATTGTAACGAAGAAGACAATAGAAAAGACCAATGAAACAAAAAGTTGGTTTTTTGAAAAGTTAAACAAAAGTGACAAATTTTAGCCAGAGTAATGAAGAAAAAAGAGAGAAGATCCCAATAAGTAAGATCAGAAATAAAAAAAGGTGACATTACAACTGATACTGCAGAAATTCAAAGGATCATTAGTGGCTGCTATGACCAATTACATGCCAATAAATTGGAAAATGTAGAAAAATGAACAAATTTCTAGACACTTACAACCTACCAAGATTGAACCAGAAAGAAATCCAAAACCTGAACAGACCAATAACAAGTAATGAGATCAAAGTCATAATAAGAAGTCTCCCAGTAAAGAAAAACCCAGGACCTGAAGGCTTCACTGCTGAATTTTACCAAACTTTTAAAGAAGAACTAATCCCAATCCTACTCAAACTATTCCAAAAACTAGGAAAGGACGGAATACTTCCAAACCCATTCTGCAAGGCCAGTATTACACTGATACCAAAACCAGAGAAAGACCCATTTTAAAAAAAGAAAACTACAGGCTAATATTGCTGATAAATTTTGATGTAAGAAATCCTCAGTAAAATACTAGCAAACTAAATTCAACAATACATTAGAAAGATCATTCATTACAACCAAGTGGGACTTATCCTTGGGATGCACGGATGACCCAACATATGCAAATGAATCAATGTGATACACCATATCAACAGAAGAAAGGACACAACCATATGATCATTTCAATTGATGCTGAAAAAGCATTTGATAAAATTCAACATCCCTTCATGATAAAACCCCTCAAAAAACTGGGGATAGAATGAACTATCTCAACATAATAAAAACCATAAATGACAGACCCATAGCTAGTGTCATAATGATTGGGAAAAAATCAAAAGCCTTTCCTCTATGATCTGGAACATGACAAGGATGCCAACTTTTCTCACTGTTATTCAGCATAGTACTGGAAGTCTTAGCTAGAGCAATCAGACAAGAGAAAGACATAAAAGACATCCAAATTGGAAAGGAATAAGTCAAATTATCCTTCTTTGCAGACAGTATGATCTTATATATGAAAAAATGTAAAGACTCCACAAAAAAACTATTAGTACTGATAACCAAATTCAGTAAAGTTGCAGGATACAAAAATCAACATACAAAAATCAGTAGAATTTCTATATGCCAACAGTGAACAATCTGAAAAAGAAATTAAAAAGTAATCTCATTTATAATAGCCACAAATAAATTAATTCCCTAGGAATTAACCAAACCACTGAAAGATTTCTATAATGAAAAGTATGAAACACTGATGAAAGAAGTTGAAGAGGACACCAAAAAATGGAAAAATATTCCATGTTCATGGATTGGAAGAATCAATATTGTTAAAATATCTATACTACCTAAAGTAAGCTACAGTTTCAATGGAATCCCTATCAAATTATCAATGACATTCTTCACAGAAATAGAAAAGACAATCCTAAAATTTATCTGGAACCATAAAAAGACCCAGAGTAGCCAAAGCTATCCTGAGCAAAAAGAGCAAAACTTGAGGAATCACATTACCTGACTTCAGTTTATACTACAGAGCTATAGTAACCATAACAGCATGGTACTGGCATAAAAACAAACACATAGACGATGGAACAGAATAGAGAACCCAGAAACAAATCCACACACCTATAGTGAACTCATTTTGGACAAAGATGCCAAGAACATACACTGGGGAAAGACAATCTCTTCAATAAATGATGCTGGAAAAACTGGATATTCATATGCAGAATAATGAGACTAGACCCCCATCTCTCACCATATACAAAAATCAAATAAAAATGGATTAGAGAGCTACATCTAAGACTTCAGACTATGAAACTGCTATGAGAAAGCATTGGGGAAAATCTCCAGGACATTGGTCTCGGAAAAAACATTTCTTGAGCAATACCCCACAAGCGCAGGCAACCAAAGCAAACATGGACAAATGGGATCACATCAAGTTAAAAAGCTTCTGCACAGCAAAGGGTACGATAACAAAGTGAAGAGACAACTCACAGAATGGTTGCAAACTACCCATTTGACAAGATTACTAACCGGAATATATAAGGAACTAAAACAACTCTATTGGAAAAAAAAAAAAACTAATAACCTGATCAAAAAAATGGGCAAAAGGTTTGAATAGACATTTCTCAAAAGAAGATGCACAAATGTCAAACAGGCATATGAAAAGGTGTTCCACATCCTTGATCATCAATGTAAATCAAAACTACTATGAGATGTCATTTCACCCCAGTGAAAATGGCTTATATCCCAAAGATAGGCAATAACAAACTCTGGGGGATGTGGAGAAAAGGGAACCCTTGTACAGTGATGGCGGGAATCCAAATTAGTACAACCACTATGGAGAACTGTTTGGAGGTTCCTCAAAAAACTAAAAATTGAGCTAACATATGCTCCAGCAATCCCACTGCTGGATATATCCAAAAGAAAGGAAATCAGTATATTGAAGAGATATCTGTACTCCTATGTTTGTTCCAGCACTGTTTACAATAGATAAGATGTGGAAGCAACCTAAGTGTCCATCAACAGATGAATGGATAAAGAAAATGTGGTATGCATACACAATGGAGTACTATTTAGCCATAAAAAGAATGAGATCCAGTCATTTGCAACAACATGGGTAGAACTGAAATCATTATGTTAAGTGAAATAAGCCAGGCACAGAAAGACAAACATTGCATGTTCTCACTTATTTATGGGATCTGAAAATCAAAACAATTGAACTCATGGATACACAGAGTAGAAGGATGGTTACCAGAGACTGGGAAGGGTAGTGGGGGGTTTGTGGGGAGGTGGGGATGGTTAATGGGTACCAAAAAATAGAAAGAATGAATAAGACCCACTATTTGATAGCACAACAGGGTGACTATAATCAGTAATAACTTAATTGTACATTTTAAAATAATTTGTAGAGTGTAAATTGGATTGTTTGCAAATGCTTGAGGGGATGGATACTCCATTCTCCATGAAGTGCTTATTCCCATTGCATCCCTGTGTCAAAACATCTCATGTACCCCATAAATATAAGTACCTACAATGCACCCACAACATTAAAAAAATTTAAAAACAGCAAATGGATGTGTGCCTCTCTTTGGTGACAATTGGGAAGATGAAAGATAAGAGACTTTACCATTTGACAGCTAACCCAGTCAGTAAGGAAAAACCTAAGGGACAGTGAGGGGTGACAGCCACCAAATAAGAGGAATGTGAACCCCATGTCTGAGGCTGTGGTGCTATTTAAAAAAAAAAAAGTAGCACATGAATAGCAGGGCAGGTGCTGAGATGGGACTCTGGGTCTGAGCAGTACAAAATGCAGTGTGCTCTTGCTTATTTTTGCTGCTTTTGAATTCTGCTCACTGTCACTTTAGAAGCAGGAGGCCTTTGGCTTGAATCTGGGTGTTTTCCACAACCTCACTAAATTACTCAGTTTTAAAAGAAACCCAACTTCTCAAATTTTTTTTTTTTTACTTGAGCAGGTTTCTATTCTAAAAACAAAAAAAGCTTTAGATTTAGAATTTTTTGATGAAGCAAATGTAAAATGATTCAAACAAATACTAGGGCTTTATGCACACCAAGAAGCCTTTTTGAGCCTGCTCTGAATAAGCAATACATCAGGGCCAGGTGCTCTGAAGAGTAAGGCTGAGAGTCTAAAGACAGGGTGATGTCTAGACATGCTGCCAAAAAAGTGAGTTTGAGAACTCTATTAGTGTCATAACTGGTGTGACCTAGCATGAGACTCCTTGGTCCCTTAGCCTACAGATTCATGGAAGAGGGATTGGGAAAATATCCCAGCTGTAGTATCTAGTCTCTGCAAGACCTTTGGGAAGTACAGAATGAAGCACAGAGATTCAGGACAAGTTGTTTGGTTTTCTGCAGTACCTGATTGGTGGCCCTATGGAAGTTTAGGTACAGAAACCTATCTTGTCTGGAAGGACCTTGCTGTACATAGTGTACATGGCCCAGAGCTCATGGTGGAGAACGGAAGGGCTGGGAAGGGCCAAGACCTCTTCTAGGGATGTGGGCAATATGCCAAAGGGTAGGGACAAGCTGAGATCTGGAGGCCATGTTGCTTTTCAGGGATCACTTTTGGGTCTGTGGCTGCAATTCTAATGCCATCTATTGCCAGTTTGCCCAGATGCCTTAATACTCTTACCTGGTTCCTTTCTGCTTATTTTCATCCTAATGTTAGGCCTTTGGTTATTCAATAATGATTTTGTTGCTAAATTACAGTATGCCTACTCATAAAAATATGTTATCATACTAATGTTCTGAGCTTATAAAAATCCAATTTGCCAACTTGTTTTTACTGTTTTAAATACACCCTAGCAATAGCCTATGACAGAGAATCCTACGGCAGTTCAATGGCTTAAAATTCTGGGTTGGTAATCCTATTTCACAGCTAAGATTCAGAGAGGTAAAGTTACTCTTCCAAGGCTACACAGTCAGTAAATTGCCAGTAAAGGACATAGTCACCATATGACCTAGGTATTTTATTCTTAGGTATTTACCCTTGCGAAATGAAACAAAGTCTATATCTGTACAAACACTTGCATGTGAATTTTCATAGCAGCTTTATTTGTAATACTTCTCAGCAATAAAAAGGAACAATCTGTTGATACATACAACAACATGGTCATATCTGAAAAACATTAGCTGAACGAAAAAAAAACCCAGACACAAAAGAGTACATATTGTTGTGACTGGGCGTGGTGACCCATGCCTGTATTCCCAGCACTTTGGGAGGCCAAGGCTGGCGGGTCACTAGAGGTCAGGAGTTTGAGACCAGTCTGGCCAACATGGTGAAACTCCGTCTCTACTAAAAATATAAAAATTAGCTGAGCATGGTGGTGCGCACCTATAGTCCCAGCTACTTGGGAGGCTGAGGCACGAGAATTGCTTAAACCCGGCAGGTGGAGGTTGCAGAGAGCCAAGATCGTGTCACTGCACTCCAGCATGGGTGACAGAGCGAGATTCCGTCAAAAAAAAAAAAAAAAAAAGAGTACATATTGTCTAATTACAATTATATGAATCTCTAGAAAATACAAATCTAATTTACAGTGATAGGGAATAGATCAGTTATTACCTGGGGCTGGGAGAGGGGTAGGAGATTAACTGGCAAGGGGAACAAGAAAATTTTGGGGAGTGATGGAAATGTTTTATATCTTGGTAACTTTGGTGGTTACATGGGTATATAAATGTGTACAAATTCACTGTACTGAATTTCTTAGAACATGTGCATTTTATAATATGTAACTTATAACAATAAAATTGATTTAAAATTATATTTCTAGTATTAGACCTCAAAATCACAGGTGGGAGTTTCTAAACATACAGATTTCCAGGACTCATGCCAGATCTGATGAATTAGAATCTTTGGCATTGGCACCCAGGCAAGTATTTGCTTGAAAAATTCTTATAGGTGATTCACATGAATATCTCTGGTTTAGAACCACATCTGCAGGTGAAGAAATATAAAGATGAAAATATTTTAAAGTTACATTAAGTATTAATGTCATAAAACAGTTTGCATAACATGATTATATTTTTGTAAGCCCAGAATATATATAAACTCAGAAACTACATAGAAGAAAAACATAAATATTTAGGAGATTTATGGTTATTTTTATGTGATGCCCTTTGCTATTCTGTGTGTTTAAAAATAAAGACCATATCCTACTTTTACAATGAAAAAATTAGTTACTTTTAAATTAGCATAAGAAGGCTTAAAGTGGAGGGACCATGAACTTGGTGGAGGCCAGGATGAAATGGATCAGGAGCACTGCTGAAAGATTTAGTTTTTGATAAAAAGAAATGACATCTGTCCCATGTAGATGGAAGAAAGGTGGCAGTGGGTTAGGTAAAGTGATAGATTTGGGGCCTTATTTATTCTATTTCCTCTCTGAAGCAGGAGATGTGGTCAGCTGCTGAGAAGCGTGGAGGTGGGAGTGGGAGAGGCGTCATATAATTTATACGGGAGTTAATGTCTCTTCAGCCTTGGCTGTCCAGTGTAATTTCAGGGTCTGTGAACTGCTTACAATTGTATTCATGTTTGTGTGCGTGTATTTCTTTGTCTGTAACGTTGATAAGATTCTTAAAAGAGTCTGTGACCAATCACCTCTCAAAGATGAGAATTAGACATAGTCTGCAAGTGGGGCACTCTTAAGTGTTGGCATAAGTCACGGGCTGCTTAACTTTCTGAGGGGTTTGTGATATCGTATTCTGTTGCTTCATCACCACCTCGTGGTCAAATATATGCATTACCAGATTTTGTATCAGGGCAATGGTTTCTTAAATCTGAAAGGAACTTGAGGCATTATATGGTCTAATGCCCCATTAGTTATGAGAATTAATAATTATTATAAAGTTTTCCTTCAAAATATTGAACCAATGTGAATATGTATGAGTGATGAGCCCTGCCAAGCCTAGATAATTACATTTCAAGACTTAAAGGTCTTTGCAGAGGTGATCTCTAAGTTAGTGTTTTTGTGATTTGAAAAGGTCAAAGAGGCTGGACGCAGTGGCTCATGCCTGTAATCCCAGCACTTTGGGAGGCCAAAGTGGATGGATCACCTGAGGTCAGGAGTTCGAGACCAGCCTGGCCAACATGGTGAAACCCTGTCTCTACTAAAAATACAAAAATTAGCAGGGCATGGTGGTGCATGCCAGTAATCCCAGCTACTGGGGAGGCTGAGGCAGGAGAATCGAGTGAACCCGGGAGGTGGAGGTTGCAGTGAGCCGAGACTGCCATTGCATTCCAGACTGGGCAACAGAGCAAGACTCTGTCTCAATAAATAAATGGTCAAAGGGCATTTAAACTTAGTTGCATATTAAGATCACTTAGAGAACTTTGAAAAATTCTGATGCCCAGGCCACACATCATATGAATTAAACTCTCTAAGAGTGAGAGATCCAGACATTGATAGTTTTTCTAAAGTGTCCCCTACCCCAGGTGATTCCACAGAGACACATCTGAGAGCCTCTGCCACAGCAGCTTGCTATTCAAGGTGTGATCCATTGACTAGCAGCATTGGCATCACCTGAGAGCTTGCTAGTCATGCAGAATCTCAGATCCTGCTCCAGACCTCATGAATCAATCTGTATTTTAATAATTCCCAGGTGGTTCAGTTCATATTAAATTTTAGAAGTGCTGCCATGGAGAACAGAATTGGTGTCCAGTAAGTCTGCTGGATATGGAAGGCTGGAATGGTGCCTGGAAGGTGAGTTTCTCATCTTTGATCACATCCAGTTACAGGAAATGCATTATATCTGTGCCTCTGTTAGATAGTTCTAATTTTCAGAAAGTTCTGTTTTGGGTAGATGTCAAAATCTACTCTCTAGTCACTTCTACAAACTGTCCCCGTGTTTTTTTCTAATGTTTGAATGCAGATATTATTCTACTCTTAATTTTCCTTCTTTAAATCTCTCCCTCCTAACCTTCCAGTTTCTTTAGTCCGTGTATGATATTTTTGCAGAACTCTCTTTAGTAATTCTACACTAAAAATGGCTCTTGGGACTGAAAGTGGGATTTTCGATGTGATGTGACATAATGAGTACAGTAGGAAAATGATTCCCCTTCATCTAGAAATTCTGCTAATGTCTCCTTTTTGCTTCCTGAAAATCAGGATATTAGTCATGGTCTTCGTCAAATGCTACATTATAGAGAACCTGTATCCGGCAAACAAATCAACATTGATGGTCCCAGGGCCTCAGATGATTCATATGCTACCACTAATAGTGTCCTGAGCTCTCAGAGAGAGACCAACGTGTGAGTCCTGGGCTGAGGTTTTTTGGACCTTTGTCTCCAGTGCAGCCAGACTCTTGTCCCCAATCCCCTTCTCCTAGGACCACATCCTTTCACAAAGACAGCCCTTCCCTCAGTGTGGCTGACAGGGAAAACCTGCAAAACGCAACTGCTGCCTCTGATCTCACTCTGTCCATTCTGTCTTGCCTTTGACTCCAAACTCAAACTAATGACAACCACTCCTGTTCTTACTGTGGCCTTAGTTCCTCGTGCTTGACCATAATACACCTTGTG
Organism: Homo sapiens; assembly: GCF_000001405.40. NCBI lineage: Eukaryota > Metazoa > Chordata > Mammalia > Primates > Hominidae > Homo > Homo sapiens. Next base: position 84,493,933 of record NC_000002.12, on the reverse strand, counting down.
TGCCTTGGTGGGGAGCCTTGCTTGTTGTCACAGTCTCTTCAAACTGAACAAACAGCCTATCATGGACCAGTTTCATATCAGTTATCCTTGTTAGAATATTTGATATCAGCATCTCACCCCTTTACTCATCTTTGGGCCTGAAGCTGTTGTGTCTACCAAGGATGTCCCAGCCTAGCTTCCTCTTGGACCATCTGCGTCACTTGTATAGCCATCCAGTCTTCTGGCGCCGATTCCTTCTGGAGCCTTTCAGTGATGACTCATTTACATAACTTTTTAACTCCAGGAATTTAAACTATGTAGGCTCAGCCAACGATTTTTGCTTATAGAGTTCAAATTAGCATCTTGGAGAGAAATTTTTCAGCATTTGTTGAGTTTTGAAAGCTACGTGTATCTTTTAAAGGTAGTTCCTCTTTTATAAATTTGACTTTAAAAATATGTGATCAGAGGCACAAAGATATTTATTTAAGGATTTTAATGGAAGCTACATTTAAATAAAATATAGTATCTAAACTATGATTCCCAATAAGTTGCTCTAGCCAATTAAAACGATGAAGGAGAGTTATATGTATTGACATGACATGGGGCAATATACTCAATATACTGCTAAGTGAAAATGTGAGTTTCAGAATATTATACATTATTTCATTTTGTTTAAAAATATACATATGGTATATAGTCTATATTTATGGTACAGAATTTGTATACATATATTATCTACATATAGCACAGAGCAGGGATTAGCAAACTCTAATCTATGGGTCAAATCCAGACTTCTACCTGTGTTTTTGTAAATAAAGTTTCACTGGATCATAGCCATGCCCCTTTAAAATAGTAAATAAAAATATTTACTATCTGGTCCTTTAAAGTAAAGATTTCCCAACCCCTGCTATAGTAAATATATATACATGTAGTATATAGAAAAATATATAGAATATACAGTATATATAGAAAGCGGTCACCATGTCAAGATAAAGTACCATTTTTATTTTAGGAGACTGAATCTTCTAGAAAATTTCTCATTGCTGTCAGCTTTTGCTTGTGTTATGATTTTGTAGTTTGTGTCATTATTTTTTATTATCTTTAGACATATTGGAACTCAGTAAGTTAATACTAGAAAGACTCCAGAAATTGTGGTTTCAAATGGTAAGAAGATAGTGACACACAGTGGGCAATAGCAGTAAGCTCTGAGAATTCATTCCCCGAGGCACTTAGGTATTTGGATAAAAAGTGTATGACAAGATTATTCCCATAGATGTAAGAGCAATATGGCATTTTGACTATACCAAACTAATTTTATTTCTTCTTAAAACCCCACTAAAAGAATTTCTTTAAAGTTGGAAACTCAGAAAAATTAGAAGAATGGGAAAAGAAACAAAAATATGAAATATGAATAGTAAGTGATTTAACAAAAAATAAAGGTGGACTCTAAGCAATAGTGAGAAAAGAAAATAACCAACTAATATACATAATAGAATCCTTCAAGCCTCTGGAATTTGTGGCACCACACAGGTCTGGAAATAAGGGTTGAAACAAGGGGGTTGGTTGACAGTCTGTTCAAGGATTGAATGGGTCTTCAGATTTGCTCCATCCTCCCCCAGTTACAGGACAAGACTGGAAATTTATTCTCTGGAATGAGTAAAACAGAAGGTCTCTACTCTAAGGGACAGTAGGCACATTTGAAGGTGGGTAGCCTACTAAAAACAGTGTCATTATCTGAATGTGAGCATGCAAAATGACAAGATCACCCAACCCTCTTTCCCTACTTAGCTCTCAGAAAGGTGACATAGTGTGTTGAATCATTACAATTTTCTTTAGACCTAAGGCATTCCCAAGATGGGGTCTATTTTAAAATTATGATAGGCCTGAGCAAACAAGGATGAGCTGGTTACCCAAGCCTTAAAGCACTGGTAGTTAGACCTCCACCTTCTGAGCAGTAGACTGGGAGAATCTTCTCGGCGGAATCTGACCGGCGCAACGGGGAAGACCTGAATGTGTGGGCAGCCAAGTTCTACGACTAAGTGGCCCAGCCAGATCAACCCTGCAGTGAAGCATACAGTAAACAAGTTTTACCTGGGTACTGTTTTGTGTTTTTAGACCCTCTGTCTTAAAAATAGGCAGACAACTAAAGACTGTTAGAAAATTCAAGGAAAGCCTCTAACACCAAAGACAGAAACCAAAACATTCAACAGAAAAAACAACTTGAGAGGTAGGCACATGATTCAAATTGCAATGATCAGAGTCTTTATCTTGAATTCTAAAATGTGGATCTGGGAGAAAGAACACTTCTTCTGCAGTCCCAGACATCATGTCCACAATGAAGATAGAATGAAGGGAATAAGCTTAAAGAATATACTTGTCCCTTTACGGCAAAAAAGTAAAAGCTCTCCCAGAAGCCCCTATGTTTGATTTGGACTTATGTCTCATTGGCCAGGACTGGATCCAACAGTCACACCTTGCTGAAAGGAATGCTGAGAAGGTAGAGAACAGAATTGTTGTAAGTGGCTTTTAACAGTCATGATCCATTCCCTGGGCTCATGGCCACTCCCCCTCCCACCCTAAAAAAGAAACAACATAGGATTCTACTGACAAGAAAGAATAGGCAAAAAAGAAGCTATATGGAAAATATGTCTGCCATACGAACCAAAGTAAGCAGGTTAAAATGTTAAAAATATAGTTGAAACTGGAACTCACATACGTTGCTTGTGGAAATACAAAATGATACAGACACTTTGAAAAACAGTTTGGCAGTTTCTTATGAAGGTAAAAATACACTCTCTGGATGACTTACCTACTCCACTCCTGGACAGTTTCCTAGATAAAATAAAAATATATGTTTACCTCAAAACCTGTATTGCAGATGTTTTATAGCTACCTTATTTTTAATCTCCACAATTGGAAGCAACCTAAAGATTTATCAATGGATGAACTGATAAACAAACCATGGTACATTTACCCAATGCACTATACAACTCAGCAATATAAAGGAACAAACTACTAATATGCAACAACTTGGATGAATCTCAAATGCATTATGCTAAGTGAAAGAAACCCAATTAAAAATCATATATTCATGGGCCAGGGACAGTGGCTCACACCTGTAAATCAGCACTTTGGGAGGTGGAGGTGGGTGGATCACTTGAGGTTAGGAGTTTGAGACCAGCATGGCCAACATGGTGAAACCCCGTCTCTACTAAAGATATAAAAATTAGCCGAGTGTGGTGGCACACACCTGTAGTTCCAGATACTTGGGAGGATGAGGCAGGAGAATTGCTTGAACCCGGGAGGTGGAGGTTGCAGTGAGCTGAGATAATGCCACTGCACTCCATCCTGGGTGACAGAGTGAGACTCCATCTTAAAAATAAATAATATATTCATGATTCTACTCATATATCATTCTGGAAAAGGCAAAACTATAGCAATAGAAAATAGGTCAGTGATTACCAATGGTTGGAGGTAAGAGGAGGGGTTGACTTCATTGAAGCATGGGGAAATTTGGGAGGTGAGGGAGGAGTTCTATATTTTGATTGTGGTGATGGTTATATGACTGGGTACCTTTTTCAAAATGCAAAGAATTGTACATTAAAAGGGTGCTGTTTACTGAATGCACATTAAATTATACAAGAAAAAGTGGAAAAGAAAAGAAAAAGAGAAAGAAAAGAAAGAAGAAAGAAAAGAAAGAGTCAGAAAGAAAGAAAACCAAGCGTTAAGACTTTCTGGAAGAAGTTCAGCAATAACATGAAAGTAGAACACTAAAGACATATCCTATTTCTGTGGAAAACAATATGTGGTAGATACAAACATTTCTGCTGCTGCTTCAGGCCAAAAAGTCCAAGTATTAAAAAAATGTAAAAAACTGAAAAAATGCTTTGTTCTGGGATTCACAGTGTATGGTGGGGGTATTGGTCTTCACTGGGGCCTGAGGGACACAAGATTCAGAAACATCAACAGTGGTGTCATTTCAAGCATCTGTTGATAGTGAGTCTCTATGTTAGTGGTTCTCAAAGTGTGTTCCCTGGGCAGCAGTATCAGCATTACCTGGGAACTCGTTAGAAATGAAAATTTTGCAGCCCCATCTCAGAACTACTGAATCAGAAACTCTGGGGATGAGGTCTAACAACCCATTTTTTAACAAGTCTTCTGGGTGATTCTGAGGCATGCTAAGTTTGAGAACACTGCTCTAGATTAAACAAATATAGGTCAAGGAGTGAACTGTGGGTCTAACCAATTCAGAGTGAATTCTAGCAAGTTCACAGACCATATTCTCTAATCAGCCTTAAGAATAAGGAGGTGCAAGGCAGAGCTAATTTTATAGAGCTTCTTTAAGAGAAAGAAAGAAGAATAGAGAAAGAAAGAAAAAAAGGAAAGAGAAAGAATACATTTGTAGAAACCTGTGAGTATGTGAAGATATCGCTTGGGGCCTTTGGAAGGCCTTGGAAGGAACTTGTCCAAGCAAGGATCCTAAAGCCTAAGCTCCATTCAATACTTACTAAACCTGCATCTGTAGGTTTAGGTTTATCATATCATAAAAGATATGATACATATCTTTTAACTTCAAAAGTATATCATATATAAGGAATGAATTTTTTTCAGCATCACTCTGACTCCTATGTCTTTCTCAAGAAATAATGATGCCTCCCTGATTCAACAATTGAAGAATACATAATTTTCTAGTGGGAATGGGAATTACAATGTGCCCCAGGTAGCAATTATTCAATTAGATGTTGACCCTAAAGACACTCTCATGTTCTCTACCAATAACTTCCAGAAAGTAAAAAAGAAATTTAAAAGATAAAAAAGAAAGCAAAAAAGAAACTCTTACATATGCACACTGTTGAAGTTATAGGGAGGCCAATAACATACCCCACTTTTCCCTGAATGATTTCAGACCTATTTGAGAAATAGACACAGGAGCTAAGTAAATAATCTATATCATCTTTATCATTGATAAAGCTATTATGAGGGAGAGAGCTTATGGTGAGGGCTTATCTGTGCTCCCTGCCACTCATCATCTACATTCCCACCTCCAATCTATACCTAGAGGTAGCTCACCCCAAATAAAGTTTGGATCAGACGTAATGGCCCTACATCACTAATTTAATGCCTGCTATGGTAGACAGAATAATAGCTCCTAAAGATGTTTAGGTCCTCATCCTGGAATGTGTAAATGTGTAAATATGTCTCCTTACATGGCAAAAGGGACTTTCCAGATGTGATTAAAGTAAGGATCTTGAAATGGGGAGATTATCCTGGATTATTCAGGCGGGCCCAATGTAATCATAAGGGTCTACATAAGAGGGAGGAGGCAGGAAGATCAAATTAAAAAAAGAAGTGACGGCGGAAGTAGAGGTTGGAGTGGTATACTTTAAAGCTGAAAGAAGCGGCCAGGAGCCAAGGAATGTGGGTGGCCTCTAGAAATTGGAAAAAATAAAGATTCACTCCTAGAGCCTCCAGAAGGGATGCATCACTGCCAATACTTTAATTTAGATTTAACTTAATTTTAGATTTCTTTTTTTTAATTTTTTTAATTTTTTTATTTTTTTATTTTTTAATTTTTTTTATTATACTTTAAGTTTTAGGGTACATGTGCACATTGTGCAGGTTAGTTACATATGTATACATGTGCCATGCTGGTGCACTGCACCCACTAACTTTTAGATTTCTGACCTCCAGAACAGTAAGAGAATAAATTTGTGTTGTTTTAAACAACATTACCTTTGTGGTAATTTGTTACTCCCACTGTAGAAAACTAACATACCTACCTAGTATTCCCATCGTTGGGCATCTAGACCAGTTCTTATTTTCCCTTGCACATCTTTGTAAGCATGGATGAATTATTTTCTTAGGATGTTTTTTTAATGCCTAAAAACAGAGTACTCAATTTATATTCCTCAAACTGAGTACAAAAGTAGACTGGAATCCTAAGAGTGTGTCAGTTGACAAGACAGGATCTCTTTTAAAAGACAGCTTTGACATGTACAAATATCCCACTGTGTCAGGATGTCCTAGATTAGGTTGTTTGTCCCCAGGAATGTACTTTTCTCTCTACACAGTTATCCCCATAGACAGGGACTTGGTACCAGGTCCAAAGAGTATAATCAGCAATTCAGTAACAGGTTTTAAGTGCTGACCTCAGGTCTCCCGCTGACCTGGAAAGGGGCCTGCCCTTGCTCTCTGGCTTCTTCCACCAGTGGGCCCAAATATTTGTGAAATTCAAGCTGTGCTTCATTACGGGCAGACTTTAGGCCCCTATTCACAGGCAGCATTATTTGGCAAGTGTCTACAAGGGCTGCTCAAGATTTAACCACAAATCTTTCCTATATTGTCTATGACTTTAATACAAGAGATAAGTTTGAGTTCTGTCTCCTCCATCCAGGGACTGGAAATAACAAGCATTGTTGGCTCTGCAGGAATTACTTTTTGTTAGCCAGGGATACAACAGGAGCCAGACTCCATGTGGCTAGGGGGATGAATACCATTGCAGTTGCTCAAGCTGTCAGTGATAAGTTGGGTTTTCTCAACTCTTCACAGGGTTCATATTATTCTAGTCGAGGCTGTGGCCATGATAACTGTGGTGCCTGGATTTGAGGCATTCAGATAATATCCTATATTTATGTAGCAGCATCTTCTATTGTCCAGTGGAATTTCAATGCACATTGGATCCTCGAAATAGTTCTGGACCAGAGGATGGGTAGATATAAATGTTGCCACTTGGCAGATGAGAAATTTAATGCAAAGAGAAATTGTACTTTTAAAAGTCTTATGTAATCAATGCCAGGACAAAAATTTTGGGTCTCCTGATTCCCAGACCACATTTACTCTTTTTGTCTATGGTAAATGAATAAGAAAGAAAAATGCAAACCTGTGTGAAGCTAAATTTTATGTTGTCAGACCTGTGGCCGGGTTTTTCTGGGCTCCTTTGGCATCCCCAGTTGAGTCTTTGCTCTCCAGGTATCAGAGAGCCTCTTTTGCTCACCCTTGTAACCCGCCACTGAGCACTGGTCCAGACTTATAAATGATGCTAAATAAATATTTGTTGAATGAACAAGTGATTGATTGATTCTAATCATTAAACTCCTAAGCCACTGAGTCCAGGGAACACTGTATATGGTTTTGTAGAAGCAGTTTCCTCTGGCCTCCTTGTCTCTTGTCTGCTGAATGTTTTGTTCTTCTATTGCATATGTGGTGAAATAAAACTCCTTCTTTCTTGCCATGGGAAAGGCAAACAGCCATGTAGACCTGGAAGACTGCCAGGTTTGTATGGGCAATAAAGGAGGCAAGCCAGTTAGCTATTAACTAACAGAGAAAATAATTCAGCTGCTTATCACACTCTAGTCACTTGCCTTTGGAGGCCTTTTCCTGACTTTTTCCAGCCCAGAGTGGTAAGATTAAGGCCTTGGGCAATCACAGTGTACATTTGTTTTCCCTACCTTTCTCCAACTGTATCCAGGTGTCCCCAGGTTATAATAAACACCAGGCAGCTTGAGGTGGAAGAAGTCAGGCAGGCAGTCTGCAGGCTAAGGGGTGAGTAAAGCTGGAGGAGGCGGAACCTCAAGAAACTGATGACTTCAAATTTATTTGGGCACCATTTAAGGAGAGCCCCAAGCTTATTCCCCACTGGTGGCTTTTAAGGTTTTGGGGTTCTTGTATTCCATACTTAAAGTAAAGGTACAGAATTGTGAATATGTTAGCATGTGTTTTAGAAAGGTTGAGTAGTTTAAGGGTAGTGTGTGGGATAAACTAATGTTTTTCATGAGAAATGAGGCAGGAAAGGGAGTTTGAGCTGAAGCTCTGGAAGTCTCAAAAGGGTAAATGTACCAGCTAAGATAAAATATTTTCCATATTATCACACAAAGTTGATATCATTGGCAAAATCACAGTTTTAACTCCTTTTTAACAACTTAGTATCGCAAGTATTTATCCTATGAGGAATGAAGATTTTTGAACATGGGGACACATCAAATCATTTAAAACTTTTGTTTCAATTCTGCTTCTGAAAGCATGGGAATCAATTTAGGAGGTTGGAGTTTGGGGACAAGGCCAGCAATGCATCTTGTGTGCCGTGAAATATTTCCAAGTCCCACAGATGAGCAGGAATCAGTGGTTGGGGGTGTATTAGTGTGGAGAGGGTGGAAGATCCCAAAGAAATATCAATTCAGATGGGCAGACATATGTTGCACTAAGACCCACTCTTGCCGTAAAGAGATAGAGCTGGGTTGAACACTGAACTGGGCACATAATTGGCCTTTAGGAAGAGTTTGGGAGGGTGTAAATCTCCAATATTGGAGAAAAAACCAAAACCCCTCGAGCAGAAAGGATGTTTACAGCAGCACGTAGTACAGCCTCATGTAATCTTGTTGTTCTGCCCCTCTATAGGTTCCACCCACTATCCAACTTACTCATCCTAGGTCTTAATGCAGGAAGATGATGAAAACATCTAGAGTCCAGATGATGGTGCAAATCACTTCTTTACTGTCCCCATAAGGTCTTTCATTCCATCAGAGTCAGCCCTGAGTGGACACCCAAAGGCCCCAGTCTCCTTCCCTTCCTTATTCTCTCCTTTACTTTCTACCCCTCTGCCCTCCCCAGGGTTCTACCTGCATCCTGCCCCACTTCCATGCTGTGTTTGAGACAGTGAAACTCATTCCAGGCTCCCTCCTGGAAGGACAATGGTGAATAGACTAATACGCTAATTCTTAAGAGTACAGCACCTACATACAAACCCCCCATCGGATAACATTGATCACTGTCATGGCATAAATTCAACACATTATTGTTTTAAAAATTCCCCTTTCATTAGAGATTAGGATGGAGAAGAATAAAGGAGGTTAGAGAGACTCAAACTCTATTCTGTCATACTTTTACAGTTATTTAACTGCTTCTTGTGCCTTGGCCTTATCTTCTGAGTTAGACTGTTAGCAAAAGCTGAATTTTTGCCCTCTCTTGAATTTCCCGAAGCACTCAGAACAGGACTGGGTTCAGAACTCAGAATTATAGAATCTCTGGAATACAAGAAAACCTGTTGATATCATTTAGTCTGGTATTTGCAACCCTGATGCACACTTGAATAACTGGAGTGCTGTGGCAGGTAGAACAATGGCTCCCCAAAGATATCCACATTCTCATCTGTGGAATCTGTGACCATGCTGCCTTACATGGTGAAAGGGACTTGCTGATGTGACTAAACTTAAGGACCTCAAGATGAGGAGATTATATCAGATTATTCATGTAGGCCCAATCTAATTGGATGAGTCCCTAAAAGTGGAGGACCTTTCCCAGCTGTGTTCAGAGGGAGATGTGACTACAAGAGAATGGTCAGAGTGATGCAGCATTACTGGCCTTGAAGATGGAAAAAGAGGCCACAAAACCAAGGAATATGGGCAGCCTCTAGAAGCCAGAAGAGGCAAAGGAAGAAACTTTCCCCCACAACCTCCAGTAGAGAAAGTGGCCTTGCTAACATCTTGACTTGAGCTCAAATACCAACTTTTGGTTTTGGTGAACATTGTGTCTGCATCATGTAGTACAACACTTTGTTCTCAGATTTTGGTTTAAGACCAAGATGAAATAGACACACTTTACCCTATTCTTCTAATTGAGTACAGCTACAATTCCTGTACATTATAAAATAAGTATAAGGAGACTCTGAAATGTGGAGAGAAGATGGCAGATTGACTAGGGATCTAGGGACCTAAGGGATGATGTGATGATGGGTTTCCTGGATTTTCTTTCTGCCTCATATATCCTGGACTAGATGCAGATGTCAGCAACCCAGACACGCTGACAGGAATAGAAAAGCAAGCTCTCTCTAGCCAAAAGATGGGGAAAGGGTCAGCTTAGCAAGACAAATCTTTTAGAGTAGTTATACCCTACCCCAGCCAAACACCATGGGCAAAAACACAGTCTCATCCCCATTTCTGTCAACAAAAACCAAGTGGGTAACCTAGATTTCCATTATTGTTCAGCTGTAACAGGTGTCCCCTGCACCCCCAGAAACCAGGATAGTAGGGTGATATCTTTGTGGGGAGCTGGGACTTTTATTCCTACTCAGAAATAATAAAGCCCTCCCCCAAAGGTGTCAGTGGAGGTCACACACGAAGATGCTGGACTTCCCGCCCAACAATAATGAGGTACCCTTCCCTCTTCCTGCCTGTTATATCAGAGGAGGGCAAATGAGAAGCTGGAAATGTCACCATTAGGCATACTCCATGTCCTGAATGTTTATGGTACTTCCTATAAATCTATAATTATTTTAAAATAAGGTTTTTATATTAAATCCATAAACTTTGCTGTGCTTTCTCATGCCCTCATACTTATTCTAGGTGATTATATATCTCGGGGAGGTGGGGGAGTAGGGAGAAACATGGGGAAAGAGAAGAGGAAAGAGAGAGAGCACATAACCCACCATGACTGTGCAAATTTCTAAGACCCATCTCCAAGTCTGTGCTATCTCTAGGTTGATTGTTTCACAGTTGGTAGGTAGTTTGAAACACTGTCTGTCTTTATGGCATTCTGTTATCCTCAATATTGGCTGGCACATATGTAAATAGCATAAGGAGGAATATCAAGGCTTTGAGTATAAAATCCTGAGAGCTACTGGTCAAAAGCAGGGAGTTGCCAAATGCCAGGGACTGGATAAGAGTCAGGTGGGGAGTTTTTTAAAAATACAAATTATTGGCCAGGTGCAGTGGTTCACACGTGTAATCCCAGCACTTTGGGATGCCAACACCTGAGGATTGCTTGATCCTAGGAATTCAAGACCAGCCTGGACAACATAGTGAGACCCCGTATCTACCCCCCAAAATTAAAGAATTAGCCAGGCATGGTGCCACATACCTGTAGTCCTAGCTATTTGGGAGGCTGATGTGGGAGGATCACTTGAGCCTAGGAGTTGGAGGCTGCAGTGAGCTATGATCATACCACTGCTTTCCCGCCTCAGTGAGAAAAAGAGTGAGACTCTGTCTCAAAAAAGAAAAAAAAAAAAAACCGTAACATAAAATATGTTATCCTCACTGCTTTGTGTTTACCTCCCACTTGTCTGACACCTGCATTTTTAAGTGTCTCCTCCTCAGGGCTTGAATCCTGCTGGCAGGAAAGTAAGCCAAGGAGGCATGGAAGGCTTCCCAGGCCCCCTACACTCAATCTGTGCTCCTTCAGAACTATGATTGCCTTCAACAATAAGAACGAGTTGACCAAAAAACCTAGAGTGTCATTTAGAGCCACATCTGCTAGGCCCTGATAAGTCACAACCACGTCTGCCCCAAGGGGCTACCTCCTGAGTAGCAGTTGTTGGAGAAAATAGAGCTGTGAATCTGGGGTTGTTGCCTGTCATGAGTGAGACAGTGGTTGGTCTGGACAGATCCCTCGGACTGTCTTAAGGCTGCAGGAAGACAAAGAATTCTCAGCTTCCTCTAGAAGGGAGCAGTTTGCATTCTCTCTTGGTCTATCTTTTTAAAATGAGGTGATGCTATTCAATAGCCTGACACATTAAATGCCTGTCTGGTTTTATTTCACTTTCAGGAAGATCCAAAACTTTGGCCATCTATTTCACCTGGAAGCATGACTTAAACGTCAGCTCCAATACCACTGTAAAAATAAGTTAATTGGATCAGAGGGAAAGAGAACTGACATTTGCCAAGGACCTTCCTTGAGCCAAGAAGTGTGCAATATACTTTTTTTGTGTGTTGTTCTTTCTATTTTATATCACAACCCTGTGAGGTAGGCGTTATGATCCATATTTTATATATAGTGGAAGCTATACAAGAGGAATGCCCCCTAAAAATTAAATCTGTGAAGGTGTTTGCATATGTCTGTGTTTGTGTCAGGAGGTGGGTTCCCTCTTCTTTGGCAAAAAAAGTTGCTAGCTATGTCACAGGAGAGGCAGAGGCAGGAAACCACTTGGGAGCCTTTGAAAACGGCTGCAGGGTGGACCCATCTAGCATCACGGGGTGTGACTTCTCTTAGAGGAATGTGTAGGGGCAGAGCCACAATTGTCTGGTGAGAACAGAGTGGGTCACAGAAACAAGGGAGGATGGTGGATGTGCAACGTGATAGCTGAACCAGTACTCTAGGGCTACTGTGGTACTGCTCAGTAGGAAAGTGTTGCTCAGCAATGCTGCCTGAGAATGCAGGCTTCTACGGCCTAATCTCTGTCACCTCTAACTCTTTGTGCCAGAGTGGCATAGACCGGTAGGTCACTTCCTGCCTCCTTATGATTGTCATAAGCATCAAGAGGCACAAATGGGGATAGAGGAGGTAGACCTGAACAGCTGACCTCCTTGGTGTTTGCAGCATATGGGGAACAAAGCCAAGCATATGAGTTGCTCCTTGTGTCCTGTTAAATTCAAGTGGGGAATCTAAGACTCAGAGAAATTAGGTGATCTTCCCAAGGTGACACTGCTGTGATCTCTGCTGAAGCAGAGATCTGAGTTCCGAACTGTTGATGGTGAAGTCCATGTGTATTCTTTTCCACATGTTAGTGAGCTTTATCACTTTCATCAGCACTGGGTGAACATGTGAGGCTATTTTCATTTGTTTTTCAAAGTACATCTTGTTTCTTTTCTACTTACCATTTTATCTTGTTTCTCTTAAGTTCACAGAGAAATTTTTTTAAAGGATGGATATCATCTCAGTGTTAGCATGCATTTGAAAGTCTTTGCCTAAAATCATAGAGTAAATGAAATAATCTGGGACACAGGGGTTAGTGTAAGGCTTTGGGGTCTTAAGTGGTGGTAGCAGGACACAGATTCAAGGATATGGAGCTATCTGCCTGGCATGTCTGCTGCCCACTGCTGCCCAACCCACTAGCATCTGGCCCTACAAGTACACACAAGTCTTTCCAATCCGTTAGTCCTGATGTGTTTGCTAGAGGATCCAAGACAGAGACATTCTCTTATTGAAGGATTTGGATGGAACTGTGAGGATGCAGGCCTGGAGTGAGATAAGCCCTCACGACTTTTTTTTTTTCTTTTTTTTTTGAGACAGAGTCTTGCTCTGGCACCCAGGCTGGAGTGCAATGGTGCAATTTTAGCTCACTGCAACCTCCGCCTCCCAGGTTCAATCGATTCTCCTGCCTCAGCCTCTCCAGTAGCTGGGATTACAGATGCCTGTCACCATGCTCAGCTAATTTTTGTATTTTCAGTAGAGACGGGGTTTCTCCATGTTGGTCAGGCTGGTCTTGAACTCCTGACCTAAGGTGATCCACCCGCCTTGGCCTCCCAAAGTGCTGGGATTACAGGCGTGAGCCACCGCACCTGGCCATGACTTCTTTAAGTAACTGGATCCAGCTATGTCTGAAGGCTTGCACTAGTTTTTCAGTTAAATGAGCCTAAGAAAATAATGGTCTACATCTGTTGAGTATTTACTATTATCTACTAGGATTTAGTCTCTCTTCTACGTGCTTGACATAGATTATTTCATTTAATCCACATAACAACTATATGAGGTAGGTACTATTATTATCCCTGTTTACAAGTGAGGAGCTGAGGCACACAGGTTTCCAGGTGAGATATAAAACTGAGGAATGTACTTACAGTGCAACAAAACCATAATCTTTGGGGTTTTCTTTTCTGCTGGATAGAAATAATTTGCATTTCTATCAGAATAAAAGTCTATAAGTCAACAGAGCTTCACAGAGTCTGGGTCCTAACCACATCTCTTCATCTATTAAAAAAAACCTACTGATTATTCTTTCTTTTATAAAAGTAACGGAGTAACCTCGGGGAAAATTTGGAAGACAATATTAAATCCCAAAGTAGAAATTATCTATAAAATGTATAATGAAGCAGCACATAATTTTTGTATTAAGTGTAAAGCCAAATCAAGTAAAGGCTCATCTTTGTATAGAATAACTCTTTGGTGGGCTTGTTAGACAATGTTGCAGAATGGCACTGAAAGGGCATGCTTCCTTTTAAGGCCAAACAGACCCCATCAATTGCTGTTAAGTGACATCACTCTGCAAAGCCCAGCACTCTCACTAATTTCACAGCTATATAAAGCTCCAATGAAAAAGGCAACTATTACAGCCTTAAGCCACGAAAATGCTGAAGAAGATGAATGGTGGAGCCTGAGCCAGAGCTTCCATAACCTGGTAGCTTTGGGTTTGATTTTTGTGGTATCCTTTGTCCTTCAAGAACAAGGGGGGTTATTCTCTTCTACCTTGGAGTCCTTTCTCAGGCCACAACCAGCTTCCCAAGAACTCTCTTCTTTCTTCTCCATAGGCCCCAGGGCCCTACTTTCTCTCTTTTCAGTAGCAACTCTTGGGTCTCTTTTATGGTTCCCTTCCCACTACAGAGTGGGTACGGAGTGGGTTACAATGTCTTCAGCTACATTCAGGGTCTCAGGGAATCTTGCTTTTTTCTGGTTCTTTCCAGAAATTTCAACATGAATCACTTCTTGTGTGTAGACATTGGTAATCTCTGTTAGATTGCAAACATGTAATTTGGGAGAGGCTATCTATTAAACTAGGTAAAAGCCCTAATGTATCTAATCCCTCTGAGACAGCATTGCCCTGAAAATAGGGCAAAAGTCTTCAGAAGTTCAGAGAAGTGGTGGAAGAATGGCTGGATCCAGTGCTGGACAGTATGAGAGTGGTAGAGACAGGAGGCAGGGACATTCTGGGCAGAAAAGGTTCCCGGCAAGGGCCCCACCCTCAAGCCGAAAAGTCTAATACTGCAGCCCAAAGTGAGACCATACATCCCTGTTTTACTGCTTGAATGTTGCCTTTTCTAAAACCACCTGCCCTGAACCCGATCCTGTGCCTGTAAAACCCCCAGAACTCAGCTGGTAGAGGGGATAAGCAGCTGAATGTTGGAGACTACGGTTGGACATCAGAGAGAAGCAGCTTGACTTCAGAGGGACAGCTTGATGGCGTAGCATCAGAGAGGAGTCCAGCTGGGGACAGCTGATAGTGTAGCATCAGAGAGGAGTCCAGCTGGGGACAGCTGATAGTGTAGCATCAGAGAGGAGTCCAACTGGGGACAGCTGGACTCCAGGGGAAGGTTACCTTCCTGCTCCATCTGCTTTTCAGCTCCCCTTCCTGCTGGGAGCCACTTTCAACAGCAGTAAAATTCCCCTCATTTACCATCTTCAATTCATTCATGTGACCTCCTTCCTCCTGGATACTGGGCAGGAACTCAGGTGGTCTGAGCATCTTGGCCCAATTCAGGGAAATTCTAAGGGTTTTGGCCAAGATTGTTGTTGGGCCTATAACAAACAGCTGGACCTCTCCCACTGCCCAGTCTTGCTCTCTTCGCTTCCTTTCAACATGCTTGGTCCCCGGGGTACTCTTGCACACAGGGTATTCAACTTTGGCTTTTCAGGGGGCCAAATCTGCAATAGGGCTCAAATATGAGGAAAGAAAACTATATTTGGAATCCATTTCTTCTGGAGGAGAGGTCAAAGTTCTTGACATTCCTATAAGGTCCAATGCAGATGGAACCTCCCCTTCAGAGGTGCTGAGTGGATCAAGCATTCAACAAACTGTCACTGGATTCCAAGAGGGCCCTGTAGGTGCATTTCAGAAAGTTCCTTGTCCTCATTTTTTGGGAAAGGCAACCTCCCAACAAGCAGTGCCACTCTCTGTCAGAGGAGAAGGAAAGAATCTGCCTCTGCTCAAATCGCCCAGTGGTATTAGCTGGTTCTTTCTTAGAATTGTGCTGTGTGATTCTGTCTCTCTTGGAGGCTGCACTTCAGATGAAAATAATCCATGGCCCTCCTGATTCATCTTTCCTCATAGTTCTCCTAGGAGGAAGTGTTAAGTGTTTCTGATTTGTGTTGTACCATCTTCCCTAAATAAGGTGAAGGATACAAGCTCCCTAATCCCTCTGCTGGTTTTATGAAGGGATTAGTAGTACCTACAGTGGGGCCTGAGGGCTTAAGCTGGCTCATCAGCCCCGGAAGCCTGTCTCTCTTGGTTACACTACATTTCTCTTCAAGTGTACATACAAGTACACTGGGGACAAAGCAGCTGTTTTTCCTTTAGAAGGCAGATTTTCTTTTTCCAGAAAGAAGTTGTCAGAACTGGGCATAGAGAAGGTTCTTTTTGTTCCATTTCCATGTGGCAGAGTCAGATTGCCTGGGTGAATTCATACAAAGCTTTAGCACATCCCGATTCTAGAGGTAAGATACTTTGTAATACTAGCAAATGCTTTTCCTTCCCATATTACCTTCTATTCTTTCACTCTCTCCTCACAAATATTCAGCCCCCTTTCCCCAGTCAATTTCTGTTTGGCTTTCTTGGTCCATTGCTTCAGGAAGGGAATGTGTAACTTAAAGACCTCAGGAAAGAAATAACTTAGATTTAGGACAAAAATGTGAGTCAATGTGTCCATGATCAGTAAAGGATCCTCGGGTTAGGGAAGAAGGGAAACCATGAGAGCTTAGGTGCTATCCCCCCATCCCCACTACCCCAGCATGTACTTGAAAGGAGGTGGGTAGTCAAAAGAATTACCAGACAGGTTTGAGGGGTCTGTCAGAGGCATGTGAACCAGAGAAACGCCATCTTAAATAGTATTGGGAAAAAGCTTAGTGTTGGGAAAAAAGCTGAGGCAGGGCTTGCATGTCTGACATAATGTCCTCTGGAATGTGTCTAGACTTGCTGGCTCCTTGCTTCTAGCCCTCCTAGGCTCCTAGATTGATTGTATTCCCATTATCTCAAGTAGCAGAACATGTTCCATATAAATGCTAAACCATCACAGCTGTAGATCATGAGCCTGCCCTTTTGACCCCCACATTCTCACCACCTGTTTCTTTGTTGGATTACCAATAAATAGCATGGGCTCCCAGAGCTCAGGCCTTTGCAGCCTCCACAATTGCAATGGCCCCCTGGTCCCACTTTCTCTCTCAAACTCTTTTTCTCAATCCTTTGACTCTGCTGGACTTTGTTGCCCCCACCTGCCCCCAACATTCCTGGCTGCCCAACGTGGGGCGACAAAGACCCCAGTGAAGGAACGCTAGAGCATGTGAAAGTGGAGGATGCGCCGTCAAAGGACACCTGAGGACATTTAAAAGAAGCTCGGTGGGAAAGCTGAGTGCTTGGAAGAACCAGGGTAACAACAGGACAAAGTGAAAGCACACATTCTGCTTATTTAAATTTCCTAAGGCAATTATTACAAAGAGGGGGAGTGAAAGTTAGTATTCAGAATTTGTTAACACTCTGTAGTGCAGTAAAGCAGTTTTGCCCATGGTTCACGGAACGAGGGACTATGGAGTTGGATGAATGGGAGAGAATTGGCAGAGATTTTAAAAACGCGTATAAGGATGGAGCAAAAATTCCAGTCTCAGTTTGGTCAATGTGGGCGCTAATAAAAGCAGCTCTTGAGCCATTTCAAACAGATGATGAGGCAGATTCAGATGAAGAAGAGGAGGATGAGTGTAAAAATCTAACTTCAGATTCTGAATGTGAGGAACAGAAAATGGAGAAAATTAAAGAAAAGAAAGGGAAACTGAAAAAAGTATGTTTTACTAGCCCGTCGGTTCCAACTGCTGAATTAAGTGAAAGGCCACCTCCTTTCTCTCCCCTTAATGGGCCAGAAGATGAATTAGCTACAAAACTTACTGCTCCTGTAGTTGCAACATTAAAACCTGGAGCAATTGGTGGTGCTATACAAAATTCTATTCAAAAGGCTAGAGCCGAGGGAGACCTTGAAGCATGGCAATTTCCCGTAACTATAGTCCAGCAGGGAGGAAAGAATATAGCTAATTGGACCACCTTTCCTTTTAAGCTGTTAAAGGAATTCAAGCCATTAGTCAATATGGGCCAAATTCTCCTTTTGTGCAAACTTAATTGAAAAGTTTCTCTTGATAATAGATTAATACCATATGATTGGGATACTTTAACAAAATCTGTTTTCACTCCACCTCAGTACTTGCAGTTTAAAACCTGGTGGGCTGACGAAGCTCAAACTCAGGTAAGGGAAAATACACAAGCACAACTACCTGTGCCTGTTTCCTTTGAACAGTTAATGGGAGTCAGACCTGATTGGGGTCGATTAGAAAATCAAGCAGTAATGGAGGATGTTGCCATTGTTCAGCTGTGCTCTGTGTGCTTATGGGCATGAGAAAGGATAAATGTTACAGAGGAAAAATATCCTTCTTTCAGTTCTGTCCGACAAGGACCTAAAGAATCATATATTGATTTTATTGCTCGGCTCCAAGAGGCTGTGTATAAAGCCGTAACTGATAAAACACCTCAAGATGCTGTAATACAGCTTCTTGCATATGACGATGCTAATGCAGAGTGTCAAACTGCTATTAGACCCCTGAGAGGGAAGACTCATTTAACTGAATATATTAAGGCTTGTGATGGCATTGGAGGTAACTTACATAAGGCTACTCTTTTAGCTCAGGCTATGGCTGGATTAAGAGTAGAAAAGAATATGCCCCGTTTCTCAGGCTCTTGCTTTAATTGTGGGCAATTTGGACACACAAAAAAGGAACGTAGAAAAGGAAATAAAAAGGCAAGAGCTACCATCAATCAACAGAAAAGTCCCAGTGTATGTCCCCATTGTGAAAAAGGCCATCACTGGGCAAGTCAGTGTCATTCTACATTTAGCAAAGATGGACTGCTTTTGGGAAATGGGAAGAGGGAGCTGCCTTGAGCCCCTCAACAAACTCAGGCATACCCAGCACAGCCAGTGCCCTTACAAATGTACAAAAATTGTCCCCTGCCTCAGCAGGCAGTGCTGTTGTAAACCTCTGCAGCACAATTCCTGTCTCCCTACTTCCTGGGGAGCCACCAAAAAAGGTCCCCATGGGAGTTAGGGGACCCTTACCCTCAGGAACAGTCAGTCTATTACTTGGAAGGTCTAGTCTAAATTTAAAAGGGGTTACTGTACATACATGAATAATTGACTGTGATTATACCAGAGAAATTCAATAAGTTATTAGTTCCTCAACTCCGTGGTCTGCCTCCCCAGGGGAAAGAATTGCTCAGTTGTTGCTGTTACCTTACATAAAACTAGAAGAAGCACAGTGAAAAGAACAGGAGGCTTTGGTAGTACTAATCCAACAGGAACGGCTGTATATTGGGTTAATCAAGTGTCTGACAAAAAACCTATTTGCACAGTAACTATTGAGGGAAAAGATTTTGAAGGACTAGTAGATACTGGAGCTGATGTCTCTATTATTGCTATAAACCAATGGCCCGAGCATTGGCCTAAGCAAAAGGCATCCATTTTTATTGCTGGAGTAGGAGCTGCCTCAGAAGTTTTTCAAAGTTCCTTGATTTTACCATGTCAAGGGTCGGATGGTCACGAAGGCACAATTCAGCCTATCATTTCATCTATTCCTGTTAATTTATGGGGTAAAGACTTATTGCAACACAATGGGATGCTGAAATATCTATTCCTATGGATCAATATAGTAGTAATAGTAGACAAATGATGAGAAATATGGGATATAACCCAGGAAAAGGACTAGGAAAAGATAAAAATGGCCAATCAGAACCTTTAGAGTTAATAGGACAAACAGATTGGACCGGATTGGGGTGTCATTTTTAGAAGCAGCCATTGTTGAGCCTCTGGCTCCCATTCCTCTTGTTTCGCTAACTGCCAAACCGGTTTGGGTAGAGCAATGGCCACTGAAACAGGAAAAACTGGATGCTTTAAAAGAGCTGGTGCAGAAACAATTGCAAAAGGGTCATATAGAGCCTACTTGCTCCCCTTGGAATTCTCCTGTATTTGTCATTAAGAAAAAATTAGGGAAATGGAGAACGTTAACAGATTTAAGGGCTGTTAATGCTGTAATTCAACACATGGGTGCACTACAACCAGGGTTACCCTCCCCAACAATTATCCCAAAATACTGGCCTCTCATAGTGATAGATCTAAAGGATTGCTTTTTTACCATTCCTTTAGCTGCCCAAGATTATGAAAAATTTGCTTTTACTGTTCCCGCCATAAATAATAAAGAACCAGCAAATAGATACCATTGGAAAGTACTACCCCAAGGCATGCTAAATAGTCTGACTATTTGCCAAACTTATGTCAGGAAAGCTATTAAGCAAGTTAGAGAACAGTTTAAAAAATGTTATATCATCCACTACATGGATGATATTCTGTGTGCAGCTGAAACTAGGGAAGAATTGATGTTGTGCTACAAACAGTTAGAAAAGGCTGTAGATATGACAGGGTTAATTATAGCCCCCGATAAAATCCAAACTTCTACCCCTTTCAATATCTAGGAATGAAGGTAGAACAAAGTGCTATTAAGCCTCAAAAGGTTCAAATTCAAAGAGATAATTTAGAAACCTTAAATGATTTCCAAAAATTATTAGGAGACATTAATTGGATTCATCCAACTTTAGGCATTCCTACCTATGCTATGTCTCACCTCTTTTCTACTTTACGAGGTGATTCTAACCTTAACAGTAAACGCTCCCTGTCCAAAGAAGCATTGGAGGAACTTCAATTAATTGAAGAAAAAATTCAGTAAGCACAAGTAGAATGAATTAATCCAATACAACCATTACAGTTTTTAGTTTTTCCTACTAAGCATTTGCCTACAGGAGTTATAGTTCAACAGGATGATCAGGTTGAGTGGCTTTTTCTACCTCTCAATACGACTAAAACGTTCACTCTGTACTTAGACCAAATTGCTGTGCTAGTAGGACAAGCAAGACTGCGCACAACAAAGCTAATGGGATATGATCCAAATCAGATTATAGTTCCATTAACTAAACAACAAATTCAACAAGCCTATGTTAATTCCCAAGAATGGTAAATTAATTTGGCAGTTTTTGTCAGCATTCTTGGTAATCATTATCCTAAATCTAAGATATTTCAGTTTCTAAAATTAACATCCTGGATTTTGCCTTCTATTACTCAAAAAGCCCCTATCCAAAGGGGCCGTTACTCTTTTTACTGATGGATCTAGTAATGGAAAAGCCTCATTTGCAGGACCTCAACAAGTTTTGCAAACTGACTTTGCTTCTGCTCAAAGGGCTGAACTTATGGCTGTGATAACAGTGTTAACTTTTAAACAGCCAGTAAACATTGTTTCCGATTCAGCCTATGTAGTGCAAGCCACACAAAATATTAAATGTGCCTTAATTCGAAATGTGACTGATGAACAACTTAATCTTTTATTTCATTCTTTACAGCAAGCAGTACAACAAAGGCATTCACCTTTCTATATCACTCACATGAGAGCACATACTAACCTCCTTGGCCCTTTAACTAAACTTAATCAAAGGGCGGATGCATTGGTGTCTGCAGCTTTTGCTGATGCACAAACATTTCATTCTTTAACCCATCTTAAAGCTGCAGGCCTTAGGAAAAGATATGATCTATCATGGAAACAAGCTAAAGAAATTGTGCAACACTGTTCTGCCTGCCAAGTCCTGCATTTGCCACATCAAGGAACAGGAGTTAACCCTAGAGGTTTATCTCCAAATTCCCTCGGCAGATGGATGTAACACATATTCTTGCTTTTGGAAAATTGTCCTCTGTTCATGTTTCAGTAGATACCTATTCACATTTTATCTGGGCCACATGTCAAACAGGGGAGGCTTACAGCTCATGTTAAAAGACATCTTTTATCTTGCTTTTGTGTTTTGGGAATCCCAGAAAAAAAATCAAAACTGATAATGGCCAGGATAGTGTAGTAAAGCCATGGCTACCTTCTTTCAACAACGGAATATTGCCCATACTATGGGTAATCCATATAACCCACAAGGACAGGCAATAGTGGAAAGAGCTAATCATACTTTCAAAACTCAAATACACAAGCAGAAGGCAGGAGACCAGGAACATAAAACACTGCATATGCAATTGCATCTAGCTTTATTAACATTACATTTTTTAAATTTACAAAAAGATCAACCCATAACTGCAGCAAAACAACACCTGACAGGACAAAAGGAAAATAAAAAGGCTGGACAAGATATATGGTGGAGGGATGCACATACTAAGAGCTGGGAAAGAGGAAAGAATTATATGGGGAAGAGGATTTGCTTGTGTCTCTCCAGGTGACCATGAGGTGCCTGTGTGGGTGCCCACCAAACATCTGAAGATCTATCATGAGCCACAGCATCTAGTGGACCCACCTGTACAGTGTGAATTGAAGGTTTGAGAAGCCTTGATTTGCTTTCTCTGTGCCTTCTGTTAGAAGGGGTCTGTTTCTCATTATCAGTGGCCTCTTGGCTACAGCCACAAAAATTTTTGCTTCTGTTTCAGTAGATTTACTAACGTGGGGGTAAGGGTATGCTTGTGTTTTTGCAGGAGATGAACGAACCACGTGGATGCCCTCAAGATGTGTACGACCATGGAACGGGAGACTGGAGGGACCCATGGATCCAACCATGGATGGGGTTACCCCTGTATGAGCCAGTTGAATCTGAATGCGAGGATGGAATGAGGACCGACCAGAGTCACAATGCTTAATGGACCAATGCTTTCTGACTGAGCTCCTCTCTACCCTGAATACAAGAGACCCTAATAGTTAGGCAGGAATATCATCGCCCCTATTCAGCATGAAGAAGTTACAGAAAATGGACCTTCATCCTTCTGCAACTCCTAGGATTAAGGGTCCTCTTGTAAAAGGGAAAGGGGAGATATGTGCGAAACATTCAAACCAGAGCGACTCCATTTTGAATAAGGGCTAAGAAAAATGAAGCTGGAGCACTGAGCAGCAATTAAGGGCTGCACAGCCTGCAATTGCCTTGCTCAGTTAAAAGAGGCCACATTTTATGCTAGTAATAATGATAGCTAGTAATAATGATAGTAATAATGATACCTTCTCCTTTACAAAAAAGAGAAGGGGAGCATGTTGGGAAAAAGCTGAGTGTTGGGAAAAAAGCTGAGGCAGGGCTTGCATGTCTGACATAATGTCCTCTGGAATGTGTCTAGACTTGCTGGCTCCTTGCTTCTAGCCCTCCCAGGCTCCTAGATCAATTGTATGCCCATTATCTCAAGTAGCAGAACATGTTCCATATAAATGCTAAACTGTCACAGCTGTAGATCATGTGCCTGCCCTTTTGACCCCCACATTCTCATCAGCTGTTTCTTTGTTGGATTACCAATAAATAGCATGGCTCCCAGAGCTCGGGGCCTTTGCAGCCTCCACAATTGCGATGGCCCCCTGGTCCCACTTTCTCTCTCAAACTGTCTTTTTCTCAATCCTTTGACTCCACCGGACTTCGTCGCCCCCATGACCTGGTGTTGGGTGTGATCACCCCAACAAACAGGAGCTGGGTAAAATGAGGCTGAAACCTACTGGGCTGCATTCCCAGATGGTTAAGGCATTCTAAGTCACAGGATGAGATACGAGGTCAGCACAAAATACAGGTCATAAAGACTTTGCTCATAAAACAAGTTGCAGTAAAGGAGCTGGCCCAAACATACCAAAACCAGCTGACCAGAGGTCACTCTGGTTGTCCTCACTGCTATACTCTCACCAGCACCATGACAATTTACAAATGCCATGGTGATGTCAGGACATTACCCCACATGGTCTAAAAAGGGGAATCAGGAATAACCCAAGCTTTGATGAGCATATCATCAAGAAATGACCATAAAAATGGGCAACCAGCAGCTCTCAGGGCTGCTCTGTCTGTGGAGTAGCCATTCTTTTATTCCTTTACTTTCTTAATAAACTTGCTTTCACTTTGCACTGTGGACTCGCTCTGAATTATTTTGTGTGCAAGATCCAAGAACCCTCTCTTGGGGTCTGGATTGGGACCTTTGTCCTGTAACATATTTCTGGCAGCCCATAGGGGACTATAGTGCAGAAACCCTGACCCAATGGCTACCTTTGGGTAAGTGTTGGTGTCCTGTAACATATTTCTGGCGAACCACAGAAGGGATGATACTGAAGAGACCCCCGACTCATAGGAAAATCATCTGCATGCACCGACTGGCTGACTTTGGGTAAGTGGAGTGCATATACTCAGGTAAAGAATGGGATTGGGTTAGAGGCCCAACTTAGGAGAGTTAATGTCTCTCCTTAAGACAGAGTGGGTTAGAGGCCCCTCTTCATAAAAGGCAAGGATGCTTGACCAACGTTGGGTTAAAGGCCCAACTTATGAGGGTTAGAGTCCTTTCTAAGATTTAGGGGGTTAGAGGCCCCATTTGGTAAAGTCCCTCTTGGCTAAGTACAGGTTTGGCACTATAGGATGTTAAATGCTATTCTCTTTGGAATAATCTGCCTTGCATGCTTTGCTGTTGGCTGTGGGTTACAGGGTTAGGCAGGTACAGGATTGTGGGGCATGGGGAGCTTTTTCCTCCCTAAAAAGAGAAATTTGAGAGCTGATGGGACTGCTGGAAAAGATCCCTTTGTTACCGACAAGCGGCCAACTGTACTTTTCATTGTTGGCTGCAATGAGGGGGTCTTTTCTCTGGCCTCCCTAAGTGCTTCACCTTCCCCACGCTGCCACAGGCAATACTTTACTTCTCTACTTTTCTTTTCCTATATTTTCTGTTACTCAGGGCAACCATCTTGCCCAGAGACCACATGTTGAAACTCCACGTCAGAGGTTGGATTAAAGATGACGGGGCCCATCTAGGGGCAAATTTAAGCCTTGCCAGTTTGATAATGGGTGCTAAGCAGAGTGGCTAATGACTATGTTTTATCACATGTATTTTGCTTTGGCCAGAAAAAAAAAATTTTTTCCTTTATGATGTGGCTTGGCCCCCAGGGTGATGGTGCAACAAGCTGGATCACTAGGGCCACTCAGGGAAAGAGAACCCAGAAACCTGGCATGCTGGCAAAAGGGTAAGAATTTCTTACCAGTCAGATTTCTGGCTTCTCTCTCTCTGTGCAAACGGTTGAACGAATGGGAAAAAAAATCAGTGTTTATCTCCTCTGTAAAATTTTGATCAATGAGAAAAAGAATTCTAAGGCTAGTCTTAAGCTGGTATATTTTGTGCTATGAATTTGTTTTTCTGTGTCAAGGGGTACTTTAGGATAAAACATGGGCTTAGAACACCTGTAAGCCCACTTTTCAAGACAACCCAACAAGCTGGTCAGTAACAAACTTGGCTGCAGGTCCCTGAAACAAACAAAAAAACCGGATGAAGTCTCCACCTCATTATATGTCCTTGGAAGCTTGACCTTTTGATCATGTGGCGGTACTTTCTCTTGGTCTCTGCCTTCCAGGGAACAGAAATTTTAGGGTTCATGTCATAGTTAGCTCTAAAAAATCATATTAAATAGTTAAAAGTCTTTGAAAACTCAAAATTAATGACCCTAGACTTCTTCTAGGAAAGGAAATGGAGACTGCCCCATGCTGTAGCTCACTAGCCAAGGTTTTGCACTTTCACAGTGGCAATCCAGGTTTGATTCCCCACCTACGAAGTAAGTAATCTCTGATTTAATATATGCGTGACCTTGTCTATTCTCTTCTCCTCCCTGTACTGTCTTAAATTTTCTTTTCTCTAAGCACCTGGGAGGTTATCTTTGGTAAAGTTCAAAAGCCAGAAATATCAGTCATTTGGCATAAGAAATTCTAAAAGGGCTTTATTAAAGAGTGCTATGGTTAAAATCAGTTTAGTTAAAAACAGATATTCAAGCTCTAACAGCCTGGACTCCTTGGGGTAAACAGGAGGCACCACAGACCCTTTCCTGGCCCTGTTCTTCCAAGGGCTCCACCCTAAAGCTAGTAATCCAATTAAGAAACTTAAAAACCGGCAAATGAAAAATCTTACAACTACTGTAGTAATCTTCTTCTGTCTTTGTGTGTAGCTATATATGTGTTGTGTGTAATGTTTATATAAAAAAACTCTAATTAATTGCCTTAAATAAAAATAAGCACTTAAATCAAATATTTTGAAAGTTAAATAAAAACTAACGCTTTTTACTTCAGGTAACTTTAGTAATCTTTGGGAAATAAAAACAGCTTTAAAAACTATTGATAAAATAAAAACATTTAGTCTAAATTATGTAGGTCAGATATTAAGTTTGCTAAATGCTTTAAGGTCATATAAACCACCTCTTTAACTTTTAAAAAGTGTTCAATTTATTAAAAATTATTGATAAAAGAAAAACATTTAGTCTAAATTATGCAGGTCAGATTAAGTTTGCTAAATGCTTTAAGGTCATAAACCACCTCTTTAACTTTTAAAAATTGTTCAATTTACCTACCTTAAAGCCATTAGATTCTAGATAAGGCCTGGGGACATGTGGAATTAGCCATGTCCCCTAGCTACACAAAGATTATAAATAGAGAGATTTTATATAAGAAAGGATCTCATATGTTAAATTCTTGTCCTAAAGTAAAATGACTGGTTGTTTAAAAGGAGGGATGTTTAGGGCAAGTCAGAAAGTCCAAGAATGTCTCAGATGGTCTGTGTAAGCCATGAAAGGGTTTATGCAAGAAATGTTGTACAATTCAAAGGTTGTTAGACCTCCTAAATGCCTCATAAAATGCCACTATGACTCTCACTCTACAACTTGCTTGCTTAAGTAAGGTACGGCCTTGGGACATGTGGAGTTAGCCTCCTAGCTATGCTGGAGTCAGCTCTTATCTGCACTTCTGCCTGTTGTCTCCTAGGCTAGGCTCCACACCTGGCACATAATTAAAATCTTGAACTTGTCAAGGTTTTCATCAAAAATAAAAGTTGCTAAGCGTTAACACTGTAACATGTAATTGAGACTCTTGAAGAAACAGTTTTATATGCAAGATGTGTAAGAAAAGTAAAATGTGTTTATGGTAAAAAAAAGATTGTAAGAAGGCATGGGAATGTGGATTTTTCTTGCCTAGATTAAAGGATTAAAGGATTGTTTTAAGTTAGGATAAATCTGAAGGTTTAAGCAAGTTGTAAAAGTTTTGTGAAACATTAATTGTAAAAGAGATTCTGCGTGAACACACTGGCTAAAGTTAAAGGGGTATTCAGTTTTTCTGTAAACTGAACATTGGAATAAATGCAAACCAGGTTTTTCTTAGAGCAAAAACCTGCTTATGATCTGCTCTTTAACAAAAATTTGTAAAAACGGTGTTTGGTTTTCTTTGGGCTGTATTTCTATAAATGTGTTATTGGTATATGTGTTCCAAAACTATGGGAAACTCCTATAATTTTGATATGACTTAGTGTACATTATCAGTAATGATTATAATTGTTGTTTTGAATTATTGTATGCCACAGAGGTAACCAAATTTCTTTGTCAATCATGTTTTTAACTGTGGCTATCCTAAGACGTTTTGTCATCCACAAATGATTGTTACCTTGTTTTAATCCTCTTTAGAAGTTGGTTTATAATCAATTATAGAACTCTAACTGGTATTCTTAAATGCAGGTTTTCTGATAAGTGGAGACTGTGACATCAGAATAGAGGAAAACATTTTCAGAACTCTCATAGAGAGCTATAATGTTCATAACTATTAAACAGAAGTTAACTACATGAACTAAGCTGAAGAAGCCTAATCTTTTTAACTTTGCTTAAAATATTGCTGATCCTTTGTTTTGTTTTTCAGAATCGAGGAAACTTTTTTTTGAGCTATTTACAGGTTTTAGCAATTGAGTAGAGTAAGCTACTGTGAACAAAATTTGCAGCATATTTGTTTCTCTCTACCTGATTTCTCCAAAATTTGGAAACTGAGAGTATTCTTAATTTATAGCAATATAGTTATTTGCATAAGTGCAATAAGAATCTGTTTTCTTTTGTAACAGGACACAATTGGAGAAATTGATTATTTTACCAAGGCTTTGACTGGAATGGTGTGCTTTCCTTTAAGGAATCAAACTTGACTTGTAGAGCCAATAAAAGCCCTTTGGGGAACTGGCCTCATACCTTGCCTACACAATCCCTGTACAGGGTTTCTGGCCTGTAAGTAAAGAAGTTAAGTAAATAACGGTAGGTAAAGAATGCCACGTTCTCACAGGTCCAGGAGCCCCAGGTTACCTTGGGACCTCAAAAGGAGAGAAATTTACCCAACTCATAGGTATTTGAGGATAAAAACCTATGGCAGGGCTCGGCTTTAAAAAAGTCTTATCTGAGATTGTTCTATGGAAGAGAGTTCCATCAAAGCCAACTTAAAAAGAGCTTACATGAAAAATAATTATTCTTGCTGTACTTTATACAAATAATCAGGCCAAGTATAATAAAACAAATTGGTCTTATCATGCTTTGTCTTTAGTAAAAATTGGAATTATTAGATTCTAGTCTTATCAATTGTTTTTAAGTTTGTCTTTGCAATTTAGGCTAACCCTGCTTATTCCTGTGAAACAACTAGTAATCTCTGACTGCTACTCAGAAGAAACAAGAGGGTTGGGTAATGTAAAAATTTGGATCAATACTCTAATCCTGGGCACATATTGGAATCATCTAGCAACCCCGTATCAGCTTGGTTCCAACAATTCAATTGCCCAGTCCATGGAAAGCTTTCTAATTTAGTTTTCTTGGAATAACTTTACTTGTTTACCCTTGTGGAATATATTGCTGTTATACTCTTTGTGTGGGAATACAGGACAAGCTTACTGAATGTTTTCTTTTTTTTTTCTTTTTGTTTTGAGACAGAGTCTCACTCTGTCGCCCAGGCTGGAGTGCAGTGGTGCAATCTTGGCTCACTGCAAGCTCCGCCTCCCGGGTTCACCCCATTCTCCTGCCTCAGTCTCCCAAGTAGCTGGGACTACAGGTGCCTGCCACCACACCCGGCTAATTTTTTGTATTTTTAGTAGAGACGAGGTTTCACTGTGTTAGCCAGGATGGTCTCGATCTCCTGACCTCGTGATCTGCTCACCTCAGCCTCCCAAAGTGCTGGGATTACAGGCGTTAGCCACCACGCCCAGCCTGAATGTTTTCTTAAATTAAACACTTACTAATCTTCCAGATATCACTTTTTGTCAAAACTCAAGCGTTATGAATGGACCTTACCATAACGAGGCCTTCTGACTGAGCTCCTCTCTACCTTGAATGCAAGAGACCCTCACAGTTAGGCAGGAATATCATTGCCTCATTCAGCCTGAAGAAGTTAGAGAATATGGATCTTTGCCCCTCTACAACCCTTAGAATTAAGGGTTCTCTTATAAAAGGGAGGGGGGAAATGTCAGAGGCGTGTGAACCAGAGCAATTCCATCTTAAATAAGAGCTGGGTAAAATGAGGCTGAATCCTACTGTGCTGCATTCCCAGACACTTAAGGCATTCTAAGTTACAGGATGAGATAGGAGGTCAGCACAAAATACAGGTCATAAAGGCCTTGCTGATCAAACAGTTTGCAGTAAAGGAGCTAGCCAAAACCCACCAAAACCAAAATGGTGACCAGAGTGACCTCTGGTCATTCTCACTGCTACACTCCCACCAGTGCCATGACAGTTTACAAATGCCATGGCAACATCAGGAAGTTACCCTATATGGTCTAAAAAGGGGAGATATGAATAATCTACCCCTTGTTTAGCATATCATGAAGAAATAACTATAAAAATGGGCAACCAGCAGCCCTCGGGGCTGCTGTGTTTATGGAGTAGCCATTCTTTTATTCCTTTACTTTCTTAATAAACTTGCTTTCACTTTGCCCTGTGGACTTGCCCTGAATTCTTTCTTGCATGAGATCTAAGAACCCTCTCTTGGGATCTGGATCAGGACCACTGTCTTGTAACAAGTCCACAAAGCTGGAACTTCTGGGGGAGTAGGAGAGACAGAGCAAGACAGCAAGAGTGCATGTCAGAGCAAGGATGCAAACTGGTGGCAAGATGCAGCTAAATGGTATGTTTTGGCGAGCGGGGATGTTTCTTGTAGCCCACGGAGGCTGAAAGGTTCTCATATGCCTGAGAAGAGCCCAGAGAGAGCTGACAGAATCAGAGCAAAACAGGCCTTCAAAGTAGGAGTAAATGATGATGCAGCAGTAGCTTGGACCACAGCTAAGGACCAGATAGAAGGATGTATGTATCAGGAGATGCCAGCACAGACAGAAGACAAAGTACTCCTTACACTACATCCACCTCACCCTAGCATCACTCCAGGAATTTAGACAAAACTCTGGTGAAAGGAAAAGAATCTGACATTCTGGTAGAATGGGGGGTCACAAAAAATCAAGGTAAGATATAGAACTATAATTGCTTTTCAACATAAGGAGCCAAAATTTATCGAATAGGCAGAAAACTCCAAATCTTGGTCAACTCTTCTCCCTTCTGCTCTGACTGGATTCCACACATGAGGGACTATAATGAATTTATTTCGTTAAAAACAATGCAAATGAAAAAAATGCAAATGAGAGACTTTGCTCCAACAGATTGAAACTCATTACTTAGCTCAGTCTTGTCAAGATTCTTGGTTGCAGAAAAGATACCCCCTGGAGCTGCTACTCTACACACCAGCCACCCAGACTGCTGAGTCTCCTGACTCCGCACATATCTCTAATTGTCCCTGTTTATTCACACATTAGTGAGAACATGGAAGGGTGGGGTAGGGGGAAGGGATATATGTATATGCTTGAATACACACACAAAAAACGCTCTGGAAGGATACACAAGAAACTGGATAGTACTGGCTTCCCTTTGGGAGAACCAGGTGGTGGGGAGACTAGAAGGAAGATTTCTCACTGCTTATATTTTAATACTTATTGTACCTTTTGAATTTTCATCCACGGTAATAAATTACCTATTTCAAAAACCAACAACTAAAGGTTCCATCCAATCCAATTAAAAACTTCAAACTTATACCTAATTTAAAGCTCCTCCCTCCCTCCCAGGTCTGGCATGATCTGTGGCTCCACAACCTGCAGCTGGGAAGGAAGGGGCTGAGGTCTGTCTCCCCCTCTTCTTTTACTCCTCCTCCCTTCACACCCTTGCTGTATGTTCCTGCAGTAGTGGGGTTTGGTTTGGATACAATCTCTTAGATGGTATTATTTGTGGTTCTCTCCTGATGTTCTATTCTCTCTTTGGAATGCTGGCTCTTTCTGAGCACTTCATGGATTTTTCAGAAACTCCTCCCCCACTCCCCTGCACAGTATCCTGACGTGAGTTAGGTACTCTTTGGCTGGCCTCCTTGTAACTCTTCCTGCCTTCCTCCTCCCTCTGGGGGTTTTCTACAGTCTTTTATGCTAGGGTTCCTTGCCTCAGAGGATGGCATGTCTCTCAGGGGGAGGTTCAACTTTCTTTCTTGGTATGCATTTTACTCACAGGAATATTAACACATCTTGATACACCAAATATTGCCCTGCCTGCTGATGAGGACTGCTCCAGCTAGCTTCCTGCCATTGCAATTCTCTAGGAAGGAGGCAGACATAGCCTTAACAGTTAGGCCTGCCTTCCAAATTCAGGTTTCCTCAAGCATTCTCTGACCAAGACCTATCTAGCTAACTAAGGTGGACTCATGAATTTCTGCAGTTCTATAGGGATTTATCCTGAGATTTAATACCAGTAATGTTTTGGTAAGAAGCCCTCACCCACAAACTTGGCTGGGAGTGGAAGGAAACAAGAACATTAAACTGCCAACTGTAGACTCAGAAGCATCAGTCCCCTTGTTAATCCAAAATATCTGAGACAGGTCTCAGTCAATTTAGAAAATTTATTTTGCCAAGGTTAAGGATGCACTCGTGACTCAGGAAGTCTGGATGACAGGTGCCCAAGGTGGTTGGGGGTACAGCTTGCTTTTATACATTTTAGGAAGGCATGACATATCAATCAATATTTGTAAGATGTACATTGGTCCATCCAGTAAGGCAGGGACTTCCTGGTTAGAAGTAGATAAGAGACAAAAGGTTGCATTCTTTTGAGTCCTTGATCAGCCTTCCACTGAATACACAATTTAGTCTGGCTCAGTGAATCTGCATTTTTACATAAACAATAGGGCAGAGGGAGCAATCAGATATGCATCTGTCTCAGGTGAGCCTCAGAGTGATGACTGAGTTCTGCCTGTCCTTTATCCACCAGGAATTTCCTGTGGGCAAATTGTGAGGGAGGTATGTAGCTTATTATCTTTGTAGCTATATTATTTAGGAATAAAATGGGAGGTAGGTTTGCCTCAGGCAGTTCCCAGCTGGACTTTTCTCTTGGCTTGATGACTTTGGGGTCCCGAGATTTATTTTCCTTTCACACCCTCATACAGTGAATTCTAGTCTTTTGCTTATCTGAGCCGGCTGGGATGTGGGGGTGAGAATTCAAAGACAAGTTTGGCCACTTCCTATCAAACTTCAGAGAGAAGTAGCTCCTAGACTGCCCTCCTTATGGATGTGGAGGTAAGGCTTGTTGTCTTCAGCTTTAGAGCTTTAGACAAAGTTTTGAGACAAATAGAAATATCCTATTCTAATTTGGTTACTCACTTTAGTTAAAACCTTTAAAACATGATCCTGCCATGTAAAAAAGACAGTTCTTTAATGATAATAACTACCATTATCGACTATTTGGTACAAGGTGACAGTAGCTTTATATACTAAATGTATTAAATGTTCACAACACTCTTATGAAATAGGGAGTTTCATACCCATCTCAGTAATAAAACCTGAAACCCAGAGGTCATGTAGCCAGTGGCAGAGTTGGAATTTGAACCCAGACCTGTCTGATTTCCAAACTCAATCTGCATACAAAGATGAGTGGTGTGGTATTGACTAGTGTGGTTGTCCCCTACCTATGAGCTACAGAATTGAGGTAGGGGTGTTCCCGGACCAAACTGAGGGTTGGGCTGCTATTTTTTGTGGCCCAATAATGAGATGTAGATGAACTGGGGAGGAAGAGAGTTTTTATTTCTGCAACCGATTACAGGGAGAAGGCCTGGAAATTATCATCAGACCAACTTAAAATTACAGTTTTCCAGAGCTTATATACCTTCTAAGCTATATGTTTACTTGTAAGTGTGCATTTATCTAAAGACATAAGTGATTAACTTCTTTTAATCTATAACTAAGGTCTGAGTACTGAAGACCATCCTCTGAAGCCTCAATAAATTTACTTAATCTACATGGGTTTAGGTGCTGGGGTGATTACCCTTATCTTATCCCCTGCTAAATCACAGAGGTTTGGAGAGTTCTTTCAGACCTCCAATAAACTTGTTTGTGGAGGCCTGGGGAGTTTCTTCGGACCTCCAATAAAACTTGTTTAATCCTAAATGGGTCCTGTTAAGAATTTCTTCATTAATTTGTCATGCTTCAAGGCCCAGGAAAGGCCTAGGCAAAACCCTTGGTGGGTTTCTGTTACATCTCAGCCTTTGTATAAGGGCACTGGCTTTTAATATTTAACTTAACCACTCAGTCAGCACTGAAACATTGTTATGGAGGCCTGCGTTAGTGAGACCTGGTCTGCCACAGGGGTGCAGTTATTACAAGAGGTTGAAATATCCTAAGTCCATCAAACATTGCCTGTGGATCCAAAAAATAATCTATATACTACTATTTCTCCTATATATATCAATTCAATTCAACGATGAGTTATTTGTGTAAGGCATTGTTCTAGGTGCTGGGGATACTCCAGGATACAAAACAAACAAAAATCCCCGTCTTCATGGAAATACAAATTTTCATTAAAAGTGTACTGAAATTATATTTTTTGTCATCATGCATTTTATCAATTAAATGAAACTAAACATATAACTTATCAAGCGACAGCTCAGGAATAATTTTGCTATTTAAAATAGCAAGGGATTTTCTATTTATTTGCCATAAAAATGTCCATTTTGTTATAATGGATATATCTGGAAACCACTGATACTATTTAACTCTGAGGAATTTAGTTATCACAAGAACATGATCCATGAGGGAGGAGTTTATTTGCAGTGAAGTCCAACCTGTTAATGACAATATTTGGATCATAAAGGAAGTATTGGGCAATCTCCTGGGGTAATCCCACTCATCCATCCCACAGCTCAGTGCCAATTATAATGACTACCTAAGTAAATTAGGATTGCAATTTTATTGACAATTCTGATGAGGAATCTCAGGAGCACGATTTTCGGCAGAGACGCAGATTACTTCATCTCTTGTTTACCTTTTGACTCTGGGACTCTCTGAGGTTCCTTCTAAAGCTGTTACAGAAGAGGGAACTGTTTGTCCAATCAGGGAGCAAAGTCACATTTGACCTCGAATTTCAGCCCTTAGGATCCTCAGGGAATAAACACTCATGCACTTAGTGCTAGTCAAAGACTGCATGATTATTTAACTAAAAAAATTCACATTCCAAGAAGTTAACTGTCAGTAAGATAGGTTTTGGTCTTTCTCATCACATCTTTCCCTTCACAGGCCACCAGTGCCAGTTCGAATTCCCGTCCCCAGCGGCAACCCTTCCGGGTCCAGGCACAGGTACGCGGTGAGAAATATTATTCTCTCTAATAGCAAACGAGGAAAACGAAGGGGGAAGGAGATGGGCCTGGGATACAAAGTTCTGGCACTGCTCTTCGCACCTCACCTCGCTGTTTCTTCCCTCCTAGTCTTCAAGTCCCTTGTCTCCCCGGTCTCACTGCCGCTCTTCCCTCGCTCCCTTCCCGCCGCCTCACTCAAAAGCTACGAACCAGTCGCGGCCGTCAGACTACATTGCCCACAATGCCACGCGCTGGCCAGTCTCGCGTGGGGTTTTCCCTCAGCTGCTGTTATAATTAATGTTAATCAAACCCACATTTCTAGGAAGGAGCCGAGTTATTATCTGCCTCTCCGATAGGATGCCTCTTTGTCTTCACCTGCCATTCCCGCTGTTTCGTGAAGAATCCTCTGTAAAGGGAAATTTGTTCAGGCGACTGCTGTGGCCACCCTCTGCCTCCTCCGGCCTCTGCCCCTGGGAGGTCCCCGGGGGCCTGGGAGTGTCATTGGCGTATGACCGCAACCCTTGCCGCTGCCGCTGACATCGCTACCATGGTCTCCGGCAGCAGCGGCCTCGCCGCCGCCCGTCTCCTGTCGCGCAGCTTCCTCCGTGAGTCCAGCCAGTACTGTCTTCCTGGCGCCCGCGGGTTATTGGCCCCGCCGGACCCAACCTCCTGGCCCAGGCCGCGGCTGGGCCCTCAGGGCTGGACCTCGGCGGGGGCCTGGGAGCCGCTTGGGATTCCGGCTTCGAGTCGGGGACCCCTACGGTGGAAGGAGCTTTGCTGGATACGTGGGGCGGGGGGCATGACTTAGGCCGCTGGCAGATGGAGATATTGGGTGGCTGAGCCAGGATTCGGGTCCGGGAGCCCTGCAAATTTGGGAGCTTGCTCTCGGCCCCGCGGTGACAAATGACAGGATGGGGGTGGCGTCTAGACTGGCCTTATTTGGAGTTGGGGATGAAGAGGTCCAAGGTGAACTTGGTGGGGAAGGTAAGGGTCTGGGTTGAGAGGTAGAGGAAGAGTGTCTCAGTAGGAAGTTGGGGGATGAGGCTGTCCCTAGTACGGAAAGGTCCTGCACTTCGAATTCCCCCTCTGCAGGATTGTATGTCAGGGAAAGATGGTTTCTGCACACGGAGTGGGGTCGGCATAGCCGCATAGACTACTAGAAGCTTATGGTTGGCTGGGACCTAAACCAGCTTATTTGCAGTGTCTCCACCAGGCGATTTGTGGACACAT
The DNA here is from genome assembly GCF_000001405.40 of Homo sapiens. Taxonomy (NCBI): domain Eukaryota; kingdom Metazoa; phylum Chordata; class Mammalia; order Primates; family Hominidae; genus Homo; species Homo sapiens. The sequence continues at coordinate 84,458,547 of NC_000002.12, read as the reverse complement.
CCGTTCCCGAAAACTTAGTACCCAAGGTTGCTAGTCTTTGAGACACGCTGACTATGGAAAATTCTTGCCATATTCAAAGTCTCTGTGCTTGTCAGGTAGGTTATAGTAGAAAGAAACTTTGGAATCAGCCACATCAGGGTTTGAAGTCTGGCTAGTCCCTTTTCAGTCTGTGTAATAACCCTGGACACTTAATCTGTTTTTCAGTGTTTCCAATCACATGAAAATATTAACACATTTTAAGGGGCCTGAAGCACCATCACTTGTAAGGTGGACCATTATTTTGTTTACCACTAACAATGAAGAACGATTGCTTATTAAAACTGTGACACACCAGTGGTTGTCACATGTATCCTGGTTTTTTAAAAAGTGAAAAAAAATGTGCATTTTAGCAATGATGATGTACAGGATGATCTGGGTTCACTGCAGAATAAGTGGAGCAATTTATATAAAGCATCTCGTATGTAACAAACACTCAAAGTTAGTTTTCTTTTTCCGCTTTGCTCTTAATTCTGCTTGTACTGAATATTTTATGAGACTTAATTCCTTTCTTGAGAAGATTACATTCTGAAAGTGTACATTGATGAGTGTGCACTCAATAGCTAACACTTAGTTGCCAATCACTTGAGGACAAAGGTCTGGCTAGATAACGTTAGCAAGTATGAAATGGTTTGTTTGGTAAAGCTTTCTGGAGATTCTTGAGAGTGTTGTAGGCAGAAGGACAAAAAGAATTCATTATACCCAGTAATCACTCAGGTCAATAAAGTTTGAGCACCAAGAATGAAGTATATTGGATATGGTTTTAAACCAGCTTAATTTGAATAGATAGTGGGTTAGAATGTAGAAGATCAGATGTGCAGCACAGCCACTGTGGTGGGAAACCCTAGGAAGAAGTTGCCCACCTGTGTCTTTCGCTTCTGTGGTCTTGCTAGTCTGAGGTTCTGAAAGATCCTAGCCTCAGGTAGGTCTGCTGTCTAGAAAAATCTAGAGAATAAAGGAAGAGTGTCTAAAAGATCTAGTTCCTTACTCCACCCTTAGCAGTCCTCTCAATCCTCTTCCCACAGAACTGGAAGTGTGTTCTTCCTAGACTCCCAGGATCATTTGGCCCTAGAGTGACCATCTGGTTTAGTTTTGTTACTGGAGTGGGCTTGAATTATTCAAGTCATGTGATTAACTTGTTATTACGGGTCTGAGATTTAAACCAAGATGTATTCTATATTAAGAGGGGTTACAGACAACAATGCTTAATGTGTAAACACCTCTAAATTCACAAAACTCTAACTCCTCTTTCCCATGCCACATTTCCGAGCCCATTTTCACTCCCACTAGAAAAATAGCAGCTACAACATCACCTTGCAAACTTTTTTTTTAAAAAGGGACCAGAAATTATTTAGTCTGTGAAGCTAATAGAGCTACAGATGTTAGGGAATTTTGTTCCCTCTGTTAAGTTTCAACTTATGGTACATTACTTGCTGAAGGTCATAGTGTTGCAATATTGATTAGAGTTAACAGCCACAGAAAAAACTCAAGTGAACACTGGTAGATGCCTTCCGGAGCCCTGTTTTATAGCTTATGAAAAAAGGAAAAGTGGCCTGGCACGGTGGCTCATGCCTGTAATCCCAGCACTTTGGGAGGCTGAGGCGGGTAGATCACAAGGTCAGGAGTTCAAGACCAGCCTGGCCAAGATGGTGAAACCCCGTCTCTACTAAAAATACAAAAATTAGCCAGGTGTGGTGGCAGGCGCCTGTAATCCCAGCTACTCAGGAGGCTAAGGCAGGAGAATTGCTTGAACCCGGGAGGTGGAGCTTGCAGTGAGCTGAGATCGTGCCACTGTACTCCAGCCTGGGCAACAGAGTGAGACTCTGTCTCAGAAAAAGAGAAAAAAGGAAAAGGATCCAGTTGAAGTGGAGAGAGAAAATACAATGAAAAATGAGGAAGAGTTCTTCCATGAGAAAGTTTAAGGATTTCATAAGCACCCTTGAAGTTGAAATAGTGAAGTTTTAAGAGAAGCATAAAGTAATGCAAGGTCTTTTTAAAACTGGTCAGTAGTTTCTGTAACTTGAATCTTTTAGAATAAATAGGGAATAAAAGCCAGTATTTTTGAACCTCAGAATTTTGGTATTTTAATGCCAGAAAGTAAACCTTAAAACCCAACTGGTCCCATACCTTTGTACGGCAGATGAGGAAATCCCAAAAGTTTCCAGTGAGTATCAGAAGTGATACTAGCACCCAGGTCTTCTGACTCTGCAGTATCCTTTCCGCCAGCATGTACCATGTGATAACTTAAGCTTTTTTCGAAGCTCTGATTTTTTTTTGGCAGTCTTAGTGATGTGTTGAGAAGGTGACTATCCTGCTCAAAGGTGTTGCCTTCCTTTTCCCCGTGTTTGCCAAGTGCGTAGGCCTGTTTTTCGAATCAGAGATGCATTTAAAGTGTAGTTTGGAAAATGAGATCCTCAACAGTGATGTTGTGGATATTAGCATCTGTTGCCATTGCATGTAATAACCAAATCTTTATTTCAGAAATACAAAATAGCCTTGATTCAGATGTACCAGTGTAGCCATGAGAAAGTGATTTGATTTTCTGACATCAAATTTGTTTCTCCATAGAAATGTAATTGGGAATATTAAAAATAATTTAAGTACAGGGCAACAATTTCATTTCATCAGGGGACTGGCATACCATAGACCCACATTTTTTTTTTTTTTTTTTGTTTTGAGACGGAGTCTTGCTCTGTCGCCCAGGCTGGAGTGCAGTGGCGTGATCTCTGCTCACTGCAAGCTCCGCCTCCCAGGTTCAAGCCGTTCTCCTGCCTCAGCCTCCCCAGTAGCTGGGACTACAGGCACCCGCCACCACACCTGGCTAATTTTTTTGTATTTTTAGTAGAGATGGGGTTTCACTGTGTTAGCCAGGATGGTCTCGATCTCCTGACATTGTGATCCGCCCACCTCAGCCTCCCAAAGTGCTGGGATTACAGGCGTGATAGACCCACATTTTTTTACATTATAACATTTCTTACATTAGGTTGTGTCTTATTACTGATATATATGTTTTTTTTGAGACAGAGTTTTGCTCTTATTGCTCAGGCTGGAGTGCAATGGCACAATCTCAGCTCACCGCATCCTCTGCCTCCTGGGCTCAAGCCATTCTCCTGCCTCAGCCTCCCGACTAGCTGGGATTACAGGCATGTGCCACCATGTCCGGCTAATTTTGTATTTTTAGTAGAGACGGGGTTTCTCCATGTTGGTCAGGCTGGTCTCAAACTCCTGACCTCAGGTGATCCGCCCGCCTCATTTTTTCTTTTTTACCAGTAATTAATAGTACTTCTTAAAAATCAATGGTGTTTTATATTTGATGAAATATGGTACTTACAGCTTATTAAACTTCACTCGTAAGTCAATATTAAATGAATATATAATTTAACATTTGAATAGTGGGTTGTTTGGAGTTTAGGGGTAAGTGGCTGCTAGCTACTCTGCTGTATTATAAGGTCCTGTAGGTGTAGACTGCAGTAGCCTGTGTCTTACATATGCATAATACATATGGTTAATAAGTGTACATTTGTTAAATTCATGAGTACGTGCACGAATAAATGTTTACCAGGGACACAGTTTGAGAGGTGAGTTGAAGGAGTATTGAGTATTTCATGAATAGAGCCTTGGGTTATTGGTTAGGAGCATGGTACTGGTCATACAAGGCCCATGGTTTGAGTCTCTCCTGGGCAGGTGCTCTTTGACCATAGATTGCATCATTCATCCCACCAGCCATTTTATAAATGATGTGTTACTATCTGTGGTAAAGAGGACCAGTATGTGGCTGACAGGTACAAATCTATCACCCCTGTTGAAAACACATCTCTCTCAGATTACTCAGCCTCTTTCCTTCATTGTCTTTATTACAGTTTGTACTGTTGGTAGTTTTGTTTTTTTTTGTGCAATGTTTAGCTCTTTTACAGGGCAGGAAACTTCATGTGGGTAGGGCCTGAGCCTGTCTTGTTCACCTGTGAATCCCTAGCACCTGACAGATAGCCTGTCACAGTCAACATCTCAAAGCAGTTTGGTCTGCTCATTCTGCATCGGTAATAATAACGCTAATAAAAAGCTCTTAGGGATATAACACTTGCTGTATCTGTTTTAAATGCTTTATATATTACTAACTCATTTAATTCTCACATCAGCCTATGAAGGAGATACTATTATTGTCCGTGTTTTACAGTGAGGGCTGCGCCTTTACAAATGTATTATATGTTAAAAACTTAGAGGTATATTTGTGCATACTGCACATTATATGCAGACATGGATTAGTATGTTTATAAATAAACATATAAGATGTACACAAGGACATGTAGAAAACATTTTTGGCTAGACTTATTTGATTTTAAAATATGAACTATTTTTTCTCTCTTTTTAGGGATAGATTTGCCTTTGTGTTCATGTAGGGTTGTAAACCCAGTTTTGGGAGTGTACCAGAGACTGTGCTACCTGGTGCCAATTTAAGGAGTAATTTCATATTAATATCACAGCCTCCCAGGGGCAGCTGTTATTCCACTTCTAGATGGGAAGACTAAGGCTAAGGGAGATCAAAAGGTATGCTCTGGGTTACATGGCTGCTGGAAGGCAGAGCATAAACTCAAGACCAGGCCTGTCTGATTCCTGCGATGATGTTCTCAGCTGCTCCTGGGACGCAGTCCCAAGGTTAAGCTGGACAATTTCTAAGAATCTGGAAAGAAGGAGGTGGCCTAGGATGTGGCAACTACAGCATTCGCCATCAGAAATTTTTCCTGGTGGCCAACCTCACCTTTCCTGCTCTAATATTTAATTTAAAATACTTATTTTCGGCTGGGCATGGTGGCTCCTGCCTGTAATCCCAGCACTTTGGGAGGCCAAGGCAGGCGGATCACTTGAGGTCAGGAGTTTGAGACCAGCCTGGCCAACATGGTGAAACCCCGTCTCTACTAAAAGTACAAAAAAATTAGCTGGGTGTAGTGATGTGGGCCTATAGTCCCAGATACTCAGGAGGCTGAGGCAGGAGAATTGCTTGAACCCGAGAGGTGGAGGTTGCAGTGAGCCGGGATCGTGCCACTGCACTCCAGCCTGGGCTGCAGAGTAAAACAACGTCTCAAAAAAAATAATAATAATACTTATTTTCTTCTTATTAGTAAAGCTAGGCATCTCATCATATATGGATTTGCAGTTTGTCATCCATTGTGTTTCTTGTTCATGGCCTTTATCAGTTTTTCTCTTAGGCTTTGGGCTCCACTTTTTGTTGGCTCTTCATGTTGCTCACGTTAATTCCTTGTCTGTTAAATGTTAGGAAAACACTCCCCTGGTCTGTCATTGCCTTTAACTCTGCCTATGGTGTGTTTCACTCTGTCTGAATGCTTGCTTTTTTCATGTAGGTAAAGATTCAATTTGTATTATTGCTTTTGGGTTTTATTTATTTAAAAAAATGTCAGCATGGCGTTTGTACTAGATTAATGTAGCTTTGGGGACCGCCAGAAGCATTTTAGGGCCGAACTTCCATGCAGTCTCTATATGAATTTTAGGGAAACCTATGATCTTTATATGTACAAAAATAGATATAGGGTTCTTTTCCCTCTTTGCTGATACGTGGGAGTTCAAGATTGACTTTTTCCAACTCACCGAAAAAGAGACGAACCTTATGGTGTTTAGCTTGGTAGAAGTGTTTCTTTTGGAGACCCTGTTTCTTGTCCTGGAATTCAGTGAAATGTTTCCCATAGACCTACTGTGTGTAAGGCACTGACCATATACCATAGGAGACAAGATGAGTAAGACATGGTCCTGACACTCATGGAGTTTACAGTTAGCAGTGGGAAAAGTATTTAGATGGTACTTGAAATAGTCTTGAAATAAATTTAAGCTTAGATAATTTCACTTAAAAATAACATGATGAAAAGAGTAAGAATATGTGTGCACTCAGTAATGTAGTGTGTGATGGTGTTTATTGTATACCCACATGAAAGCGTTTGTAGCTTCTATTCTTCTTAATCTCAGATCCCTTTTAAAGTCCCCCAGTATACTCATAAATCATGTATATCGTGTGAAGATATAGGAATTCTTGACTGTGTAATGTTTTATTTAAATGTTAATTTATATGGATCAATGTAAGTGAAATTCTCAGAAAGTTGAGGACATTAAATCTTTAATTGAAAGGTAAGAGATATTTGCAAGATGGTTTGGCCACCAATGTATGCCTTGTGTTCTAAATTTCACTTTAGGAAGTCACTTACTGTAGTAATTTGGTGGCTTTGTCACCCTCCCCACCTCTTACACATTCATAGACTTCTCTACCTTGAATAGGTGTGGGGAGTTTATCCACCCCAAATGCCCAAGGCTTTTTTTTTTTTTTATTATAGTACTTCACACACCACGCAGTTATGGCCCACTTTTATATGAGTTCAGATAGATTGTGAATTATTTGAGGGCTGAGACACTGTCATTCATCACTTTATCCTTGACACCTGACATTATGGCTTGGTATGGGTGCTCCTCAAATGTTGATTGAATCAATGAACGAACTCACATTTCAGTACCAGATGATAACCTTGTCTGGCATCATACAGGTTTATTGTCAGGATGGAATGTGATCAGGAATTTCACTTCCTTGCCATTGAATACATTTCTTGGATTTGCCTGTAAGACGATAATAGTCTGTTAGTTCCAGCTTATCTAGAAGTGGGTCTGTATGAGCCCAGGCCTGGTGTGTAGATGGGGAGATCACACATGCATGAGCGCACACACATCTACACCTGTGCATTAGAGGTTTCCCAAGATTTAGTTAATTAGATGCTGCAGGCTCTCAGGGGCATTGCACAGGCTGAGTAACACTAAAAGGCTAGGGGATTGGGAGGTAAGCTGCTGTTTATCACACTTCTGATACACTTTTTATGAGCACCAAAGATCTGATGTTGTAAAATCTTGAGCTCCATAGAATTGATCCAGGAGATCTGGAGTTACTACGAGAAAGCAGAGATCTTCGTTGGTCTGTTATTGGAGCTGTGCTTTAGGGACACAGACAGACCTGCCTTTTCTCAGGGTGACTTCTGCTCCTGTGGAAGGAGAAGTGAATTGTCTGATCTTTGTTAAGTTAGTGAGTATAAGAGTACTTGTGCAGAACCAAACTTTACCTACAAAAAGTATTTTATGTTAACAAGTAGGGACTCCAGATATCCTGATCATAACATCTGATCTTATAATCAAATCTTCTACCTTCTGGTCTGAAAACATATGGTATGATATGATATGATATGATATGAGCATTTGTTGAAGATGCAATGGGAGGGACTGGTAAAGCCAATTCCACTAGTCAGAAATTGTAGCAGGGTAGGAAAGGGTGTAGCTTCTACACAAATACCATGGTTGTAGGTGTTCAGCTGGGAGAAGTGGAAGCCAAGGGCAAGAATGGGTCTCGAATGCAGCACTGGCAAGGGTGGGCTGTGCTGCACAGCTCAGTAGGGACAGGGTCTCAGGCCATAAATCCCTGCTGTGTCCACTGGCCTAGAGTCAGATGCTTAGCTGTGACTGATGTGCCAGAACTTGACCTGCAAAGCCCATGGCCCCTTGTTGAGCACAGTCTAGTATGAGAAAGCTGCCTGTTACGTAGCAGTTCTTTGTGTGTACCAAATATTATCCAGGTGGTAAGGGCTAAATCTGGGCCTGTCTTCTCCCTAGAGGTGTAAGGGATTCCATATACTTCCTCCAGAAGCAGATGTTGTTGCTCTTTCAGTTATGTAATGTGAGGTCAGGACTTAGGTGGGTATGAGGCAGTGATTTAAGGCAGAAAGCATGGAGTGGACTCTGGGCAAATATGTGACAGGTGTTCTTTTTTTGTTGTTCAATAGAGATTACTCCTTATGTTCTTTTCTTGGGCTAGCTTCATGGGCTACCACAATGATAGGTAGAAGGCCTGGCTACTTTGAAAGGGCCAGGGATGGGCCACAGAGAAGTCAGGTTGTTAGTATTAATGGACATTTAGAAGGTAGCCCAAAATTTTAAGTCATCTATGTTCCTCCTACTGTGTTTTGAAATGTGGGGAGCTGGTTGTAGTAACTATTTAGATTTCTCAATTTCTCTTTTAGGTAGGTTGCTGCAATAACCTAGGGTTTTTTTTTTTTTTTTTTCCTAACAAGCTTTTTCCTGTCTTGTCTACTTTCCTATTTGTTTTATTTTCCCTGTGTCTTTTATACATGAGTTCATATCAGAAGAGATTAAGTGATTTTGTATTATATTTTAGATAAGTTTTATCCTATGACTTAACATTTAATATGTTGTTCTTACTAGAGAATGAGTTGCTGAGTGATTTTTACTTGTATTCCTGACAAAGTTTGCCTCTTAGCTTACCTATTTAAAGGTATTAGGCTTTAAAAATTTGGGTCAAGTGGGGAAACGTGGCTGTTTAGTAAACATTGTTAATAGGGGTGACATTTTGTTTTCAGTCCCTGGATTTAATTTTAACCATTTATCTTTGAGCCCCAGTTTTTTTCTAGGAAATAAAAATGATAAACATTGCTTTTTTTTCCCTCAGTTCAGGAAAAAACTACAAGATCGTGGTTCTTGATAAAGAGAGGATCCTGGAGAATGGAACAATGTCTTGTCTGTTTTTCTTATTTCTGTGGTCACTGTGTCTTATTTAAAAGGTGGCATTTAGGTTTGCCGTGATCACAGGATAGCGCGTGCATTAAAGAATTTTTTTTTTGTGATCAAGTTGAATTATTGTTCAAAAGTTTAGAAAAATTATAATGTGTCTTTTTTTTTTTTTTTTTTTTTTTTTAACCTCTTAGTGCCGCAGAATGGAATTCGGCATTGTTCCTACACAGCTTCTCGGCAACATCTCTATGTTGATAAAAATACAAAGATTATTTGCCAGGGTTTCACTGGCAAACAGGTATGTATATCTAGATTTTTATTTTCAAATGTAGACTAGAGATATAACAAATTAACTATTTTTTTATTTTTAATATCTCAAAAATAACACATGATTGTTGCAGAAAAATATACTGTACAGCAATGGGGTTGTATCTCAGGAGGAGGTTAGTTGCTATTGTCAGCCTATAACATAAAAATTGTGTTTAAACTTACCTTGCAAAGGAGTATATTGTATGCTTACTAGGAGTATATTGTTTTGGAGGCCCATACACTTTCTTTCAGCAAATACAACACTAATGATTTTCCTCCAGTGTTGAAAGAGATCACCGTTTCTTTGACTAAGCACTAGGTCAACTAGATTCTTGTGTTTAGGTTTTGTACAAACAGACAAAAAACCGTATTGTTAAACACAGAATCCATATTCAGTGTGGAGAAATGCTCAAACCCAGAGAGGCTCATGGATACTGAGACAAGGGAAGAACCCGCCCACTGACTTTTTTCATCTTATACTTTCTCTGGGATGATGGCCTGGGACTAGCAGGCAGAATTGCCTGAAGTGTTTTAATTTGTTGTCATTTATTTATATTCATTCTCTCATACTCTTTCCTGTTCTTTTCATAGATTTTGTGTAAGTGTAAATAAATATATCTGTGATGCAATTCTATAATAAAATGCCACATAAGAATCTTCTTTCCTTTTTCCTACCTTTCTACTCCCCAGGAACTCCTTCTGTTAACAAGTTGGCATGTATCCTTTCAGATATTTTTCTTGTGCATGCAAACATATTTATATAATATGTGTTTTGTAGTATTTATTATATAGAATTATATATATTTATATAACGTTATCCAGCATATAATATATATACAATCCATATTTCTATAAAATAGATACCTAAAAGTAAAATTGGATGTTATATGGTCTGTGTATTTACAATTTTAATAGCTACTGCTAAATTGAACTTTAAAACATTGGAACAGATTTATTCTTCCACCATAGTAGATGCACAGAATTTTTTTAAAAGGGAATACTATCAAATCAATTAGAGTATAACCACGTGTCTTAACCCAAAGTATCCCTTTTTTTATTATTAAAGGAGATATGGCAAGATAAAAGCAGTCAATTTTTTTTTTTTTTTTTTTTTTTTGGTAATTTAAGGTTAATGATTTTTCTGTAATTAAAAGAATTGTCATGTCAATTCTTCAGTATTTTGGTAATCTAGAGCAGAGGTCAGTAAACATATTCTGCAAAAGGCCAGATTGTAAACATATTAGGTTTAGTGGGTCATACAGTCTGTGTTACAACTACTCAAAAGTATTTTAACAGCAAAAGCAGCCATAGAAAATATTGTCAATGAATGGGCCTGGGTGCGTTCCAATAAAACTTAATTTACAAAACCAGGTAGTGGGCCAAATCCTATAGACTGCAGTTAGCAGATTGTTTCATGTAAAATGGTCCTTTTGCTTTTTGTTTTTTGTTTTTTGTTTTTTTTTTTTTCTGAAATAACTGAGCACACGAATGTGTTGCAGTGGACCTTCTTTTTCTTCTTCCATTCCTCTATTACTGTAAAAAAAAAAATCCAATATCAAAAAATGAAACACCCATAAAACCATGAAACTTTGTTCCTTGTAAAAATGGCAGGATGTGGTAGCCCACACCTGTAATCCTAGCACTTTAGGGAGCCAGAGCAGCAGGATTGCTAGAACCCAGGAGTTTGAGACCAGCCTGGGCAACATGGTGGGATTCCATCTCTACAAAAAAAACAGAAAAATTAGCTGGGTGTGGTGGTGCATGCCTGTGGTCCCAGCTACTCAGGAGGCTGAGGTGGAAGGATCACTTGAGTCCAGGAGGTTGAGGCTGCAGTGAGTCATGATTGAACCACTTACTCCAGCTTGGGTGACAGAGTGAGACCCTGTCTCAAAAAAAAATGTTTATTCTGATAGCTAAATAATCTTATGTATGCCACTTCCCTTATATACATTCTAAGGAAAGTAGATCTTCATCCAAGATTTGAAGTGCATTCTATTATCCCCTTCCCAGTTGATGTTATATCCAGCCTGTTTTTTGTTATATATTAATATGATTAGCATATAATCAAATGTTTGATTAACCCAAATTCTCCACATAAATTTATTATATATAATTTTTTCTGTTTGCCAAATATTATATGATTATGTGACATTTTAAGCTGTGAGCTTTTTTGTAAGAACCATTGCCCATGGTGTAAGCACTATTCAGAACTGTCTCTATATTCTAAATAAGGTGATAGTTTGCCTAAATATTTAAATCCAGAGGTAGTTACAGCGTTTTTCAGTTACCTGCAGTTAACATTGTTTCTCATTCACTCTCCTTTTTTTTGTTGTTTTTAAAGTAAGTGAGAGTGTTAATTGCCTCAGGTTTGTTGATTCAGATTCATTTTAGAGATAATGGTGAGGTCTGAAGTTTAGAACTTACTTCCACAGTAAATCTGCATATTGTCTCATTAGTTTGTTTTCTCAGTACACACATTGTTCCACATATGAATTAAAAATCCTTGCATTTTTAGAGTATGTTTCAGCAATGCAGTTTTCCAGTGGGTGTCATCTTGTTTCTTTTACTGGGTTTATAAGCTGCTAAAATGATTACTGTTCCTAACATTGTACTGGCTGGTGATGATGGTAAAACTAAGAAACATAAGCTTATTTTGAATAGATGTGTTATTCCTGTTTAGCACTACTTTAGGATTAAAATTTGGTACTTCTGAATTTACCTGGCAGTGTAGTCTAGGGCAGTGCTTCTCAGTGTCTGTAGCAAAAAACCAGTGTAGGTGCTTGTTTTTAATTTTCAGTCTAATGTAGATCAATATTTTTATAAAATACAGTAAAAGCTGTAGCAATGTCATACAAACATTTTTACTTTTTTAAATTGCAAACATTTTTACTTTTTTAAAAATTAGATTTTCCCCCTCCCTCTCTCCCTTCCTTCCTTCCTTTTTTTGTTGTTTTTCTTTTTCCTCTTATCTCATTGCAGAGCAGCAAGAGTCTCCAAACTATACTTTGAATAGCACTGCTTTAAGAGAGAGAGAGCACTGGCCTGTGGTTCTTTCAAAACCCTGCCCCTGACTTTAGACAAATTAATTAACATGCTTGGGGCCAAGTTTCCTATTTTGAAAAAGAATTTGAATCAGAAAATTTCTGAGGTCCTTCTTAAGGCCCTGATTTTTATTCCTTTAACAGAACGTGAATAGTTGGGACCACATTTTGAAGGTCCTTGAAATGATCACATAGATTCGTTCATTTTTCAACAGCTATTTATTGAATGCCTACTGTATATTGATTTAGGTGTCATATTGCAATGAACAAAGTGGACATAAATCACTGTCTTCATGGAATTTACATTTTAGTGGTTGGTGGGGAATATATCAACAAAATCAATGAGTATATTATGTGGTATGTTATGAAGTATAATTGCTATGGAAGAAATAAGCCGGGGAAAGGAGGAGTGTGTGTAGTCCTGGTGGTTAGGATGGAGGAGAGGGTGATTTTATATCAGGTGGTCAGGGGAAGTCTGATCTCTGAACTAAGATGTTAAGGAGATGTAGGAGTGAACCAAGTGGATATCTTAGGGAAGGATATTCCATGCAGAGGGCACAGTGAGGCCATGAGGCAGGCATGTGCCTGCTGTGTGGAAGCCACAAGGCCAGCGTGGCTGGAGTGTAATAAGTAGGCAGGTACGGGATTCTGATGTGGGGAGACAGCTTGTAAATTGACTTGTAGGCCAGTATATGGAGTTTGGCTTTTACTTGACTGAAATCTAAGACAATCAGAGTGTTTGATTAGAGGAGTGCCGTGATCTTCATTATGTTTTGACCAGATCACTCGGGCTGCTGTGGGGATTAGATTGAAGGGGAGCAAGGGCAATAACCCGTCAAGAGTTGAAGTGACTTAGACCAAGGTGATAGCAGTAGAAGGGGGAGGAGTTGTCAATTATACTTTGAAGATAGAGAAATAAGCTCTACTAATGGATCTAATATGGGACATATGAGAAAGAGAATAATCAAGGATGGCTTCAGTATTTTTGGTCTGATTATCTGTAAGGCGTGAAGTTGTCTTTAACTGAGATGGGGTAGATGGAGGGGAGTGATTGGGAACTCAGTTTTGGACATGTTGAGTTTGAGATGCCTGCTAGTTCTCAAAGTGGAGGTGTCAGGTAGGCAGTTGACAATGTGAATATGGAGTTCAAGGCTTAGATATGTGGGGTGTATGTGTCTTTGTGTATGTGGGAGGGGTCACCATATGGATGATATGTATTGCCATGATAAGGGATGACATCACCAAGGGCATGAATTTAGATGAAAAAGAGAAGTCTAAGGTGTTGCGGGAAGTCAGGAACCCTGAACGGAGGGACCGGCTGAAGCCACGGCAGAAGAACATAAATTGTGAAGATTTCATAGACATTTATTAGTTCCCCAAATTAATACTTTTATAATTTCTTACGCCTGTCTTTACTGCAATCTCTGAACATAAATTGTGATGATTTCATGGACACTTATCACTTCCCCAATCAATATCCTTGTGATTTCCTATGCCTGTCTTTACTTTAATCTCTTAGTCCCATCATCTTTGTGAGCTGAGGAGGATGTATGTCGCCTCAGGACCCTGTGATGATTGCATTAACTGCACAAATTGTTTGTAGAGCATGTGTGTTTGAACAATATGAAATCTGGGCACCATGAAAAAGGAACAGGATAACAGCAATGTTCAGGGAACAAGAGAGATAACCTTAAACTCTGACCACCGGTGAGCCGGGCGGAACAGAGCCATATTTTTTCAAAAGCAAATGGGAGAAATATCTCTGAATTCTTTTTCTCAGCAAGGAACATCCCTGAGAAAGAGAATGCATCCCTGAGGGTAGGCCTCTAAAATGGCCACTTCGGGGGGCGGCCATCTTTTGTGGTTGCAGCTGTAGGGATGAAATAAGCCCCAGTCTCCCGTAGTGCTCCCAGGCTTATTAGGATGAGAAAATTCCCGCCTAATAATTTTTGGTCAGACCGGTTGTCTGCTCTCAAAGCCTGTCTCCTGATAAGATATTATCAATGCAATGCGTGCTGGAAACTTCATTAGCAATTTTAATTTCGCCCCGGTCC